>NC_000012.12:102308612-102611643 GCF_000001405.40 Homo sapiens
TTGATGGGGTTGTTTGTTTTTTTCTTGTAAATTTGTTTGAGTTCATTGTAGATTCTGGATATTAGCCCTTTGTCAGATGAGTAGGTTGCAAAAATTTTCTCCCATTCTGTAGGTTGCCTATTCACTCTGATGGTAGTTTCTTTTGCTGTGCAGAAGCTCTTTATTTTAATTGGATCCCATTTGTCAATTTTGTCTTTTGTTGCCATTGCTTTTGGTATTTTAGACATGAAGTCCTTGCCCGTGCCTATGCCCTGAATGGTAATGCCTAGGTTTTCTTCTAGGGTTTTTATGGTTTTAGGTCTAGCATTTAAGTCTTTAATCCATCTTGAATTGATTTTTGTATAAGGTGTAAGGAAGGGATCCAGTTTCAGCTTTCTACATATGGCTAGCCAGTTTTCCCAGCACCATTTATTAAATAGGGAATCCTTTCCCCATTGCTTGTTTTTCTGAGGTTTGTCAAAGATCAGATAGTTGTAGATATGCGGCGTTATTTCTGAGGGCTCTGTTCTGTTCCATTGATCTATATCTCTGTTTTGGTACCAGTACCATGCTGTTTTGGTTACTGTAGCCTTGTAGTATAGTTTGAAGTCAGGTAGTGTGATGCCTCCAGCTTTGTTCTTTTGGCTTAGGATTGACTTGGCAATGTGGGCTTTTTTTTGGTTCCATATGAACTTTAAAGTAGTTTTTTCCAATTCTGTGAAGAAAGTCATTGGTAGCTTGATGGGGATGGCATTGAATCTGTAAATTACCTAGGGCAGTATGGCCATTTTCACCATATTGATTCTTCCTACCCATGAGCATGGAATGTTCTTCCATTTGTTTGTATCCTCAGTGGTTTGTAGTTCTCCTTGAAGAGGTCCTTCACATCCCTTGTAAGTTGGGTTCCTAGGTATTTTATTCTCTTTGAAGCAATTGTGAATGGGAGTTAACTCATGATTTGGCTCTCTGTTTGTCTGTTGTTGGTGTATAAGAATGCTTGTGATTTTTGTACATTGATTTTGTATCCTGAGACTTTGCTGAAATTGCTTATCAGCTTAAGGAGATTTTGGGCTGAGACAGTGGGGTTTTCTAGATATACAATCATGTCGTCTGCCAACAGGGACAATTTGACTTCCTCTTTTCTTAATTGAATACCCTTTATTTCCTTCTCCTGCCTAATTGCCCTGGCCAGAACTTCCAACACTATGTTGAATAGGAGTGGTGAGAGAGGGCATCCCTGTCTTGTGCCAGTTTTCAAAGGGAATGCTTCCAGTTTTTGCCCATTCAGTATGATATTGGCTGTGGGTTTGTCATAGATAGCTCTTATTATTTTGAAATAGGTCCCATCAATACCTAATTTATTGAGAGTTTTTAGCATGAAGCGTTGTTGAATTTTGTCAATGGCTTTTTCTGCATCTATTGAGATAATCATGTGGTTTTTGTCTTTGGCTCTGTTTATATGCTGGATTACATTTATTGATTTGCGTATATTGAACTAGCCTTGCATCCCAGGGATGAAGCCCACTTGATCATGGTGGATAAGCTTTTTGATGTGCTGCTGGATTCGTTTTGCCAGTATTTTATTGAGGATTTTTGCATCAATGTTCATCGAGGATATTGGTCTAAAATTCTCTTTTTTGGTTGTGTCTCTGCCCAGCTTTGGTATCAGAATGATGCTGGCCCCATAAAATGAGTTAGGGAGGACTCCCTCTTTTTCTATTGATTGGAATAGTTTCAGAAGGAATGGTACCAGCTCCTCCTTGTACCTCTAGTAGAATTCAGCTGTGAATCCATCTGGTCTTGGACTCTTTTTGGTTGGTAAGCTATTGATTATTGCCACAATTTCAGCTCCTGTTATTGGTCTATTCAGAGATTCAACTTCTTCCTGGTTTAGTCTTGGGAGAGTGTATGTGTCGAGGAATTTATCCATTTCTTCTAGATTTTCTAGTTTATTTGCGTAGAGGTGTTTGTAGTATTCTCTGATGGTAATTTGTATTTCTGTGGGATCGGTGGTGATATCCCCTTTATCATTTTTTATTGCGTCTATTTGATTCTTCTCTCTTTTTTTCTTTATTAGTCTTGCTAGCGGTCTATCAATTTTCTTGATCCTTTCAAAAAACCAGCTCCTGGATTCATTAATTTTTTTGAAGGGTTTTTTGTGTCTCTATTTCCTTCAGTTCTGCTCTGATTTTAGTTATTTCTTGCCTTCTGCTAGCTTTTGAATATGTTTGCTCTTGCTTTTCTAGTTCTTTTAATTGTGATGTTAGGGTGTCAATTTTGGATCTTTCCTGCTTTCTCTTGTGGGCATTTAGTGCTATAAATTTCCCTCTACACACTGCTTTGAATGCGTCCCAGAGATTCTGGTATGTTGTGTCTTTGTTCTCGTTGGCCTCAAAGAACATCTTTATTTCTGCCTTCATTTCGTTATGTACCCAGTAGTCATTCAGGAGCAGGTTGTTCAGTTTCCATGTAGTTGAGCGGTTTTGAGTGAGATTCTTAATCCTGAGTTCTAGTTTGATTGCACTGTGGTCTGAGAGATAGTTTGTTATAATCTCTGTTCTTTTACATTTGCTGGGGAGAGCTTTACTTCCAACTGTGTGGTCAATTTTGGAATAGGTGTGGTGTGGTGCTGAAAAAAATGTATATTCTGTTGATTTGGGGTGGAGAGTTCTGTAGATGTCTATTAGGTCCGCTTGGTGCAGAGCCGAGTTCAATTCCTGGGTATCCTTGTTGACTTTCTGTCGTTGATCTGTCTAATGTTGACAGTGGGGTGTTAAAGTCTCCCATTATTAATGTGTGGAGTCTAAGTCTCTTTGTAGGTCACTCAGGACTTGCTTTATGAATCTGGGTGCTCCTGTATTGGGTGCATATATATTTAGGATAGTTAGCTCTTCTTGTTGAATTGATCCCTTTACCATTATGTAATGGCCTTCTTTGTCTCTTTTGATCTTTGTTGGTTTAAAGTCTGTTTTATCAGAGACTAGGATTGCAACCCCTGCCTTTTTTTGTTTTCCATTTGCTTGGTAGATCTTCCTCCATCCTTTTATTTTGAGCCTATGTGTGTCTCTGCACGTGAGATGGGTTTCCTGAATATAGCACACTGATGGGTCTTGACTCTTTATCCAATTTGCCTGTCTGTGTCTTTTAATTGGAGCATTTAGTCCATTTACATTTAAAGTTAATATTGTTATGTGTGAATTTGATCCTGTCATTATGATGTTAGCTGGTTATTTTGCTCGTTAGTTGATGCAGTTTCTTCCTAGTCTCGATGGTCTTTACATTTTGGCATTATTTTGCAGCGGGTGGTACCAGTTGTTCCTTTCCATGTTTAGTGCTTCCTTCAGGAGCTCTTTTAGGGCAGGCCTGGTGGTGACAAAATCTCTCAGCATTTGCTTGTCTGTAAAGTATTTTATTTCTCCTTCGCTTATGAAGCTTATTTTGGCTGGATATGAAATTCTGGGTTGAAAATTCTTTTCTTTAAGAATGTTGAATATTGGCCCCCACTCTCTTCTGGCTTGTAGGGTTTCTGCCGAGATATCCACTGTTAGTCTGATGGGCTTCCCTTTGAGGGTAACCAGACCTTTCTCTCTGGCCGCCCTTAACATTTTTTCCTTCATTTCAACTTTGGTGAATCTGACAATTATGTGTCTTGGAGTTGCTCTTCTTGAGGAGTATCTTTGTGGCGTTCTCTGTATTTCCTGAATCTGAACGTTGGCCTGCCTTGCTAGATTGGGGAAGTTCTCTTGGATAATATCCTGCAGAGTGTTTTCCAACTTGGTTCCATTCTCCCCATCACTTTCAGGTACACCAATCAGACGTAGATTTGGTCTTTTCACATAGTCCCATATTTCTTGGAGGCTTTGCTCTTTTCTTTTCTTTTTTCTCTAAACTTCCCTTATTGCTTCATTTCATTCATTTCATCTTCCATTACTGATACCCTTTCTTCCAGTTGATTGCATCAGCTCCTGAGGCTTCTGCATTCTTCACGTAGTTCTCGAGCCTTGGTTTTCAGCTCCATCAGCTCCTTTAAGCACTTCTCTGTATTGGTTATTCTAGTTATACATTCTTCTAAATTTTTTTCAAAGTTTTCAACTTCTTTGCCTTTGGTTTGAATGTCCTCCCGTAGCTCAGAGTAATTTGATCGTCTGAAGACTTCTTCTCTCAGCTCGTCAAAGTCATTCTCCATCCAGCTTTGTTCTGTTGCTGGTGAGGAACTGCGTTTCTTTGGAGGAGGAGAGGCGCTCTGCTTTTTAGAGTTTCCAGTTTTTCTTTTCTGTTTTTTCCCCATCTTTGTGGTTTTATCTACTTTTGGTCTTTGATGATGGTGATGTACAGATGGATTTTTGGTGTGGATGTCCTTTCTGTTTGTTAGTTTTCCTTCTAACAGACAGGACCCTCAGCTGCAGGTCTGTTGGAATACCCTGCCCTGTGAGGTGTCAGTGTGCCCCTGCTGGGGGGTGCCTCCCAGTTAGGCTGCTTGGGGGTCAGGGGTCAGGGACCCACTTGAGGAGGCAGTCTGCCCGTTCTCAGATCTCCAGCTGCGTGCTGGGAGAACCACTGCTCTCTTCAAAGCTGTCAGACAGGGACATTTAAGTCTGCAGAGGTTACTGCTGTCTTTTTGTTTGTCTGTGCCCTGCCCCCAGAGGTGGAGCCTACAGAGGCAGGCAGGCCTCCTTGAGCTGTGGTGGGCTCCACCCAGTTGGAGCTTCCTAAGCAAGCCTGGGCAATGGCGGGCGCCCCTCCCCCAGCCTCGCTGCCGCCTTGCAGTTTGATCTCAGACTGCTGTGCTATCAATCAGTGAGACTCCGTGGGCGTAGGACCCTCCAAGCCAGGTGCCGGATATAATCTCGTGGTGCGCCGTTTTTTAAGCCCGTCGGAAAAGCGCAGTATTCGGGTGGAAGTGGCCCGATTTTCCAGGTGCGTCCGTCACCCCTTTCTTTGACTCGGAAAGGGAACTCCCTGACCCCTTGCGCTTCCCAAGTGAGGCAATGCGTCACCCTGCTTCGGCTCGCGCACGGTGCGTGCACCCACTGACCTGCGACCACTGTCTGGCACTCCCTAGTGAGATGAACCCTGTACCTCAGATGGAAATGCAGAAATCACCCGTCTTCTGCGTCGCTCATGCTGGGAGCTGTAGACTGGAGCTGTTCCTATTCGGCCATCTTGGCTCTTCCCCCGTTTTACAATTTAAAGGTGATTAGGCTTCCTAAATGCTTCATAAAATGCCACTATGACTCTTAACTGTACAGCTTGCCTACTCTACAGCTGGGTAAGGCCTGGGACACATGGAGTTAGACACTGGAAAGGCTCAGATCTTATCTGCATTTCTGTTTGGGTCGTAGGCTCCACACCTAGTACATAATTAAAATCCCTTACCAAGGTTTTCACCAAAAGTAAAAGATGCTAAGAGTTAACATTTTAATATGTAATTGAGACTACTGAAAAAATAAGTTTACATACAAGGTTTGTAAAGGGAATAAAATGTGTTTTTGTGAGAGATTATAAGAAAGTATGGGAATGTAAATTTTTGTCTAGGTTAGAGGGTTAAAGATTTATTTTGAATTAAAAAGCTAAAGGTTAGAACAAGTTGTGAATGGTTTATAAAAATTAATTACAAGAGATTCTATGTGTGAATGTATTGGCTAAAGTTAAAATGGCATTATTCATTTTTTTTCTATAAATTGGACATTGGAATAGAAGAACAACAGAGTTTTCTTAGAACATTGTTCTGCTCTGAGAAAAAAAGTTGTAAAGGGTTATAAAAGGTTTATGAAAATCTTACCTTATGGTCAAACTAATTAAAACAATAGATTTATAAAATGTCATTAAAAACTAGCTTTAACATAAAAAATACACTAATGGGAACATAAAATTTGTTTTTCTCTTTTAAAAAGGATTTTTATGTAATATTAAAAGATAAAAGGTTTTAGTTTACCTTTTAAGTAAGCTACAAAAGGGAAAAGTGGAGGGAAGGAAAGAAAGGAGACAGAGTCAATTGTCCTAATGCTATCTTCATTGGGTCTTGCTTGGAAAGCTGAGTCTCCTCTTTATCAGAATGTTTTGTCCTTTTAAAAATTTTTGAGTTATCATTTTGGCTAAATGAATGACTTATGGTAACCTAAGATTCTATTTGGTAATATCCAATGTTTTAAACATTTGGTATTTAACAAACCTTTCAAAATCAAGCTCTAGATTATCATGCTAAATCAGCCAATACTAAAATTGTTTAAATATACAATTTAAATGAACTCCCTGGTCTAAGTCAAATTACCTATGATAACCCATTAGTTATCAGTGCTATGCATCTAAATTGGAGAAACAACTGGTATTCAAGAGGACATGAGTCTGATGTTAAGCATGGACTCATGAAGAACCAGGACAGCCTCCTAGTCCTTCCCGAGTCCTTAAAGCTCTTGTTACTAAAGGTTCTGCATTCCATGACTCATCACGGAAAAGATAAAATAATCCAAATAGAATATACTGATGTGGTGACTTATAGATAGTGGAAATATTTTAAAACCAATGTTTGGTTTCATATTCCTGGGAAGGCAATCAAAGCTTCAGGTACATTTGGCTACCTAATGTGTCATTTAAACATTTATAAAGAGATTTCATTCAATTGTCATTTTCACTGCATGTTTTCTGGTTGTATAAAAGCTTTCCCATGCAAGAGGGCTGATGTAACAGTAGATTATTGTGCTACCATGTATTTTCACCAGGTAAAGACCTTCACAATCGGGAACCCGTAGATTGGATCTTCTGAAAACATCAGAGAAAGACTATCTTTGCCATCCACACTACAGTAAAACTTTGGAGCCTTGAACCTTGGATTTATAATCTCACAACTGAGAAGGGTCCCTCCATACTCCTGGAACTGTACACCCATTGGAACTCTTAAGGTAAAACTAACCAGGAAAGTTTCTCCCCAGAAAAAGATGGCATCCTTGATGTGAACAGCTTTTCCCAAGATCACAGGTCAAAACTTCTACTATCATGAGACTCTTACCTTTGAATATTTTTACCTTGTTTATGCCTCTATGAGCAACAGAAATGAAAAGTGGGTCTATAATGTGCACTTATAGGGTATAATTTTATTTGTGAAGGATTTTGCGGGAAGCCAGCCTTATACATAAATAAACTTATACTTTAATAGATAAAAGATGAAGGCCCAAGGTGGGTGAGAAACTTTAGTGGTACATATGTTGACTCATAATCAGTCAAAACTCCTCTTAACCCACATCATGGATTAAAGAGAACATTGCCAGGAGGCCTTCACTCTTCTAGAAGGACATAATTTGTTAGGTCCTTTTTCCATGGTTTAGAATACAAGAGGCAATAATTAGAAATGTCTCCCTCTTAATAGGCATGGGTTCAAATAAGGCAAACGTGGAGCTGTAGCCAATCTCGCTGTTTGTGTACCTCACTTCTGATTCCTGTGTGTCACTTTAACATTTTTGTCTATACATTTTTTCTGACCAGGAGACACCCCTGGAGTCTGTGAATCTGCTGTGATTCTGGGGGCTGCCCGAATCATGAATCATTCATTGCTCAATTAAACTCCTTTAAGTTTAATTTGGCTGAAGTTTTTCTTTTATCACACCCTTGCCCCATGAGCCAGGGAAAGGGCAACTGAGGCCGCAGTATTTTCAGTGGCACCAAGGTACACCCTGTATTCCACGAGTAGGGTCTGGAGAGAAGGGAGTCCCCGCCTCTCAACCAGATTTCAGAAACTATAGTAGATCTTCTATCCTCAAGGAAATGCATCTTATTTCTGGTATCAGAATCAAGGAGAAGCAGGCAAGACTGTTCTATAAGATGAGTTAGCATCCTGGAGGGTTTTTAGACTCAGGAATGGGGATCTCTAGGGAACCGATAGTAAAGGTTCCTACTAATCTGGGCAAATAGAGCTTAGTGTTGCATTACAGCTGTTTTCTAAGATGGTCAATATTGTTCTACTCTCTTCCTCCATTCAGTACCTTTTTTAAAACAATTACTCAGAGGTCATTGCTTATATCCCAAACTACTTATTAGGACAATATCAGTTATAAAAGGTTGCTGGATTCTCTTTGATTTGTGCCAGCTTCCCATCACTTGCTGCTAGGAACCTCATATCATAAGCTGGGAGACTGGTTGATATGCATAGCTCCTTACCTATTTTATAGTGTTTTCCAGTCTTTTATTTCATGTGAATTCTGATTGCCTAACAAGAAATTTTCTTATCCTACTAAATTTCTCACTAAGAGGAAATGTCAAGCCTCTAAAGCTCTTCCCAGCTATCTGTACTCACAGTTAAATTGAACTGCAGAGACTGGTATGAGTAGCTGATTGAGGAGGTAATGAAATATCCCAGGCTGCTTTTGGCAGCAACTCTGAATCAACCAAGGCCAGCCAAGGCAAACTTTAAACGCAAAAACCCGGACTAAATGGATGAATTTATTCTAATGTATTTTTGTCCACATGCCTCTGCAAATTGTTTACAGGTTTTCTGCCTTTTGACTAGTAGAATTTTTTATTGCATTCAGATAGATCATTGATGAACACTGCTAGTTTCCTGGGCTATTGAAAATTTGCCTTTCTTATTGGGTTTTCATGAATGTTTCTCTGGTAGAGAAAGGAGGTTAAAAAAATGAGAGATTGCTAACTTTCTACCATCATAAAGTCTGGATTTGGATACTGTTTTATGGCAAAGACAGTAATGTTCCCCCAAATTTCCTAGAATTCTTGCAGTTGGGTTGAGTCATGTGGTTAGTTGTGGTCAATGGGCTCGAAATGACATATATTGCCTCTGATATGAATCTTAGAAGAGTCCACACAAACGTCTCCATCTATCTTTTACTTTTCTCTATTGACCAAGAAGGCCATATGGTAGAGCCTTCATCATCCTGAATAATTGGGGAAGAGATCTTTTTGACCCGACAATTGATAAGAGCCCTGGCAAGTAGTGTGAGCCGCAGTAAACTATTTTTGGTACAAGCCAGTGAGGTTTTTAGGGGTGGTTTGTTATTGCAGTTGCCTATCCTGACTAATGTATTTTTCTACATACCTAAACCATCAGGTTTCATCAAAACATTGGTGGAAAATAAGAATATTTCTAGATGATTTGTTGGCTTTTCATTCAAGTTGAATATGTACCTATCTATTGGTTGAAAAAATTAATAGGGATTGTAGACATGTTATTCTTAGTAGGACAGGACAGGATAATGGTTTTTGAACATTCTCCCTGCTGTATATTAGCTTTGCTTTTAAATAAATACAGTAGTGAGGTGTGTTTATCAGTGTTTATTCTCCCACTATTGGATAACAGGGGCTCCTTGATCTAAAATGATAGGTAAGTGATCCCCTCTACTGTCCTAAGGTCATTACTTATTGACACCTCCCTATTATGCCTAGTCAATGTGTGATAAAAGATTGCATGGAAATGACAGGCATGAACCAGGATCTTTTCTCCTCTGTCCTCCTTTTCATTTGCCTTTTGATGTTTCTGCTGCTATTTGGCACCTCCACTAGAAGATTAGAAGGGGAAAAGAGAGGAAATTAAGCTCTTTTCCTGCAGACTAGCAGTTCTGATTTTTAAAGGGTACCTCGGGGTATTGTTTCATCTACTTATGAGTTTCAGGAGTGTGTGTTTGTGTGCGTGGTGGTGGGGGAGAAGAGAAAGAGAGAAAGACACAGAGAGAGAGACAGATATAATTAAACATGGAGTTTGAGTTTCCATGTTATCTGATTCTAGGAATTTAGTGTTGCCTCCATATTTATCAAGAATTATAGTCCTTTACCGTAATTTACTATAATGTATTATGTTTCTGTGTGTGTGTGTGTGTGTGTGAGAGAGAGAGAGAGAGAGAGAGAGAGAAGAGAGAGAAGAGAGAAACAGAGAGCGAGACAGAGATGGAGAGAGAGAGAGAGAATTAAACGGATTTTCAGAGTTTCCACATTATCTGATTCTAGGAATTTAGTGTTGCTTCTATATTTACCAAGAATTATAGTCCTTTAATTATTATGGAGGATAACTAAAAATATCCTGCATAATAATTAAAAGTTCCTTATTTTCAAGTGGCATAATGACTTTCTGTGCTAAGATCACTTGAAAATGTTAATTAAAGAAATCTATTTGCTCAAAAAAACTAAATGTGCATACTTTACACCTGTGGTAAATAATATAAAATTATAATTTGCCTTTGAGCTTAATCAAAATCAGCTTTAAATTTATTAGGCACCTGACTTTTTTATTTTTAATTAAAGACCATTTTGTTCAGTATGTAGTTTAAATCATGGAAGCGTAGTTACTTCTCAAGCAATTCCTTTAAGACTTGGGGCTTCTGTGTTTGAAGGGATCCAGGGGTTACAGTGTGGGCAGTACCCCTATACCAATTTAAGGTTTTTCTTACTCAGTAAGATGTTTTCTAAGATGAAAGAGATGGGTATATTCTATGTAACAGAGATAAATGTAAAATTTTATTCACCCTATGGGAAAAATTTGGATAGATTCCTCTTGGCAGTGAAAGGTATAAAATGAACTTAAAGGATGACTCTCCATAACATAATATTGAGTGAAACAAGAATAAACACATTATGACTCCATTTATAAAATATTTTTAAGGTAAAATTAAGCAATTTATTGTTTAAGGACACATGTTTGGTAAAACCATAATGAAAAACACATGGAAATGAACACAAAATACCATCTAATGCTTACTTTGGGGAACGGGAAGAGAGCCTCAAACAGAGAGATGTATGTGGAGGTTTCTACCACTTTAGTGTTATATTTCTAAAGTTGAGTTGTGAATACACAGATGTTGATTTCTATTCTAGTTCTTCACACTGTACATATGTTTTCTGTACTCTTTTGGAACTATACTGTATTTTATGTATAGTTCAATAAGTGATAGTTCAATATGAATTGTTGATGTGATATGACTCACTCAAAAGAGTTAGTGTCTCTTGTACATAATATTGTTAAGAAACTTGGAGTTAAGGAAATTGAAGGTATTGTCATATCCAGCCTTGATCAGACCATGCTTTAGTACTTTGTTCAGTTATATGCAGCCCACTTTAAGAGTGATGCAGACAAACTAGATTATGTTTAGGGGACAGTGATGAGGCTCGTAATGATTCTTGAAACTATATATGATATATGATTCTTCATATATTTGAAGGGAAGACATGAGAATGAGAGCTTAGATTTATACTACATACTCAAAAGAATAGAATCAAAATTAATAGATGATGCAACAAGAAAATATTTTATTGTAACAAAAATAGATTTTATCATAACAGAATCAAGAACTTACTAATAACTACATTTGTTCAATGAGTCGTCTTGATACATAGTGAGTTTCTTACTGGTGGAGATGTTCTAGCACAGGTTGAATGATCTCTTGGTGGGTTATTATCAGGAGATATGCCTAAAAGTCATTCTGGGTCCCGAAATTCTTCGAAGATTTCCAGAAATCTCTAGTCAACCTGAAATTTCTATTCAAGATCTCTTAGTTAAGTGGCAGCGGAGTGAGTAAAATCACAGAGTCTAGGACCAGATTCCTGGGTTGAATCCTGGCGTTTTTCAATTACTACCTGTATAACCTTGAGAAAATTACTTCTCTGTGTTTCCTTTTTGCAATCCATAAAATGGGTCTATCAGCCTCACAGAGTGGTTGTAAGACTTAGAAGAATGCCAGATAGTAAGTGCCACTAAATGTTTATTTTTTTAAGAAATAATTTTTTTCTAAAGATCAGTCATTCAATTTACTTTGAATCAATTACATTTTTGCTTTTGTTTTAAATAAAAAAACTTTATTTCTCTCTCTTCCTATGAGCAAATATATTTAATTATCCTCTGACATACAAGGGTATTGGAGTTTTTTTTTTTTTTAATTTTGTGGGCCCTAAATTCTAACAATTCCAGTAAGTATAGAATTTTAAACTAAAAAATCTCTTAACCTGACTTAAGTGGCTTTAGAATAGCTTTGTTGCATTATCACAGAACCACAGAACCCAAAAAGCCAAGAAGAACCTGAAAGAATGATTTAGTTTCTCTTACTCTTGGAATTAGGTACCTTGTCTGCAAAGTCTCCTTGCCCTTGAGGGATTGCTGCAAAGCCTGTCTCATTGTTCAATCTTTGCATGGCTCCTTCAATCGTTGCTAATACGAGGTGGATTGTCTGTTAAAAGTTAATGATGGTGAGCCAGGGAGTAGTGTACTGTTTTCGGTTTATTTGCAACAGTGGAAAGGGCAAACCTATTCATCTCAATGAAAATGTAACTGTTTACATTGGAAGCTTAAATTTTAGGACACACCATGTCCTGCTTTTGAAAAGACAATTTGTAGGGTAAGAGATGTTACAGTGATATTATGGAGGCCACAAGAAGTATATTTTCTGGTCATTGGTAGAAAACAATGATTAAAATCAGGCTTCTTTTGTAGGAGATACTGGTCATGTTTTCTAAAATGTTGACTGTGAGAGAAGAAAACAAGAATTATTAAATCTAGATCTCTGATGGGAAGTAAGAACAGAAATGAGGACAGGTGAAAGGAAGGCTAGACATGGTTTACACAGGTACATTTCCTGCTGATGATTGGTAGTGGTTGGGAGGGGACAGAAGGCAGGGAGATGTGAATTGATGAGGCACGGAGTATACCTGGGAATGGTGAGACTTGAACCTCAAGTTATAACCTAAGATTCACATAAATCTTGAAAACCATACTCTTGTTTTCTTCCAAACATGGAGCCATACCTATTCTAACTTCTTATGAGTGATTTGAGCATTATGACACCTCTACAGGAGATAGAGAAAAGGCAGAGCAAGAGATTGTCAGCTTGGAATGCCTCTAGGTGATGCTGGAGATAGCATCAATCTGCTTATCAGGGCTTTCTGGGTGTGGTGTAACCCAGAATAGCAGTCAGGATAGGCTAGGTACTGCTGCTGTGACAAAGTATTTTCCAATCTTGATGGCTTACAACCCCAGAGGTTTATTTTTTCTTATACTACATGCTTCCCCTGTTTCTCTCTCCTTCACAATTCTCTAGAATAGGGGTGTCCAATCTTTTGGCTTCCCTAAGCCACACTGGAAGAAGAAGAATTGTCTTGGGCCACACATAAAGTACACGAACACTAGCAATAGCTGATGAGCTTTAAAAAAAATTGCAAAAAACTCTCATAATGTTTTAAGAAAGTTTACAAATTTGTGTTGGGCCTCATTCAAAGCTGTCCTGGGCTACATGTGGCTGGTAGGCCATGGACTGGACAAGCTTGCCATAGAGGCTAGACAAGTAAGCTTTTTGTGTTTTCCTGTCTTGTTGGCACTTCCTCTTTGTCATAATCCTCTCCTTGCCATAGGGGTAATTCTCTGGGGCTATAATAGTTAAAGAACAACAAAAAAGAACATTGGTTTAATATTTTCAAAATGTTAACCCCTTTAAATATTTGATGAAGTGGAGATGTTATAAGAATAAATGTGAAAGCTATTAGAAAAATTCTGGTTAATTGGATATATATAGAGAAATATAGGCTGACTGCTAAATATATGCAGCCTTTCTAGCCTCATTGGTGGATGGTAATGCCATTTGGTGAGATGAGAATTGGTTGGGAGGTGAGGGAAGGTTTCGAGGGAGAAATCTGTCTAGACTTTTATTAATCTTTTGCTAGCTTAAAAAGTATAATTATAGGTGATTTTTTTCTTCCCTATTTTTTACCCCTAAATTTTTCGTAAAAGAGGCTTTGATAGTGAAATAACCTAATACTGAAGAACATATGTAGGTTACATTCTGAGGTCTGTGTCTGGGATATCCCAGGCTGGGTTGGGCCTGATCTGAGACTGAGGAATGTTGCTGAAGGAGGCTGGGATGAGCTTCCTGTGGTTTCTTAGATGGTCCTTGCTGGGTGGACAGGGTAGGGCATATGGCTCAGGTTGCCAAGATGGTGCTAAATGCCTTAATTTGGTTCAGAATGGTTTGATGGATGCTTTTGATTTTTTTTTTTAATGCTTCTCAGCTTGAAAACATTTCCAGTTTTTGTCCTTTTCATGGGAATTTATTGAACATAAGTAAGTTGGATGTTTTTCTTGTTAACTAGAAGACTTAATCATGTAACATGACAAAGGAAAGAAAGAAAAAGGATTTATGATTCTAAAGAATGGGCAATTCCCTTGAAGGAGTGGGTCATTCAGTGAAGCTGTTTGTTTGGCCTGGGTTTTCTTTAAGTTTATTTTTCTCACTCAGTTGAGATTTTGACTGTTTCTGACTACCTTCCTCAACTCTATCACTCTTTCTATGGCTTGTGGTTGGAAAACAGGGCCATCCAAGTAGCTTGTTGGGTCCCAGGCGAATGCCCTTTGACTCTCAACACCTTTTTAGAAAGGTACATTCTCTTTCAAGGAAAAATGAAGCCATGTAAGGGAAGCTTATGTACAAAATAGGATAATCCAGTTAACTCAGGTTATGGTGATTTGTCCTTTTTGTGTGTTTGTTTCAGCTGTTGCTATTGAAAACTCTTATAGAAGAATTTAGTTATTTCTTAATTTTATTTAGTTAATAATTTTAGTAAATAGATTTACTTTTTCTATGGCAAATGAGAACCTAGCAATACTACAGAATCATAGGACATATACATGTACAAGACACTTATTGATCTTCCCACAACATCTAACATTTCTACATGTTTTGAAATGTTTCTTCAGTAGACGTGTTCTGAAATGTTTTGAAATGTTTCTTCTAAAAACTGTTCACTCCTTTCTCCCTAAATGTGTATTATATGTTGGTATTATACTGGGTGCTCAGAATTATCTTTAAGAATGATGGGGTGTGCCGGGCATGTGGCTCATGCCTGTAATCCCAGTACTTTGGGAGGCTGAGGTGGGTGGATCACCTGAGCCCAGGAGTTCCAGACCACCTTGAGTAACATGGAAACCCTGTCTCTACTAAAAACACAAAAACTAGCCAGGTGCCTGTAGTCCCAGCTACTGGGGAGACAGGCATGAGAATCACTAGAACCCAGGAAGCAGAGGTTGCAGTGAGCCGCGATTGTGCCATTGCACGCCTGGGTGACAGAGTGAGATTCTGTCTCAAAATAAAAATAAAACAAAATAAATAATG
Organism: Homo sapiens; assembly: GCF_000001405.40. Classification (NCBI taxonomy): domain Eukaryota; kingdom Metazoa; phylum Chordata; class Mammalia; order Primates; family Hominidae; genus Homo; species Homo sapiens. Next base: position 102,323,681 of record NC_000012.12, read on the forward strand.
ATGAGGCCCAATTGGTTTCTCAAGAAGTGCACTTGGTTTCTCAAGTTGCCCACTTGGCCCTCCCGCAAGTTGTACTTTACTTTACTTTTCCTTCCTTTCCTTACTGTTCTAAAGCTTTTAAATAAACTTTCACTCCTGCTCTGAAAAAAAAAAGAATGATGGGAAACACAGGGGCTGCTAAAATCAAGATCAAGTACTGTACCTGGTCTTGGGCTGCTTATAAGCTAGTTGGAAAGAAAAGACACACACTTGGAAAGATAGCTAAAATATGACAAATAGCTAAAATATGACAAGTGTCATGTGAGCAAAACATAGAAAAAAAGGCCATGGAAGTTCAGCAAGGGTATATTCTCTGTGCACAGAACAATCTGATAAGCCTTCTCAGAAGAAATGGAATTGGAGCTGGGATCTGAGGTTTAGATTAGCAGAGACGGCAGTGGGAAGGACATTTCAGGGAGGAAAGAAGCAAAGGCACAGAAATGAAAAAGTAGAATACATGTTTGGGTGGGGCAGGATGATGAAAGCAATGAGAAGATTAATTTGTTTGGAGCAGAAACCCTCCCATCCCCATCACCAATCCTATTAACTCAAAGGTTCATTTAGTTAAAATACAGTAAAGCTTCAGTCCCTTACTTGCCCTTTTGAGTCCCAGTTTCCTTATTTGTAAAACGAGGTTAATCATACCTACCAGCCATAGATTAAATTATTAAATGATTAAATGGATTAAATGAGATAGGATACTAAAAGGAAGGTGTTGAGCAGGGTTCCTCACACTTTATCATCCCTCTTCACTCAATTCATTGCATTCAATTTAATTCCAGTGCTGTCTGTCATACTATCAAGACATCTCCTATGCTACTCCCCCTTGAGGATAATTTAAATTTGACTGTTATTGCATTTCTCTAAACTAGTTTCTATTCACCTTCTGGTTTAGGAGAATTTTCTTGGCATAAGCCATCTGTATATGCAAAGGAGACCAATGTCACATTTGAGGGCTTTAAATAATTCCTCACTAACCAGTTCAGGGTGGCTAGAGTATAACAAGCTAAAAGGGAGTAGTTGGCAATAAGAAAGGTGTCTCAGTTTGTTTTCTCTTGCTATAACAGAATACTTGAAACTGGCTAATTTATAAAGAAAAGGAATTTATTTCCTACAGTTATGGGAGATGAGAGGTCCAGAGTTCAGCAGCTGCATCTGGTAAGAGCCTTTTTTTTTTTTTTTAAGTTTTGATTCTTTTTTTTTTGTTTTTTTGTTTTTTTATTTTATTTTATTTTATTATTATTATACTTTAAGTTTTAGGGTACATGTGCACAATATGCAGGTTAGTTACATATGTATACATGTGCCATGCTGGTGTGCTGCACCCATTAACTCGTCATTTAGCATTAGGTATATCTTCTAATGCTATCCCTCCCCCCTTCCCCCTACCCCACAACAGTCCCCAGAGTGTGATGTTCCCCTTCCTGTGTCCATGTGTTCTCATTGTTCAATTCCCACCTATGAGTGAGAACATGCGGTGTTTGGTTTTTTGTCCTTGTGATAGTTTACTGAGAATGATGATTTCCAATTTCATCCATGTCCCTACAAAGGATATGAACTCATCATTTTTTATGGCTGCATAGTATTCCGTGGTGTATATATGCCACATTTTCTTGCTAATGGGGATGCTGCAGAGTCCTGAGGCAGTGCAGAGCATCACGTGGCAAGGGGGCTGAGTGCGCTAACATGCTAGCTTAGGTTTTTCTTCCTTTTCCTATATAGCCACAGTTCCCTTCCAATGATAACTCACTATTTCATTAATCTGTGAATAGACTAAGTCATTCATGAGGGCAGAGCCCTCATGACCCAATCACCTCTTAAATGCTTCACTTCTCAATACTGCCTGATATGGTTTTGGCTGTGTCCGCACCTAAATCTCATACTGAATTGTAGCTCCCATAATCCCTGCATGTCATGGAAAAAACCCCATGGGAGGTAATTGAATCATGGCAGCGGTTACCTCCATATCATGTTCTTATGATATTGAGTGAGTTCTTATGAGATCTGATGAGATCTCATGAGATCTGATGGTTTTAGAAGGGGCTTTCCCCCACTTCTCTCTGCACATCTCCTGCTGCCATGTGAAGAAGGACGTGTTTGCTTCCCCTTCCACCATGATTGTAAGTTTCTTGAGGCCTCCCCCGCCCTGTGGAACTGTGAGTCAATTAAACCTCCTTCCTTTATAAATTACCCAGTCTCAGATATGTCCTTATAGAGGTGGGAGAAGGGACTAATACAGTAAATTGGTACCACAGAGAGTGGGGCGCTGCTGTAAAGGTACCTGAAAATGTGGAAGTAACTTTGGAACTGGGTAACAGGCAGAGGTTGAAACCATTTGGAGGGCTCAGAAGACAGGAAAATGTGGGAAAGTTTGGAAACTCTTAGAGACTTGGAGGGCTAAGAAGGCAGGAAGAAGTGGGAAAGTTTGGAACTTCCTAGAGACTTGTCGAATGGCTTTGACTAAAATGCTGATAGTGATATGGGCAATAAAGTCCAGGCTGAGGTGGTCTCAGATGGAGATGAGGAACTTGTTGGAAACTGGAGTAAATGTCACTCTTGCTATGCAAAGAGACTGGCGGCATTTTGCCCCTGCCCTAGAGATCTGTGAAACTTTAAACTTGAGAGAGATGATTTAGGGAATCTGACAGAAGCAATTTCTAAGTGGCAAGGTGTTCAAGAGGAAGCAGAGCATAAAAGTTTGGAAAATTTGCAGCCTGATTATGTGACAGAAAAGAAAAACCCATTTTCTTGGGAGAAATTCAAGCCGGCTGCTGAAATTTGCATATGTGATGAGGAGCCGAATGTTAATCACTGAGGCAATGTGGCAGCTGTTTTCAGGGCATGTCAGAAACATGTCAAAGTTCTCAGGTATCCTATAATCCCCATGGGTCATGGGAAGGACTTAGTGGGAGGTAATTGAATCATGGGGGCGGTTACCTCCATGCTGTTCTGATGATAGTGAGTGAGTTCTCATGAGAGTTGATGATTTTATAAGGGGCTTTCCCCTCCTTTTCTCTGCACTTGTCTCTCTTGCCACCATGTGAAGGAGGACGTGTTTGGTTCCCCTTCCACCATGATTGTAAGTTTTCTGAGGCCTCCCCAACCATGCTGAACTGTGAGTCAATTAAACATCTTTCCTTTATCAATTACCGAGTCTTGGGTATGTCCTTATTAGCAGCATGAGAATGGACTAATTCTCTGCCACATTTGGGATAAAATTTCAACACAAATTTTGGTTTGCTATTCAAACCATAGCAAAAGGATACTTTCCTTCTTGTAGTTTTATCAACATCTTCCAGGACATAAATTTAATGGTAAACAACAGGTAAAATAAATGACATTGCTCAAAGGAATGCAATTAAAACCTAACTGCTATTGCATTTAATCCATAGAGGAATGTGACCCAGGTCTGGGGAGAGGGAGCACTGCATTATGTTTCATTCTCATGCCATGTGAGAATGTTTACACCAGCTTGAGTTGTTGTGATGGGGTCGTCCATATCATTTGGTTCTTGTCCTTGTGACTCACTGCTTCTGCTGTAGAGTTAGCTTCCTGCAGTGGAAAAGGGAGGAGTTATTTTCCAGACCATATGGAGTAGAAAACAACAGATTGACATAGGTTTTGTGGAAGCTAAAGGCACATGAACTGAAGCCTCCCAGAGTGTAACCTTGCAAAACTCTTTAAAATAGCATTTTCATAGAGGTGTTTAGTATTTAGGATCTATCTTAAAACCTTAAGATTCCAAAGTTAGCTTACAGAAAATAGGCAAGAGAGGATAAATTGTATTAGGTATGGAATTTCACTGCCTCTGCTTGTGTTTCCAGGTTGGAGAAGCTGGAGAAAAGAATGCTTCCCTTTGATTTACCTGGGCTGGGGAGTATGACAATGTCCATGTGTGTGTATAGGAGATTCTTGTACTTAAACTCTGTAAATGTGTGTTTCTGTGGTCCTATGCTGGGTGGAGGGTTCAACTAAGGTATTGTTAAGGAATATGGATGAGCCAAAAAGACTGGAAAGTTTCAAATGCATGTGTGTTTCCAACTAATATTGGAGAAAACTTTTTTGGCATCGAACACTGGCAATTTATAGACTTGTTGATTGATAGTGGATTTACCTTTAGAGTGTACCTGGATTATAGAGGAATCTAGCTTCCCTGTCTAACTCATTTATCATAAGCTTACTGAATAACTGCTATGGACTATGCATGTGTTAGATGCTGGGGTAGAAAGATAAATAGGACACAGTCCCACAGGAATTATAGTCTAGTGGAGAGAGGTGTATATAAACAGTCACAGAACAATGTGATAAGTATTATGATGAAGGAATATGTAATAACTGCTAGCAAAGAGAAGGAAACATTTAAACCTGCTTGGGAGTGGAGGGAAAAGTCAGAGAAAGCTCTATAAAAAAGCTAACTATATAATATGTTTGGTAGGATGAGTTACTTGGCAAATGGGCTGGAGTTACACACCCAGTTGGGGAATATGTTGCCTCCAAAATCCAAAGAGCCCCATTAGGCGTTGTGCTTTTCTTTTCTTTTCTTTTTTTTTTTTTTTTTTTTTTAACTGTAGGAAGCACCAGATGCAATAGCTTATTCCTTGCCTTTTAATTCTTTTAATTCCTGCAAGATAAATAATCCAAGCCAAAATGAAGCAGAAATATCATTAGACTGTCACCAGTTAAGGCTCCAGATTAATTGTCTGAGAGGTAGAGAAGAGAAACAGGAAAGCAGAAATAGACTTTAATTTAAAACACAAGCAAGTAAGAGTGGATCAGTCAAGGGGTTCTGGCAAGAAACACAGAAGAAACACAGCATATTCTGAAGAGTAGAACTGATTTGTGAAGAGACTATGTCAGAGCCATGATAAGAAAACCAACAAAGGATAGTGAGGCACCCAGGGACTAGCAACATCAGGGAGCTATTAGTACTCTTGGGGCTGCAGGGGCCAGGGAAGGAAATGGTGTTAATGAGCCCAGTGAAAGCTGGCGTCATGGAGGAGGGGAAATAGTTTATCATGAAAACAGAACTATGGCTCCTCACTCACAATCACTTCCAGACATGAACCACTTTACAGACTCAGAATACCCTGAATGAAGGGAAGGCTGGATCCCCTTGAGGAAGGACCCCTGTACGTGGACAAATATTTACACTGTTAATATTCCTCCCAGAATTCCACAAAGAGCTTTATGCCTTTTTAATGGTACTGTGCATTGGGAAAAAAAACAAAACAAATAATTTGAACTTTCAGAGATTACTGGACACTGGCTCTGAACTGACAGTAATTCCAGGAGACTCAACACATCACTGTGGTCTACCAGTCAGAGTAGGGGCTTATAGAGGTCAGGTGATTAGTGAAGCTTTGGCTCCAGTTTATCTCACAGTGGGCCCGATGGGTACCTGAACACATCCTGTGATTATTTCTCCAGTTCTAGAATGCATAATTGCAATAGATACATTCAGCAGCTGTTGGAATCCCCTCATTGGTTCCCTTACCTGCACAGTAAGGACTACTGTAGTGGGAAAGACCTAGTGGGAGCAGCCACTAGAACTGCCTCTACAGAGGAAAATAGCAAACCAAAAGGAATGCTGCATTTTTGGAGGAATTGCAGAGATTAGTGCTGCCATCAAGGACTTGAAAGATGCAGGGGTGATGATTACTACTCCCCACTCAACTCTCTTATTTGGCCTGTGCATAGAACAGATGGATCTTGGAGAATAGCAGTTAAGTAAGCTTAACCAGGAGGTGACTCCAATTGCTGCATTTCATTGCTTGAGCAAACTAACACATCCCTTGGTACCTGGTATGCAGCTATTGATCTGGCAAATGCTTTTCCTTCATACCTGTCAATAAAAACCATCAGAAGCAGTTTGCCTTCAGCTGGAAAGGCCAGTAATATACCTTCACTATTCTACCTCAGAAGTAGATCAACTCTCCAGCCTTACACCATAATTTAGTTCACATGGATCTTGATCATCTTTCTCTTCAAAAGGATATTATACTGGTTTGTCATATTAGTGACATTATGCTGTTTGGAAGTAGTGAGCAAGAAGTAGCAACTACTCTAGACTTAAGTCATTTGCATTTCAGAAGGTGGGAAATAAATGAGACAAAAAATGGAAAGACTTTCTATCTCAGTAAAATGCCTAAGGGTGACAACCCCCTCACCCCCCACCACTGCCAAAAAAATAAGAACAATGCTTAATGGACCTCTTTGGATTTTGGAGTCAACATATTCCTCATTTGGGTATGTTACTCCAGACCATTTGCTAAGTAACCTGAAAAGCTGCTAATTTTAAGTGGAACCTAGAACAGGGGAAGGCTCTACAACAGGTCCAGGCTGCTGTGCAAGCTGCTTTGGCTCTTGCATCATATCATCCAACAGACCCAATGGTGCTTAAAATGTTAGTGGCAGGTAGGGAAGCTATTTGGAGCCTCTGCCAGGCTCCTATAAGTAAATTTAGGCATAGTCCTTTAGGATTTTGGAATAAAGCTCTGCCATCCTCTGCACATAACTATTTTTTTTTTTTTTAAGGAACAGCTGATGGCCTACTACAAGGCCTTAATAGAGACTGACTGCTTAATCATGGGCTACAAAGTTACGGTGCAACCTGAGCTGCCCATCATGGTGTTTTGACTCACCAAGCCATAAGTTTGGGCATATACCACTTCAAATGGAAGTGGTATATATGTGATAGGACCTAAGAAAGCCCCAAAGGCACAAGTAAGTTACACAAAGAAGTGGTCTAAATGCCAATGGTTTCAACTCCTGTTACACTGCCTTCTCTCCCTCAGTCTGCACTTATGGCCTCATGAGGAGCTCCCTATCATCTTAGTACATTTTCTGTTGCTATACCGGAATCAAGCAGACTGGGTAATTTATAAAGAGTAGAAGCTTATTTGGCTTACAGCCTTAGAGGCTGGAAGGTTCAAAAGCATGGTGGCAGCTTCCAGTGAGGGCTTTTCATACTGCATTATAACATGATGGAGAAGTGGAAGGAGAAGTGGGTGTGTGTGAAATGATCAAAACATGAGGAGTGGCCTCAGTTTATAATACCCCCAGCCCAATCTTGTGGTAATGAATCAAGTTCCATGACAGTGAGAACTCATTCCCCAGAGAATTAACTGAGTCCTTCAAGAGTGACATTAATCCCATTTAAGGACCCAATGATGTCTTCTTCTTCTTTCTTCTTTCTTCTTCTTCTTCTTTCTTCTTTCTTCTTCTTTCTGAGACAGGGTCTCACTCTATCACCCAGGCTGGAGTGCAGTGGTGTGATCTTGGCTCACTGTGACCTCAACTTCTTGGGCTCAAACAATTCTCCCACCTCAGCCTCCTGAGTAGCTGGAACTACAGGCGTGCACCACCATGCCTGGCTAATTTTTTATTTCTTGTAGAGATGGGGTTTTGCCACATAGCCCAGGCTGATCTCAAACTCCTGCACTCAAGCAATCTTTCCTCCTTGACCTCCCAAAGTGCTGGGATTATAGGCATGAGGCACTGCACCCAGCCACAATGACTTTTTAAAGTCCCTACCTCCCAACACTGTTGCACCAAGAACCAAATTTCTAACACATTAATTCTGAGGGTACACTCAAACTATAGCACCTATGATCAATTGATAGGAGAAAAGATTACTCAGACCTAGTTTATAGATAGTTCTGTATGATATACAGGAATCAATGGGTGAAAAGTGAGAGTTGCACCATTCACAATTACATTCCATTCACATTCACAATTTGCTAATGACCCACTAGCAAAACTTTTTTTTCCTTGTTCCTATGACCCTGTTCTCTGCTGGCCTAGAAGTCTTAGTTCCAAATGGAGAAATGGTTCCACCAAGAGACACAACAATGATTCCATTGAACTGCAAGATAAGAGTGCCACCTGGACACTTTGAACATGCCTCTGAATCAGCAGAAAAAGAAGGGAGTTATTGTGTAGACTGAGTGAAGTAGATTGCCTTCCCCAGTATGGTTGGGCTTCGTGCAATCCATTGAAGGCCTGCATAGAACAAAAAGAAGAAAAAAATAGAAGTCACTCTTTGCTTGACTGTCTTCCAGCTGGGACATTGATTGTTCCCTGGCTTTGCCCTAGAACTTGTGCTAGAACTTACATCTTTGGATCTACAGGTTCTCAGATCTTTGAACTCAGACTGAAACTTATACCATTGGCTCTCCTGGTCCTTACCCACTGGACTCAGAGAAGAAGTATCTCACTGGCTTTCTTGGTCCTCCTGCTAGATGACTGTAGATCCTGAAAATTTCTAGCTTCCATAACCATGTGAGTCAATTTCTTCTAATAAATATATATCTATATTTACATCTTCATCTATATCTTTATCTTCTATTCTGTTTCTCTGGATAATTCATACCAATACATATTTTGGTACTGAAAAGTGTTTGTAGTTCTGTCATAACAAATACCTAAACATGTGGAAGTGGCTCTGGAATTGGGTAATGAATAGAGGCTGGAAGTATTTTGAGGTGCATGCTAGAAATATGGATGTTAAGAGCAATTCTGATGAGCTCTCAGATGAAATGAGAAACATATTTTTGGAAACTGGAAGAAAGGCGATCTTTGTTATAATATGGAAAAGAATTTGGCTGAATTATGTTTGGGTTCTAGTGTTTGTGGAAGGTAGATCTTGCAAATGATGATATTGGATATTTAGTTGAGGATATGTCTAAGCAAATGTTTAAGAAGTGGCTTGCTTCCACCTGACTGCTTATACTAAAACCTGATAAGAGACAGTTGAAGAAGGGATTGTTAAAGGATAAGTTGAAGAAGGAATTGTTAAGCAAAAAGGAACCTGAATTTGAAGATTTGGAACAGTTTCAGCCTACGTATATTGCAAAAAAATGAAAAAGTATTCAGAAGAGAACACCAAGGGTGTGCCTGGACTGTCATTCAATGAAGAGCTTATGGGACTATATAAGCAGCAACATTGCCAGTTTAAACTGAAGGAGATGCAGAAAGGACTAAAGGAAGGAAGGTTATTAGACTCATCAGGATTTGTGGGGGAAAAGATGAAAGAGTCTTTTGGCTGTGAACATGTGCTATCCTTCAATAAGAGGAAAAATGACCCTAAAGGTAATTCAGAAATTAACAGAGCCACCATCTTGTTTTCAATAAGTCAGATGCCCTCTTTCTTGAAGCTGTGAGGCCAGGACCACTTTGTTGTGCTGAAGGATCAGGACACCTTGAAGAACGCTGGGGACAGGGTGCCTGGAAGGGCCATGAATACAGGATCTCTGCCCCCATGGGTTTTGAAGATAGGACCCCAGTGGGTCTGGAAGATAGAGAATCAAGTCAAAGAGAATGATTCTTGAGCCTTAAGATCTGATGGAATGTATCTTACTAGGTTTTAGATTTGTTTGGGACTAATCATCCTTTTCTTTCCTATTTTTCTCTCTTGTAATAGAAAGGTCTTTCCTATGGCTGGCTCGCCATTTTAGAAGTACATGACTTGTTTGGTTTCACAGATTCAGAGCTGAATCTGAAGAGGAATTTTGCTTCAGGATGAATTGTACCTTGAGTCTCACTCATACTTGATTCAAATGATATTTCGATAAGACTATGGACTTTAGACTTTAGAGTTGATGCTGGCATAAATTCAGACTTTTGAGGCTGTTGGGATGAAATAAATGTACTTTGCATACAATAAGAACATAAATTTTGGGGGGCCAGGGGTGGAATATTATGGACTGAATGTTTCTGTCATCACTGAATGTCATGTGTTAAAACCCTAACTACCAATGTAATGTGGTTTGAAGATGGGGCATTTGCACAGTAATTATAGCTAGGTGAAGTCATGAGGATGGGAATCCTCATGATGGGATTGTTGTACTTCTAAGGGGAAGATCCTCTCTCTCTCTCTCGGCTCCCCACTCCCCAACTCTACCCTAGGTGAGAGCACAGAGAGAAAGTGGCCATCTAAAAGCTGGAAAGATAACCCTCACCAGAACTCAAACATGCTGGCACCTGATCTCACACTTACAACCTCCACAAACGTGATAAAAAAAAATTCTGTAATTTAAGACCTGTAGCCTATGGCTGGCATTTTGTTATAGCAGCCCAAGCACACTAAAACAGTCAATTAAGTTTATAATATTATTCAGATCTTCTATCACTCATCAACTAATTTTTTGTGTCTACTTGTCCTGTTAATTAGTAATAGAGGTGTGTCCGAAGTCTCCAACTGTAATTGTATATTTGTCTATTTCTCCTTTCAGTTCTATAGATTTTGCTTTATTTTGGAGTTTTATTGGGTGCATATACATGTAGCAATATTATGTCTTTTTAATGAATTGACCCTTTTATAATTACATAATGTTGATGTTAATATACCTTATTCTGAATACTACTTTAGCTAATATTAATATAAGCACTGCAGCTTCCCTTAATTAATAGTATAATTTTTCCATCCTTTTACTTTTTCCTTTGTCTTTATAAGTAGATTTATTGTAGACAACATATAATTGCATTTTACTTGTTTGTCCAACCTGACAATGTTAGGCTTTAATTGGAGTGCTAATTCCAGATGTATTTAATGTAAGTATTGATATGTTTGGGTTTAAATATACCATCTTGCTAAATGTTTTCTACTTGTCCCATTGGTTCCTTGTTTTTCCTTTCCTCTTTTAGTGCCTACTTTTGAACTAAATATTTTTCATTATTATATTTATTTTCAAAATTGGCTTATTAGTGGTTTCTCTAGGATTTAAACATCTTTAACTTATCACAGTTTACTTCCAAATGTATCACTTTACATAGAGTGTAGTAGCTTTACCACATATACTTCTATTTCCTTTCTTCCAACCTTAGTGCTATTGTTGTTACAGTTTTTACTTCTGTGTGTATTATCAACCCCATAATATATTGTTACTATTATAGTTTTAGACAATTATATTTTAAAGGAATTCAAAATTTAAAACATCTTTTATACTTAACCATATTTTTACCATTTCTATGCTCTTCATTCTTTCACACAGATGTAATTTTCTATCTGGTATCATATTTCTTGTGCCTAAAGAACTTTCAATAGGTTAGTTGCAGGTCTGCTGGCAATGAATTCCCTAAGCTTTTGTTGGTCTGAGAAAGTTTTTATTTTATCTTTATTCTGAAAGCTATTTTTGCTGGATATATCATTATCAGTTTATTGTTGTGCTTGTTTTATTACTTTGAAGATGTTACATCATCTGCTGAACTGCATAGTTTCTAAAAAGAAGTCTGGTGTGATTCTTATCTTCCTCCCTATGTAATGTTTCCTTTTTCCTCTTCTACATCAAGATTTTTCTCTTTAAACTTGAATTTCAGCAGTTTGACTACAATTTTCATAGCTGTGTTTTTAAAATTTTTGTTTATATTGCTTAGAGTTTTCTGAGATTCTTTGGTCTGGTTTTTTTTTTTTGCTTTTTGTTTCTGTTTTTGCCTTCAATTTACTTCAGACAATTCTTGATCATTACCTCTTCAAATATTTCTTTGGTTCTTGCTGTCTTCTTATTCTGGAGATACAAGTCCATGTATATTAGACTGTTTGGTTTTATTCCCTAATTTTTGGATGATCTGTTCTTTTTTCCCATGCATTTAATTATTTAATTTTCAGTAGTTCCTGTCATCAAGTTCATCAATTATTTCCTCATTGTGTCTAGTCTACAGATAAAGTTGTCAAAGGAATAATAATAATAAAAAAACTCTAGAATTTCCATTGGTATTGGTTTCCTATTGCTGCTGTAACAAATTACCACAATGCTACTAGCTTAAAACTACACAACTTTATTATACTAAAGTTCTGGAATTCAGAAGTCTGAAATGGGTCTCAGACTTGTCTAAAATCAAGGTGTCAGTAAGGCTGCATTCCTTTAGGAGACTCTACAGGAGGATCTATTTCCTTACCTTTTCCATCTTCTAGAGACCAACTGAATTCCTTATCTCAGGACCTCTTTCTCCATCTTTAAAGCCATGTTCTCTTTCTCCATCTTTCTCCATCTTTAAAGCCAAACTGCAAATCATCTCCAAATTACTCTGTCTCTCCTGGTTCCCTCTTTCACAGTCCTTGTGATTACATTGAGCCTATCAGGATAATCCTGGATAATATTCTCATATCATGATCCTTAACTTAGTAACATTTGTAAAGTCCCTTTTGCCATGTAAGGTAATATAGTCACAGGTTCAGAGAAGTAGGACATGGACATCTTTGGTAATAATGGGGTGTCCCATTATTGTGCTGATGACACCATCTGATTCTCAGGATTTCCACCTTTAGTAGGTAGAATGGTGGCCTCTCAAAAGATATATCTATGTCCAAATCCCTGGAACCTGTGAATGTTATCTTACTTGGAAAACGGGTATTTGCAGATGAATGAAGTTCAGGTTCTTGAGAGTAGATCATCCTGGATTACTTGTGTGATTCCTAAATTCAATGATAAGTGTGTTTGTAATATACAGAAGAAGTTAAGACACAGACAGACAGAGGAGATGGCAATGTGAAGATAGAGGCTGAGATTGGAGTGCTGTGGCCACAAGTCAAGAAAGCCAAGGAATGCTGACTGCCCCCAGAAGCTGCAAAAAGCAAGGATTTTCCCTTTGCACCTCCAGGAGTGTGGCTCTGCTGACACCTTGATTTCAGACTTGAGGCTTCTAGAACTGAGAGAATAATTTTCTCTTATTTTAAGCCACCCAGTTTGTGGTAATTTGTTATGGTACCCCTAGGAAAAGAATACATCTTTCTGTTGAAATCTTTATCTCTTTAAGTATGTATTATAGTTTTTCCATTAGATCCTTTAACGTATTAATTATAATTATTTTAAAGTTCCTGTCTGTTAGTTTCAACATCTGGACCAAATTCTGAGTTTGTTTAATCTCTTGACAATGGGTTGTTATGTTCTTGCTTTTTGTGTATATGGCAATTTTGTTTACATACCAGATAATGTGTACAAAGTAACACTAGAAACTGAGCTAAATAATATTTATGCCCAGCAGTAGGCATGCTTCTTCTTCTGTTAGATCATGAGTCTTTGGGCAGTTGAGGCTCTCTGATATGTACATGAGCTGAGTTTAAGTTTGCTGTTGTCGTGTTGATATATTGTTATATTCAGTGAACCCTAGGCTTCAAATTCCTCCTGCGGTAGACAAGTGCTACCTTATCCTTAGTGTGAGGTCTGAAGTGCTAGAGGAATTTTCTAAATGTTTCTTCACTCTCAGCTTTCAGCAATCCATGTATGACTTTGCCACTGGGGGGATTTATCTCCATGTTCTTGTATTTACCCTAGCCTAGAGACTTCAGTTGTTTGTTATTCTGTGCAAGACTCATGCTGGAGTTGGAAGCTTTCACTTCTCCTGTTCCAGCCTTAGTTTCAGGCAGGTCCTGTGCTCCTGAGCCTGATGTCAGTTGTTTTGAATACCCCCATGTCTCTCCCATGACAAGCCTTTGCCTCCTTTTCAGTCCATGTTTTAGAGTGCAGGTAGGTTTCCTGTACTTCCCTCCCCGCTGAACAGGTGAACTCTGCCTCCGCCCCCAGCAATAGCAGTCCTCTTCTTTGTATTAGTGCAGGATCCTGCGCATGAGAAAGTTTTCTACCACTTTCCCAGTAGCAGCCTACCTTTGCCTGGAAATAGGGACATGACAGGGTTTCATGTCCCTCCCTCAGTGGCAGATTCATTTTACTTCATATAAAAGCATTGTCATGTCTGGGATGTGAACATGTTCTTTCTATCATCTCAACAGCGACAGATTTTACTTCCTATCTGAGAACATTCTGGGCTGTGGGAAGTAGCAGCTGCTCACCATACTGTACTCATGCAGAGCCCATTGAGAGATGAAATTCCATAGACACTCCTGTGGCCGGGCACGGTGGCTCACGCCTGTAATCCCAGCACTTTGGGAGGCCGAGGAGGGCGGATCACGAGGTCAGGAGATCGAGACCATCCTGGCTAACTTGGTGAAACCCCGTCTCTACTAAAAATACAAAAAAACAAATTAGCTGGGCGTGGTGGCGGGCGCCTGTAGTCCCAGCTACTCAGGAGGCTGAGGCAGGAGAATGGCGTGAACCCGGGAGGTGGAGCTTGCAGTGAGCCGAGATGGCGCCACTGCACTCCAGCCTGGGCAACAGAGCAAGACTCCGTCTCAAAAAAAAAAAAAAAAAAAAAAAAAAAAGAAATTCCCTAGACACTCCTGCTCTTCTCTCAAACCTCAGCAGACCCTGTACACCTGTGCCACCAAGAGGCGCCTTCTCCAGCTTCCTACCTGCCCTCAATCGTTCTTGTGAATATTCAGATGAGACCCATCAAGAACCCCATGAGTGGGTGCAGACTTGCCTGTGCCTGTGGCACCTGAAGATTCTACACTTTCACACTAGTCCACATTTGTCCTTTAAGAATGTGCTAAATTTCATCTATTTTCATCTTACTGACTCCAATAACTGCCTCCCTTCCCTCCTATTCTCCCTAAAAGGTGAAACATTTGAGTGTCCTATGTTACCTATGAGGAGCCTTTCACCCTTAGGAATTTAGTTCAACTGATCAACCTCAGCGCACTGATGAACTTGAAAACTATTTTGTAGATTTTCAGCTTTTTTTTTTTTTTTTTCCTGAGGCAGTGTAAATTATTTAAGAGTTTAGATTACCAACTTTTCCTGTTTTGGTGATAGTGACATTCTTTTGCAGTTTCTGTATCCTAAGTGAAATTAGAACTATATTCATTGATTTAACAGATATTCAAATCAACAAATGCATACCCAGAGGACCAAGTGATGTCTGAAACTTAACATATATATAATGGAACTTTTGGTTTGCCCCAACCATTGCCTGTTCCACCCTAAGCCTATCTCTGTAAGTTGTACCACTGTCCACCTAGTTGGTTAAGCCAGAAACTCAAGTGTTTTCCTGATTTTCTCTTCTTCACCTCATACATCCAATACAACAGTAACCACTATAATTATTGATTCTATTTCCGAAATAAATATAAAACCCATTTACTTTTTTCCATTATTGCTGTCACTAGTGTGGTCCAAGCTGTCATCATCTGTTGTCTGGACTTCTTTGTCAACCAGAGGATCTCACAGCTTTTACTTTTGTCCTCGTAGACTACATCATCCACCCAGCAGTCAAAGTTAAAACATAAATCTTATCACATTCTAAAAATATAAGTAAATTTTGAGCATGTCAAATCCCTGCTCAAAATCATTCAGTGTTTCCCCATTACCTTTCTAAAGGCAACTCAATCTCAACTCCTCACCATGACCTGCAAGGCCGTGAATGATCCAGCCCTGCCTATTTCCACAACAACTTCATTTGGGGCCACTTTCTTCCTCACTCACTTATTCATCTGTTGAGAAAAGAGAGGCACTTTTAACTTATACATGTCTGAAGAATCAGAGCAGCTGTGAACATACCCCAGAACTCTGAAATTTCAAAAGTATAAAATGTTAATCCAAAAAGAATTCTAAACTTCAAATAATCTTCTTTTTGCTTATTTTTTATGGCATATGTGCATTATTATTTCATCACTTTCAAAACTGACACAGTTTCCATAGTTAACTTCGAGTTATTTTTGTGAACTGACTATTGAACGAAAGCTCTCCATTTACTAACAACAGTGTAGTCTTCTGAATCTTTTAGCTCTTATTGAAAAAAACATTCCTTTGTTATAGAGTGCAATGTGGTTTGTTTTGGAGGGAGTAAAGGAGGCAGGATGTCTGTCTTTGCTTGGTTTCCTGGCCAGTGCATCTCATTTGAAAATAGTTTGTTTCAAGTAGTTAAGTCTATTCCTGGGAAGCCTCTATTTTTATATATTTTTTTAATTTTTAGACAAGGTCTTGCTCTGTTACCCGGGCTGGAGTGTGGTGGCACAATCATAGCTCATAGCAGTCTCAAACTCTTGGGCTCAAATGATCCTCCCATCTCAGCCTCCCAAGTAGCTTGGACTACAGGTGTGTACCACCATGCCTAATTGCTTTTTTTCAAAATTTTTTAGTAGAGATGAGGTCTTGCTGTGTTTTCTCAGGCTGGTCTCAAACTCCTGGGCTCAAGTGATCCTCTAACCTCAGCCTCCTGAAATGCTAGATTACAGACATGAGCCACTGTGAGCCTTTTATTTGTTTAAGTTTTATTTTTTCCTTTCTTCCCTTCTCCCTTCCTTTCTTTCTTTTGTTTTTAGACAAGTAATTTGACATTAGGAGGTCTTGAAGGTGATGGTTTCCTCTGGCAGTAGTGCCTTTTCTGTCACTGAAGGTGTTCAGTTGGTCAGAATGCATGGCCAATGGAATCATTCTTTCATTAAAGAACAAACATTTGTTAAACGCCTCCCTTTGCCAAAGCATTGGGACACTCACTAGGAGTTCAAAGATAAAAAAGCACGCTTTTTAACAAGTGTACGTTTCAGTGTCAGACATACAGTTTTAATACAACTGCTCATTGTTCTAATGGGAAATAAGAGATTCAGCCATTAAACTACTGTGTGGTGTAGAAGACCTTTTAAAATAGACTGATTTCTGAGAGTCTGTGATTTCACTTATAAGGCTTATGAGGGATTCTTAGCAAGGAAAAATGAGAATCGTTTCTGGTTATACTAATTATGAACTTTGTGAGCCTTGAGCAAGTCTCTAAACTTTCTGAAGCTCAGTTTGTTTTCTTATATTTTAAAAGAGAATATTTTGAAGAGAGATAAATGGAATAATACAAATAAAGTTCCAGCACCTATTAAGTGGGGGTAAGGTGGAGCAGTGTTTACTGAAAATGAAAATTAGATTAAAGGACAGACACTTCAGGGCCATTTTTTTTTCCTCCTCCATATGTGTGAGTGTGGATGGGGTAGGGAGAGGAGGGTGTTTTATAATAAAGAAGTAAACGGAAAGAAAAAATGTGAAGATATAGTTCACTGGGGGAAACACTGTAAATATAGACTAGTGACAGGCAATGAACTGCAGGACCTGAGCTGGTTCTGAGGCAGTGAGCCTCAGCTAGAACATCCCATATACATCGCAGGAGGATGATGACGTTTAATGTGTCAAAGTGTACGTAACTGATGACAGTTTTGTGATCAGGCTTTGTTTGCAATCATAGAGAATCCAGAAAAGTTAATTTTAATACTCTTGATTTTGACAGATAAATTCTTTTTAAAATGTAAAATTATTATTTCTCATTAAAGAAAGAAGAATAGGACATTCCTAGCCTTTTTTTTTTTTTTTTTTTTTTGAGACGAGTTCTCACCTGTCACTCAGGCTGGAGGGCAGTGGTGCGATCATGGCTCACTGCAGCCTCAACTTTCAGGCTCAAGCGATCCTCCCACCTCAGCCTCCTGCATTGCTCGGACTACAGGCACATGCTATCATGCCCATCTAAATGTTGTATTTTTTGTAGAGATGGGGTCTCGGTCTGTTGCCTGTGCTGGTCTTGAACTCCTGGGCTCAAGCAATCCTACTAACTTGGTCTCCCAAAGTGCTAGGATTACAAATGTGAGCCACTATGCCCAGCCCCTGATCTATTAACATTTTAGAAACTAGTTCTTTGTGAGGCTCTTTCATAATAAATTATCAGTATGTTACAGCATTATACAAATTGCAAGTGCTTTCACATGGATAATCTCATTTTTATCACCCCCTTTTACACATGAGAAAATTGAAGCTCAGAAATGACTAGTCTGAGGTCACACAGGTAAGATATGCCAAAGTTGAAACTTGAACTCTGGTGTTTCTTATCATGCTGCACATAAAATTATGGACTGTGCCTCAGGTTAGGAGAAATCAGAATTTTCAATGAAAATACAATTAAAATTGGATTAGTATGTCATTCTATCTTTGATCAGTCTTAACCTTAATTGGCTAATCATATAAAAGCTCTTACACTGTGATCTAATTCAGTCCTGCTGGACAAATGCTATTCTATTGTATTCAATATGATGTCACTGAAAACTTCATGGAATATATTGAGCTGGAAAGATTAGACAAACAACTCCTCACTTACGGTGCACACACGCACACACACACACACATCCCCACACACTTACACATCCCTACTCATTTAAATATAGAACTGTATACAATAATTAATATAATCAATTAATATTTACATATTACGTTATTAGTAAGTTACTTTTGAATACTCCAGTATAAATAATGTAAACAAATTAACTTTAATCAATACTTTAGGGCCAGTTAGTTACAGTAATGTAATAAAAAATGTTTAACAACCAGCTCTGGGGAGGAGTAGAGTCCTGATTTGTAGCATTTGCTGATTTCTGTCCATCAATACTCTCACCATGGCTGGTTTCAGGCTCCCAGTGTGAGGTCACCTAATGCAGGAATACAGATGCTGCTATTTAAATCTGCACCAGAGGGTTCATTGATGAGGGTAAGGGATGTTGAGCATAATTTTGGGGGATAAGTAAATGGTGTCCAATGTATGTCTGGCTGAAAAAAGATTACACAGGCATCTTTGTCCTTGAAGGAACAGTATTGAAGGACCCATCAAGCCCAGAAGCCTTACATCTTCAGAGTATCCCCTGGGTCTAGAACTTTGGTTCTACACCTCCCTATTTAATCAAGGCTCTATTACCTGATCCAATTACAGGCTTTGCTGATTCTTCTGTTAGATTATTATTGTAAAGCTTGTTGGAGTGCCTAAAAGATAGATATCAGGGACTGACTTCCTCAAGCCAGGGGAATAGTTTCTATGACTATTTTGAAGCTTGCTTGCTAATAGATATTTCTATGTAGCAGAATATTGTCTAAGATTTCCTTTATTACACTTGCCACCTAATGGTGAGGTGAAGGAAGAAGTCATAGCTTCCATTTCTCTTTTATCGTATTACCAAATATTGAGGTGATAAATATTTACCAAAAAATCTGACAGTTGTATAGGGCCAACTTGGTTTATTATATCAATTTGCAATATCGGTAAGTACCTACTAAGTTTGGGGCACTATAACATGATAAAATCCTTGTCTACAGAGAGCTTTTAGGTGGATTTAAAAATGCAGTGTTACCATTTCTATTTATAAAGTGTGAAAACAAAGTGGATGCCAGATCACACACAAGCCAGCAGAGAATGTCTCCCAGTCTTGTTTACAGTACTGGGATTGTGGTCAAGGTGAATACACACAGTCCTTTACTCTCTTATCAGAGAGTGAAGGTTTAAAGAGAAACCAACAAAAGTGTCCAGGTACTTTTTTTTTTTCTTCAGACAGGGTCTCAGCTAGGCTGGAGTATAGTGGCACGATCACAGCTGACTGCAGCCTTGATCTCCTGGGCTCAAGCAATCCTCCCACCTCAGGCTCCTGAGTAGCTGGGACTACAGACGTGCCACCACACCTGGCTATTGTTTTAATTTTTTTGTAGAGACCAGGTCTCACTATGCTGCCCAGTCTGGTCTTGTACTCCTGGGCTCAAGTGATCTTCCCACCTTGGCCTCCTAAAGTTCTTGGATTACAGACCTCAAACACCATGTCCAGCCTCCAGGTACTTTTTAACTGTAGTGATTATGTGGCATTTTGATGTAATGGCTCTAAAATATTGCCCCTGAATTCTTGGAAACTTCTTCCTTGTAGAGGTTGGGTGTGGTCTATGTCCTTTTCCTTAAAGCTGGGTTTTTGACTACTTGACCAATAGTACATGGCAGAAGTGTTGCTGTGGCAGTTTCTTAAGATACAGGTCTGGAAACTGGCACTTGATCTGGTAAGGTCCGAACTATATACCAAGAAACTGGCTATTTCCACTTCCTATCTCTGGGATATTTGCTGTTAGAACCTAGTCTCTATTCTGTGAGGAAGCCTAGGCCACCTCATGGAGAGGAACCAATAGGCAGCATCAACTTACCATTCATGAAAGTAAGCCATCTTGGAGGTGGGTCATCCAACCCCAGTTAGGCCACATGGAGCAGAGATAAGCTGTCCTGCTGAGACCTGCCAAAATGGCAAATTCTTAAATAATTATTGCTGTTTAAGTCATGAAATTTTGGGGTAGCTTAATATACAGCAATAGAAACCTGGACACCTAGTAATCTGTTTGTGAGAAGAGACTATCAGATGCTTCTCAGTACTATTTTTCCTGTTAGTTGGTGACTCATTCCTTTGTAGACAGTCTATAGATTTCTTTTGTGTTTACTCCCTCTTGGGGACTTCCCACTTGTGCCTGCCTCCTGTTTAGCAGGAATCTGTAGCAGACAAATCCCAAGCTGAAGCAGGGATTAGGGGTGAGCTTCTGTGAGCAGTGGAAGTTTGCACAACCTAACAAAGAGGTAATTTCTGCAGGGGTGCTTTTGGCAAGAGAGATGCCCATATGTTGGATTGCATAATTCTTTTTTCTTCCCAGTTGGGGGTCATCAGGTCATCTGACTGCTAATTCTTCAGGTATGGACTTTTCTTCCAGCTCTGTGAATCTGTTCTAAAGGGTAGAGTCTGAGATGAGAATCTAGAGACACAAATTGTTGCTGTGTCACCAACTGTGTGAGCTCAATCAAGCCAATTGACATTACTAGGAACATAATGGGATTAAGATACTTAGAAGCCCTACACATTGAACATGTTATGATATTATGACCCCAGATGTAATGTAAGCAAATACAACAAAATTCTGATTTTCACCAAGGTGACTACTTGATGCATTTTTTGAATTACCAAATGTTAAATTTGTTAATTTTTGTTATTTTAGTGTTCCTAATTAGTCTACCTAGTGAATAACCATTGTCTAGGCCTCAATTGCTTCATCCATAAAATAGATAAGTAGATGGTTTGATCTGTTCGATTTCTTTTGTATCTAAATTTTGATTCTGCAATCACTTTTATTCCCTTTCCTTTGTTTGGTATGTTTTTTTTTCTCTTTGCTATAGCTTTATTGAGGTATAATTGACAAGCAATAAACTGAAAAATCTAAAGTGTACAATTTGAGAATTTTTGACATACTTTTACACCGATGAGCATTACCTAATCAAAACAGTAAACATCTCCATCATCTCCACAAATTTCTTTGTGTTCTTCCCTTTCCCTTTTCTTACCCCAGCTTCTAGGCAACTATTGAGCTGCTGTGTATCACTATAGATTAGTTTGCACTTTACAGAATTTTAGATAAATGGAATTCTAGAGTATGTATTCTTTTTTGTCTGACTTCTTTCACTCAGCATAATTGATTTGAGATACAGACATGTTGTTGCATGTACCAGTAGTTCATTTTTTTAAGTTGCTGAGCAGCATTCCATTGTATGGATATGCCACAATCTGTTTTTCCATTTACCTGCTGATGGACATTTGGGTTGTTTCCAGTTTGGGGCTATTAGGGATAAAGCTGCTGTGAACATTCACATATAAATACTTACATAGACACATGATTTTATTTTTCTTGGGTAAATAAATACCTATGAGTGGAATGGTTGGATCATATGGTAATTACATGTTTAATTTTTAAAGAAATGGCCACACTTTTCAAAAGTCGTGGAACAATTTTACTTTCCCACTGGTAGTCTGTGAGAGTTCTAGTTTCTCCATATTCTCACCAACATTTTGTATGGTCAGTTTTTAAAGTTTAGCCATTCTAATAAGCATGTAGTGGTATCTCATTGTGTCTTAAATGTACATTCTTGTGGTAACTAATAGTGTTAAAAATCTTTTCATCTGCTTATTGGCTGATATGGTTTGGCTCTGTATCCCCACCCAAATCTCATCTTGAATTGTAATCTCTGTGTATTGGGGGAGGGGCCTGGCATGAGGTGACTGAATCATGGCAGTAGACTTCCCCCTTGCTGTTCTTGTGGTAGTGAGTTCTCGTGAGATTTGATGGTTTAAAAGTGTGTGGCAGTTCCTCCACACTCACTCTCTCCTGCTTCACCATGGGAAGAAGGTATGCCTTGCTTCCCCTTCAGCTTGTGCCATGATTTTAAGTTTCCTGAGGCCTCCCAGTCATGCTTCCTATTAAGCCCATGGAACTGTGAGTCAATTAAACTTATGTTCTTAATAAATTACCCAGTGTCCGGTAGTTCTTTATAGCAGTGTGAAAATGAACTAATACATTTGCCATCTGTATATCTTCTTTGGTGAAGTGTCTGTCACAATATTTTTTCTAGTTCTTAAAAATTATTACTGATTTTTGAGAGTTTAAAAAATATATTGTGCATAAAAGTTGTTAGATACATAATTTGCAAATATTTTCTTGCAGTCTGACTTATATTTTAATTCTATTAATATTTGGTATGTTCTTAAAGAGGAAAAAATCTTAACATGTGAAATATTTTACATACTCTTAAGTTCAAAGAGCAGCATAGGTGGATCTGGGAAGAAAAAGACATTAGCAAACCATTCAATGGTTTGGCATTGAATGCCTTTGTGTAAGATTTTCTTTAGTTAGCTTTTATTAAGTGACTTTTGTGTATAAAGTATTGCAGTATAAGTAAACATTGTAGTAAGTAATGTTTTAGCTTGAATTCTGGGCTTTATGCATGTTTTTCAGAACAGCCACCAATTTAGACTCATGGTTTCTCTCAGTATTATGCCTGGTCTACAAAGAGTCTAAGCTAAAACACCCATGTGTGATATCTATATCTCCCACATCATCATACACCAATCTATTTCTATTTCTATATATGTATGTATAACTTGCAAAAAATCCAACTTATATTCATATTCAACTTACATCTTTGGTCAAATATAACCATCAGGCAAACTGTTGTGACCTCACAGGTATAATAAACTAAATGATAATATAAAATATGTATCACAAAGCTTGTGCACTTTACTTCACAGTAGAAACATGGATCTGCCTTCAGGTACTTATGTAGACAATTATTTATAAAGCAAGATAGATTATAACCAGTGAGGCCACACTGACAGCATGTGGAAAAACAGTTCACAACAGTGGGAAGAGAGACAGAGAAAATACAGACCCCAAAACTAGAATGCAAAGAAGTCTGGATATATTTTGTATTTGTATAGAAAGCCTTTTAAGTATGAATTTCCCAGAGGACATGGAGTCATGAGATTTGTAATAATTTATCTCAGAAATGCTTGGAATAAATTATAAGTTCTTAAAGGGAATAAGGTTTTGAAGAATGTATAGTTAACTCCTTGATAATATAATTTATATTATGATATGATCAGAAGCTATAAAAAGTATAAAACTTGCCAAAGAAGGGAGTGAGACTGCTGAATGAAGTTAAAGTAGAGGGTTTATCTTGAAAATTCTTCTGCTTTAAATATTCTGAATATGAAATAGAAGGATATGGTTAATTGTCAGTGGGAGAGAAAGGAACAGGTATTGAATGGACCTCTGTATTGTAAGAGTAAAAGAGAAATTCCCAACCAACCAATTATTAAACCTCCTAATATTAAGAATTTATATCTAGCATTTGAAAAATTTGATCTAGAAATTTAAGAACAGGTAGAATTTCCTTCATCATCCCTGTTATTTCCTCTCTTAGTGCTTATAAGTACAAACTCCAGAACAGTCTAGTTTGAGTTTGAGTTTCAACATCATCAGTGGGTTGGCTTCCACAAACCCAAGTTTTCTAACCTACAGAATGGAACTAAAATCCCCACCTGAAGAGGTGGTGGTGAGGATTATAGGAGATGCAGGTAAAGGGCTTAGTATAGTACCTGGCCCAGGGTTTTAAACACTTAGTAAATATAAAATATTACAATTATTGTTTATTCTAGGGAGAAATTTGAAGGACAAGCAGCACTGAAAAATTCAAGCAAAAACATTAGCAGTCAATATCCCATAATTTGAAATTAAGGATTAAAATTAGGTATTATTTTCATCTGTTTTTGTTTCTCTTATTTTAATAAAAAAGCTGTGGAAGCCCCCAGAAATAACTGCCAGCTTTTGGAGGGTGTCTCTGGATGTTTTGTGTGTTCCATCTGGGCTGCAGCCATTATTCTACCTACTTGACAGACGATGAGGTCATGGAGGCCAAGTGTTCTTCACGACGACACCCAGGTCAAAGGCAGAGTTAAAGTACATCCCAGGTCACATAACTCATTCTCTGTTCAAGAATCTTTCCTAATCCCTGGTGCCATTTGGGAACTGTTTCAAAGGCATTCCAACCTCAGAATCATGCCAGTGCACTGGTTATCAATTATTTTGTTGATCCTTTAGCAAATCCTCAAACTGATTTTTCTGCCCTCCTGAGACACAAATCACAAAGCTGACCTTAAGTGCTTTGGCATCCCCCTCCAGTCCCGAGGCACACAAAAAAGCAGTGCAGGGTTGGTGATTTATTGTTTTCCCACGCAGGTCACGCTCAAGCCCAGACAGATAGAGAAGATTTGTCTTTAACGAGAGAAATGCACCATTACTTGGTCATAAATTCAACTTAATGGTAATTTTAGTAGGGCAGCTTGCCCAGGGTTTGTAGAAACACAAATCAAAAATCCCAAATTCCATGCATATCCTCCTAGAAACTCTTTTGGCAACTCCCTTCCATTTGCTTTTTAAGGAAATCAATTTCCTTAGTTATGGTCCCTAGTTGCTTAGGGTGGTTTTGCACAGAGTCTAGAATCACTGTGGCAGCAGAGAGGGGAGTGGGTGGCATGCTGCTTGAACTATTTTTGCCAAGCATTCGGCCTTGACTTCAGTTGTCAAGGAGGCACAAGTGAGCTGACACACAGATTCGGTAGACAGTCCCAAAAAAGTAGTATGTGGTGAAAATGTTCAGATGACTCTGTCTAAGGAAAAATTTTTTTCAAATCCTCCTGTCCTTGACTGATTCCAAACTGACAAATTCTGGTCATTATGAATCTCAGGTCACATAACAAGCTCTGAATCCTTACAGAGTTGGTTTAGTCCAAGCTGGCATAGAAATATCTATGGAGTATATTCAGGCACAAGGCTACCAGACACCCCTCCAGACTCTTAGAAGTAGACTCAAACATACCATCTTGTATGCATGCCATATCCTGTGCTCCCTATGATCATAGCAACTAGAAGACCTTATTGTCCTTAATTACTTATGCGTGTTCCCTTATAGCACACTGTGTGCTCCCAGGTGTATGGCAATGCCATACCTGAATTTGTTTCTCCAGTTTTTAACCCAGTGCCTGACATGTGACAGATGCACAGTTAGCATTGGTTGAATGAACAGAAGTATGAATGAATAACGTTCATGCCTTTCCAGTAAGGTCTGACTTTTAAGTTGGGGAACCTGGGAAATGGCCATTCCTTCTTCTTCTTTTTTTTTTTCAGGATGATATACATGGCCAGGTGAAGACAGTAGAGAGAAAACAGAACTGAAAGTAAGTGTCTCCCATAAGTAGGGTAATTTGTACTTTATTTACTTACACCAAAATTTACAGAATGCCAATACAGTCAAAATATAGTGTCAGGTACTGAAGAATATTTAACTAGGAATCAAAGAACTCAAGATCTCTTACTCTTTAGATCTAAGATCCAATGTATAATGCTACCCTAAATTACTTTATTCTTAATAGCATCACTCTATCCAGAGAAAATACACGACATTCTAGCTTCTCTGATTTGGTTTTGCAGATGGGTCTACCTATAACCTTCCCCTCAGGGGTAGAGAGGAGTTTAGCTGGCAGTTTATTTCTGTTTCTACTCACACGCCTAGCATATGAGAAGGCTGGGATTAGAGCCAAAGGAGAAGCCTGGAACACCCAGGTGATGGCATGTTTGGATCCTTATAATTCTCTATGAAAGAGTGAAGAGACTCAAAGGCTATGGCTCTCCAGCTTGAGTGGGCATCAGAATCACCTGGAAGGCTTCCTAAGACACATTATTTCTGGGCCCCCACCCCCAGAGTTCCTGAGTCAGTAGGTTTAAGTTCAGATTCCAGAAGTTGCATTCCTAGGAAGTCCCCAAGCAATGCAAATGCTACTGGTTTAGGACCAGCTGAACTAAGGTAAGCCCTGACACTTTCCACCAAATCAAATTCTCTCATTCCCTCATATAATGCCACAAGATGATTCCATTTGTATGGTTTTGTCCAGGTAGCCTTGGACTCAAATAAAAGAATCAGTTGGAATTACTTATTTCATAGCTGTTTTCCACTGATCTGGGGCAAATTTTTTGTGCCAGATACCTTCCTTTGTGGTTTAACCTGTATTTATGGGCTGCCTCTCTTGTCATTAGTTGGAAATAAAAACAATGATAGTATCAATGAAAGCAACCTGCAAAAGTATTGTTAACATAGAGATGCATACACATAAACTGTTTATTCATGCCATTGGGCTTGTGTGGATAACTGTGTAAAATAATGAATTTAACATTAGCCTTTGGATTTTTTCTCCTTTCCTTCATCTGCTCTGACTAGGAGAATAATTGTAGCTTCAGTCTAAATGGAGAAATATTAGCCAGGTCTTTCTGTCTTCTAGATAGGTCCTGTAGTCCAGCCAAGCTATCTGGATTTCTGATTAGACAGAAATCCATTTTTATAAAGAGAAAAAAATGTATTTTCTCAAGAATTATTTTTAGTTATTTTCTCTCTTGTGATGAAAGGCTTATCTAAATAGCCCAAGCTTCATTCAAGATTCTTCCCCACTCTTTGTTGTCACCCAGCCTTCCCTGACCTCACTCACCCTCAGACAGCCAGGGATTTAAAAATACGTTGGAAGATTTTAATGGTCTCTGCAGAGTAGAATTACATTCTTCTGTGTAACATTTGGACACCAAGCAGAGAGATAGCACAGTCTGTCTAGCTCTTTTGTAATTATTTCATGGTATTGTTTTAATTGTGGCATGGCTTAATCACTGGCTGTGCACAGATTATGCCACATACTTAAAATAATTACAGGGATTTGGTAAGATAATGCTGTGAATTCATTTAATGCTTCTTTTCCAATAGACTCCACACTCTTAAAAGGAGAGAGAAGCAAAGAAGGACAGTCAATCAATGCCAGCATTGGTCATTTTCTGCACCTTGTGAGGACTGACCAGGATGATATATGCACATTTTTTTATTTCAGTCATCTTCCACCTGCCCAAGGAGGCATTTTATCTAGTACTCAAAGATCCTGAAACTAGTGTGACACCCTGTTAAGATCCCTTTACCAGCTAACACTTAATATAGGTTCACAACTAGTAACCTAGCCAGGCCTGTGTGAACACATTAGTTTTAAATCCAATGGTTTGTCTATGTAACTGTATTAGGGTTCTCTAAAGGGACAGAACTAATAGGATAGGTTAATATATGAAAGTTTATTAAGAGTTTATTAAGGAGTATTGACTCACATGATCATAAGGTGAAGTCCCACAATAGGCTGTCTGCAAGCTGAGGAGCCAGGAAGCAATTCCAAGTCCCAAAACTTTAAAAGTAGGGAAGCTGATAGTGCAGCCTTCAGCCTGTGGCCAAAGGCCTCAGAGCCCCTGGCAAATCAGTGATGTAAGTCCAAGAGTCCAAAAGCTGAAGAACTTGGGAGTCCGATGTTTGAGGGCAGGAAGCATCCAGCACAGGGGAAAGATGGAGGCCAGAAGATTCTGCCAGTTTAGTCCTTCCACATTCCTCTGCCTGCTTTTATCCTAGCCATGTTGGCAGCCGATTAGATGGTGCCCACCCAGATTGAGAGTGGGTCTGCCTTTCTTAGTCCACTAACTCAAATGTTAATCTCTTTTGGCAGCACCCTCACTGACACACCCAGAAACAATACTTCACATTTTTCAATCCAATCAAGTTGACACTCAACATTAACTATCACAGTAACTGATGACTGCTATCTCCATTAGCAGTTCTTTAGCTTCAGAAGAGTGTAATCTGGTTATAAATCTTTGTTAGAATTACTTCGTTGGTTAATTTTATGTGTCAACTTGACTGGCCTAAGCAACGCCCAGATAGCTGGTAGAACATTTGTCCTGGGTGTGCCTGTGAGAGTATTTCTGGAAGACACTACCATTTGAATCATCAGACTGAGAAAAGAAGATACACTCTTGCCAATGTGGGTGAGCATCGTCCAATCCATTGAGAGCCAAATAGAAAAAAAAAGGTGGGGCAAGGTGAATTTAATCTCTTTTCTTGAGCTGGGACGTCCAACTCCTCCTGCCCTTGGGTCTTAGAGTTCTTATTTCTTGGGCTTTTGGACTTCAAGACTTAAAACAATGCCCCCACTCACCACAAGGTTCTCAGTTTTATGGCCTTGGACTTGGAGTTATACCATCATTTCCTCTGATCTCAGGCCTTCATGCTTGGATTGACTTCTGCCACTGGATTTCCTGGGTCTCCCACTTGTAGATGGCATATCATGGGACTTCTTAGCCTCTGTAATTTCATGAGCCAATGCCTGCAATAAATATCCTCTTATATCTATCTATCTGTCTATCTATCTATCTATCTATCTATCTATCTATCCATCCATCCATCTTCTGTTGGTGCTATTTCTCTGGAGAACTCTGGCTAATACAACTATCATGCAATTTGTATGGTTTATTGAATACTGATTTAATCATTCATTCAACAGATATTTATCTTGTGCCTGCTATGTGCCAAGTGTGTTCTAAACTCTAGCAGTGAACAAGCTAAGCAAAATTCCTACTTCGTGGCACTCGTGTTTGAGATGTAGGGGAGACAGACAGTAAACCAACAACAAAATAACAATTTCAGATATGGTTAGTCATATGAGTAACATAAAGCAGGGTTGGGGAATAGAGAGTGGCTAGAGTGTGGAGATTTTAGATAGAAGATAGCATTTGAACAGAGTCCTGGTGATGAGAAGGAATCAGACTTGTGAAGGTTTGGGGGAAGGGAATTTTAGGCAGAAGGAAGGCAAAGTGTAAGGGGCTGAATCCATGGTAAGCTTAGTGGTTCTGCGAACAGTGAACAGTGCAGAGGGGCTGGAGCAGAGCAAGTAAGCAGTAGAGTTGTTGGAAGAGGAGGAGGCTGAGGCCATGTCAAAGGGTTCTGCCCCCATGGCAATAAGGTTAGATTTTTATGTAATGGGATGTCTTAGAGGGTTTAGATTGCCTGGTTGATATTTTTGAAAGATCAGTCTGGTTGATGAGATAAGATTTATAGGCAAGAATGAAAGTAGAAAGGGCCATTTAGGAAGCTATTGTACTGGCCCAGTTATCCTCGGCTTGGATTAGGATGGGAGTGGTAGAGAGGTTAGAAATATTTTGGAGCTAGAACTCACAAGATTTTCTAATAGATAGTGTCTGGGGATTAAAGGAATGAATAGAATCAAAACTGATTCCTAGATTTCTGGCTTAAGCAACTGGGGAATGGTGGAACCATTAACTGAGAGGGAGAAAACTAGGGCATGCAAAATTTTGTTTAGATTTGTTGAGTTTGAGATAAGTATTATACATCCAAGTGGGAGTTTAGTAGACAGTTGAAAATATAAATCTAGGGTTCAGGGGATAGGTCAGAGGTGGAGATATATGTGTAGGATTCCTTACTGTATACATGTAATAGTTATTACCTAAGCTACATCTTGGCTGAGTGATGAGATGAGGTGATGCAAACAAAGTATACATCATTGTCCTGCCCTACTGGAGTATATACTTGTAAAATCTTATCTTTTTAAAATGATGTACTTAATGAATAATAGAAGGAAACATAGAGTAGGTTTTGAATACAATATGTTTTTGTTCATTTGTTGTTTAATAGCAAATAATCCAAAATTTAAATATTTAAATAAGAATTATCTTTCAAGGTAGCCTCTTGGGAGGGCTAGCCAATCAGCCCAACAATTTCTTAGAGCTTTCTTGGAGTGATTGGGATTCCCTTTTAGATTTGGTCATGCCACAAGAAAGTTAGTCTACCTTTTCATAAAACTATATCTCATTTTTTGTTAAAAAATAGGACTTGCTTGAAAGTTCACCTGTTGTTGGACTTGTGACAACAAGAAAAATAAAAAAAAAATACGTCACCGAGGAATATGACTTGGTACCCATATTAGTCCATTCTCCTGCTGCTATAAGGATATACATGAGACTGGGTGATTCATAAAGGACAGATGCTTAATTGACTCACAATTGCAGGGCTAGGGAGGCCTCAGGAAACTTACAATCATGGCAGAAGGGGAAGCAAACATGTCCTTCTTCACATGGCAGCAGGAAAGAGAAGAATGAGAGCCAAGCAAAGGGGGAAGCTCCTTATAAAACCATTAAATCTCATACTCGTAAGAACTCACTCACTGTCATGAGAATAGCACAGGGGAAACCTCCCCCATGATTCAGTTACCTCCCACTGGATCCCTCCCATGGCATGTGGGAATTACGGGAACTACAATTCAATGCCCTTCCAACAGTCCCCCAAAGTCTTACCTCATTCCAGCATTAACTCAAAAGTCCAAGTCCAAAGGCTCATCTGAGACAAGGCAAGTCCCTTCTACCTATGAGGCTGCAAAATCAAAAGCAAGTTAGTTATTTCCTAGATACAATGGGGCTACAGATGTTGGCAAATACCCCCTTTCCAAATGGGAGAAATTGGCCAAGACAAAGGGGCCACTGTCTCCATACAAGTCTGAAATCCAATAGGGCAGTCATTAAATCTTAAAGCTCCAAAATGATTTCCTTTGACTCCATGTCTCACATCGAGGTTACGCTGATGCAAGAGATGGACTCCCATGGCCTTGAAGAGCTCTGCCCCTATGGCTTTTCACGGTACAGCCCCCTTCCTGGCTGCTTTCATGGGTTGGCATTGAGTGCCTTTGGCTTTTCCAGGTGCACAGTGCAAGCTGTCAGTGGATCTACCATTCTAGGGTCTGGAGAACAGTGACCCTCTTTTCACAGCTCCACTAGGCAGTGCCCCAGTGGGGACTGTGTGTGGGGGCTCCAACCCTACATTTCCCTTCTACACTGCCCTAGCAGAGGTTCTCCATGAGGGCTCCACCCCTGTAGCAAACTTCTGCCTGGACATTCAGGCATTTCCATACACCCTCTGAAATGTAGGCGTAGGTTCCCAAACCTCAGTTCTTATCTCCTGCACATACACAGGGCCAAGACCATGTAGAAGCTGCTAGGGCTTGGGCTTGCATCCTCTGAAGCAATGACTCAAGCTGTGCATTGGCCCCTCTTAGACATGACTGGAGCCGAAGCAGTGGGAATGCAGGCCACCATGTCCTGAACAGGAGGGCCCTGGGCCTGATCCACTAAAGCATTTTTCCCTCCTAGGCCTCCAGGTCTGTGATGGAAGGGGCTGCCATGAAGGTCTCTGACATGTCCTGGAGATATTTTTCCCATTGTCTTAGTGGTTAACATTCTGCTACTTGTTATTTAGGCAAATCTCTGCAGCAGGCTTGAATTTCTCCCCAGAAAATGGGGTTTTCTTTTCTGTAGCATCGTCAGCCTGCAAATTTTTCAGACTTTTATGCTCTGCTTCCTCTTGAATGCTTTGCCACTTAGAAATTTTTTCCACCTGATACCCTAAGCCATTGCTTTCAAGTTCAAAGTTCCACATATCTCTAAGGCAGTCTCTTTGCTAAAGCATAGCAAGAGTCACCTTTGTTCCAGCACCCAAGAAGTTTCTCATCTCTATCTGAGACAATCTCATCCTGGACTTCATTGTCCTTATCACTGTCAGCATTTTGGTCAAAGCCATTTAACAAGTCTCTAGGAAGTTCCAAACTTTCCCACATCTTTCTGTCTTCTGAGCCCTTTAAGTCTCCAGGAAGTTCCAAACTTTCCCACATTTTCCTGTCCTTTTCTGACCCTTCTCAATGATTCCAATTTCTTCCTGTTACCCAGTTCCAAAATCACTTCCACATTTTGGGATATCTTTACAGCAGTGCCACACTCTCTGTGGTACCAATTTACTATATTAGTCTGTAATAAGGACATACCCAGGACTCGATAATTTATAATGAAGAGGTTGAATTGACTCACAGTTCCATAGGGGTGGGGAGGCCTCAGGAAACTTATAATCATGGCAGAAGGGGAAGCAAACACGTCCTTCACATGGCAGCAGGAAGGAGAAGAATGAGAGTGACAAAAAGGGGGAAGCTCCTTATAAAACTATCAGATCTCATAAGAACTTAATCACTATCATCAGAATATCATGGGAGAAACTGCCCCCATAATTCAATACCTCCCACTGGATTCCTCCCATGACATGTGGAGATTATGAGAACTATAATTCAAGATGAGTTTTGGGTGGGGATACAGCCAAACCATGTCAGTACCACTGATGATTTTAAATGGACTTTGTCGCTTGCCTTGGTGGTTCATAGAAGAGTGTCTGGATATGTTTTGAGCAATAAAGAAATGATTGGAAAAAGTACACAATCTCCCATGTGATAACTTTGAAGGAAACACTGTTTATTTGCTTTTAGAGCTTTAGTTTTATTCATTCACTTATCCAGTCATGAAAAAAATATTTATTATCTGACATGTGCCTGGTGGTATTCTAGGCAGTGAAAAGGCAGTTACAAGTAGTGAAAAGAAAAAAACAATACTAATTATTAAGTCTTCATCTTTGGCCTAAAATGTTAGTATCTCTTAGCCTTAAAAAATCCAGTGTTTTGCAAATGGCTCAATCAATCAATCAATCAATTTATTGAACAAACAAAAACATTCAAATGAAGGAATAAAATTTAACTTTACCTTTGCCTTCACTATCTGTCTTCCTCTTTGTATTATATCCCCAGAAACCTCATTCCCACCCCTCTGCTTTTGAAGTCTAAAGTAATCTGTTCCTGTATGCTGTAACATCTCCTTCAAACATGAAACACTCTTTTATTTTTCTTTCTCCCCCATTTTGCTGCTGGGATATGTCAACAAATCTCTGGGCTAGGACGGTAATATACTAATTAATTCATAGTCAGGTATAAATGATTTGACGCTGATTTACTAAGCCCTAAACTTTTATTTTAACAACAGGACAGGACTTAAATATATCTCTATTGATGGAAATGATAGCATTTGCAAGTAGTAAAATGATATATTTCTTGGCTGAGAGCCTTCTCCATGTCTCTGAAATCACAGCCTATACAATCTACTTAAATTGCCAATTATAATTCCTAGGAACAAAAACCTTTCAGTTTCTCCCTGATGCTACTATTTCTTTTTCTTTTTAAGAGATACTTTGCAGCGCTCTCATGTCATGTAATATATTAGCAAGTAATCCTCATAGTTGTGCTAGAGGAATGGGCCAAATTTTGCCTTGGCCTTTGTTTAGCTGGATGGTACCTCCACACTGTACTGGGGCTCTCCATCACCATAGCTCCTTCAGTCTTGTGCAACATATTATTACAATCAGCTTCACTTGTTCCCAGTTCTTTCAGCATCTGTAGTGGCAGCTGGCGCATCTCCCACTTCATCAGGAAGTGCATTCAAGGGTATCCGGCTAGAAAGTTCCCCCAGCAAGCATTTCTTCATATTGCAAAATGAAGAAGCAAGGTTTCACTTGTAGGTATTCATATCTGGGGTCAAGTAAGGTAGAATAAAGTTAGGGGGATCTTCCATCATCAAAGTGTCTTCATCATGGGTGAGGCCAGTAAAAAATATCCTCTTTTTTTTCTAGTAGACTGGTATTCCTTTGATCCTGGTTTTAATCAGAAAAGGAATGAACAGAATTATGCGATTGGCACTGCCCTTGTTTGTTTTCTAAATTCTCAAAGGGAATTGCTCTCATACCATGGGTTTCCCCCAAGATCTACAATTCTGGTTACCAAGGTTCACTTTTGTGTGGGGTTTCCTGCATTTTGCCTTTGGACACCCAAGTCTATCTTTCCTGCAATTAACAGGAAAATTCCATTGTGCCAATTGTGGTTTTGCTTTTTCTTCTTGAGAAAACAACCTTTATTGCCCTTCACCTGCCTTTGCGTCCAGTATTCTGTACAAATGTGTCATCGCATGACAAAGAGGGTGGCAATGAGGACCAGCATGTGTCAAAAGTGTTTGAAAACTGTTCTAGTTAATTAGAAAGAGCCATGCTCTAGAAAGTTCAACTCACGTGAAAATTACTGGCTCGGAGAACTAACTTATCTTCACCATTTTCTCTCTGGGGAAGAGCTTTGGGACAACCCCCTCCAAGGTCATTCATTTTTGTCTTTGTAATTTCATAGTATGCCATGTGTCTGGTAATCAGTATTAGAGCCAGAAGTGTTGCTAGACTTCAACAATCTTTGGCAGTTATTGAGATAGATGTGTCTCTTGGAGAAAGATTAATTGGAGTCTGAAATGTTTAAGGAAGCTAACAATTATTGAGTGCTTGTTCTGTGCCAGGCAATATGCTAGGAATTTCTGCATATGCTATCTCATGTCACAGAATCTCAATTTTTCTGCTTATGAGTTGGAATATGGGATTTTATTTAAGTCTTCCTTTTAGCAATTTTGTCTGAAGTGTTGCCTATGTAATTTTACACTTGAAGGAAAGTGTATTCAGTGGTTAAAAAGAGCCACAGAGGTAGCAAATAATTTGGAATTCGGCTTGTTCATTAAGTACACAAATAAATCCAAAGTACACAAACAAATTCACATTACAGAGTTAGAGCTTGTATTAGGCCATTCTTACATTGCTATAAAGAAATAATGAGACAGGGTAATTTACAAAAAAATAAGTTTGATTGGCTCACAGTTCTGCAGGCTGTACAGGAACTGCAGGCTGCATAGTGGCATCTGCTTCTCAGGAGGCTTCAAGAAGCTTCCAATCATGGCACATGGTGAAAGCAGGAACAAGAGAAAGAGAGGAGAGGTGTTACACACTTTTAAATGACCCAGATATCATGAGAACTCACCCACTATCGTGAGGACAATACCAAGGGGATGTTACTAAACCATTCATAAGAAATCCACCCCTATGAGCCAATCACCTCCCAGCAAGCCCTACCTCCAATACTGGGGATTACATTTGAATATAAGGTTTGGGTGGGGACAACATCCAAACTCTTATTAGGGCTAGTCAACACCACTAGAGTCAAGTGAGCTCACAGGACAATTTTGTGAATTTGGTACTAAAGCAGTCATTAGAACTATTTATCAATATTTCCAGACTTTCTCTTCCTGCAGTGTTCTCAAGCCATATAATGTATTAGCAAGTGATCCTCATATTAGACCACAATTCCCCAAATCCTTGAAATTAGGTGTGGCCATGTAACTTGCTTTGGCCAATGAAATGTGAGCAGAATTGATGTACGTCTCTTCAGGTAGAAGCCTTTAGGTTCAGCGGAGGAGACATCTTCCCTTCCTCCAGCCATGGTGACCAACAACATTCCAGAGGATGCAGGTCTGCAAGCCTGAGTCCTGAGTGATGACAATGTGAAGACAAACTCACTACCAACCCAAAGTACCATGAGCGAGAAATAAATAAACCTCTGTTATAAGTCATAGAGATTTGGGGATTGTTTGTTAATGTAGCACAAACTAGATTGTGCTAACTCATACAGGAACCATCCAGCCAGAAAGCCAAAAAGTCCTTCCTAAATGTATTTGCTTTCATTACCGGAGAGGTTTAACCAGAGGTTTGAATTGACCAAATTCTTGTGATGATTATACAGTTTGGTAGTTAAGAGGTCTCTGCAGTCAGGCTGTCACCATAGGTACATCAGCCCTGCTGCTTTCTACCTGTGAAAACTTGAATGTGTTACTTGATCCATCTGGGTCTCAATTTCCTCATCTGAAAAATAGGTATAATAGTAATACTGACCTCCTAGAGCTATTGTAAGGTGAAATAAGATAATGTACAGAAAGCACATGTCAGTTTGTAAGTTTTCTGTGATTAATGTTAGCTGTCATTCCATTATCCAGTACCAGCACTCACTTTATACAAGTCTATCTTTTTGCAGTTTAATGGTTTGGATAACTGATCTTTCAAGTCCCTCCCAGCTCTGAAACTATGAGTCCATGAAATATCTTGCTTTTTGGTACCTAAATTTCCTTAGAGTAGCTTTAAATTGTAGTTTGAGTTTTGTGGCGCATGTGGGAACTGATGTTAGCAGAGTTTCTCTGGCTTAAGAAATCCATCTACAAAAAATCAGTTTTCTCTGCCTCAATTATCTCTCGCTTGTCCTACTACATCATTCCTTGAAGTTTTTCCAGAATTTTTTGACTTTGTAGTTGCTTGCTTCTTTTTCATTCTGAAATACATTTTTTCCTTTTGGCTTTTGACACTGAACAACATAAATTTTCCTTTTAATGGACTTGCCTATGTGTATGGTAAATAAAAGCAGGAATATGTGAGGAACAATTTCCCAATAGATTATGGAGGTTTTTGGTGGCGTTTTAAGGTTTTATGACACTGAAGAGAGGAAAGGAGAAAAACTTGTTCTTAGAAACATATCAACTTTAACATTACACCGAAACATTTCATACACACATATTTGCAGGAATATTCTGATTTGCTGTGTATGTTTTCCAGTGTTCTCTCTAGGAAAGAATGCACTAAGATCTGAAAAAAGTAGTTATGATTGGTTAAAAATGTTTTGTTAAAATAGAAAAAAGTGTAGCCTTAAGTATTTTGCTGGCATAGTAGGAACCAATAACTATTGCTTTGAAATGCAGCTGTGCATTGTGAAGCTGTGAACAAGACTTTTCAAGGAAAATAGCATTGTCTAGGATGGAGGAAGAGGCCAGGACCTATAGTTGTGTCAGATGTGAGCAGGTAGTGCCAAAGTTATTTGTAGAAAAGATCATGATGGTTGAGTTCCTGGGACAATAACCTGAGAGATCAGGGAACACGAAAAGGTAGAGTCAGGAAAATCAAGCTTGGGGAATGGGGATGGGGTATGAAAGGGAGAAAAACTGAGGCAGGAAGAGGGATGAGATCAAAGAGGATACAGAATAAATGCAGAGCTACAGATAAAGCCCTCAGGACCAAAAGTCAGAGATCCCAGTTGTTTAATCCAGAGACAGGAAAAAGGACATCCTCTAAAAAGACCTAGGTTATGGGCTGAAGGGAGAAGATAGATAACAGGAAAGAACCAGGTTTCTCTTGGGACCCAGAGAGCAAGACCAGCCCTAACTTCCCCCCTTCCTTTCTCTGTTCTAACACTTCTCATAAAACAATAGTTTAACTTGATGCTAGAATGTGGAGATGAAACAAACTCTCTGAAAAGAGAGAGAACCTCAGAGTCCCCAAGCCAGGAGACTGACAGAGAAGCCCTGACAGAAAGACTAGCATAATGATGGGAATTGCAGTGACAGGCCATGGCCGGAAGGGATTGTCTCATGCTTTACAAGTATTGTTTTATAGAATAAGTGAGTGTGTGCAATAGGAAGCATTGAACTTGAGCTGGGCTTACCAGTAGCATGGCCTTCCACTCCACTTCTGGAAAGCTAACACCCTAAAATTCCCTCCCAGGTGGGAAAGTGCCTTGCCTAGAGTTCCTGCCCAACAAATAATGTATGAGAGAGACCACTCCAGAGGAAGGTAGTCAGATGTGAGCTGGGGTAGGGAGAAGGGGCAGGAGAGGTATATTGTGCTGGAAAGCAAGTGGGAAGAAGAGCAATTTCCTCTTTTCCCTCTTCCAACCCTCAGATAAGGTGAATCATAGGGAACACTGATTGGTAAATCCATCAACCTAAGTAGGTTCCTTTCACCATGTAATGGCATTGTGTAATTTGCTGCAATATTTCCATTGTCTAGGCTATACTAGAGGGTCACTGATAATCCAAAGCAAATAAAAGAAGAGTTTGGGAAATAATTGATGTTAGACAAGGCTCCAGAATCCTATGACAATGCAATGTCTTGAATGCCTGCCTATTTTTCCCTTGTAATCTTTATGAATCCCAATGGAATCAGATCTAATTCAGCCTTAGGATACTTTAATTTGTCCAATTTGGGTTATTAGACCCTAAGAATTCCTTGACTTACCTCCTTTCTCCATTCTTTGGAGGGAGGGATTCCTAAATGTTTTCTAGAAGGATAGTCTTGGATGCTGTTACCTCAAACTTGGGTCCGCTACTTGTCTTGGTTTTGTTTTGTGCTGCAATAACAGAATAGCACAGACTAGATCCCTTATAATGAATAGAAATTTATTTGGCTTACATTTCTGGAGGCTGAGAAGTCCAAGACTGAGAGGCCACACCTGGTGAGGGCCTTCTTGCTGTGTTATAAAATGGCAGGAAGCATCACACAGGTGGGAGAGAGAGAGAGAAAGAGAGAGGAAGAAGAAGGAAGAAGGAAGAAGAAGCAGAAACAGAAGAAGAAAAGAAGAAGCAGAAGAAGAAGAAGAAGAGGAGGAGGAGGAGGACGGAGCAGAAGAAAACGACGAAGGAAGGAAGGAGAAGAAGGAGAAGAAAGGAGAGGAGAGGGCTAATTTTTTTAAATAAAAAATTAGCAACCTCTAATATAACCTCTATTCTCATGAATGGATTAATGCTGCCATCGCAGTAGCATTAATCCATTCATGAGAGTAGAGCCCTCAAGACCTAATTACCTCTTAAAAGTCTCATCTCTTAACACTGTTGCATTGGGAATTAAGTTTCTAACATATAAACTTCTGGGGACCCATTCAAACTGTATTACCACTCATTAGCTGTATGTCCTTAGGAAATTGCCTTAATCACCTAAATTTCAGTTTCTTCATCTGTAAATGGGGTACCACCTCCTTCTTATAGAGAAGTTGTATAAACTCATGACCCAGTAGATTTGAGAAGTACTAAGGTTACATATGGCACCCTTCTCTCAGGATGCTGAGTGCCTAGTATGTCTTCTTTGCCCAAATAATCCTAGGGGATCTTTCCCCAGAAGAAAGCAAGCCAATTTTGTGTGAAGGTCTCAAGGACTTGGCTCCAGAGACAAAGTTTCTCCTAAATAACCAAACTAGTATGTGCAATGAATTGTCCATTGTTTCTTTCATCTCCCAGCTTCAAATGTTTTCTTGAAAGTCTGGCTGCCTGACAGCTTAAGCTGCTAGCCTCTTCATTAGTCCAACAGAGGACTGGGTATGAGAATTGGTGAAAATGGGCATGACCAGTACACATGTTTTAGGTGAATATGATGGTTAATACTGAGTGTCAACTTGATTGGATTGAAGGATGCAGAGTTTTGTTCCTAGGTGTGTCTGTGAGGGTGCTGCCAAAGGAGATTAACATTTGATCAGTGGACTGGGAAAGGCAGACCCACCCTTAATCTGAGTGGGCACAATCTAATCAGCTGCCAGTCTGGCCAGAATAAAAAGCAGGCAGAAGAACGTGAAAAGATTAGAATGGCTTAGCCTCCCAGCCTACATCTTTCTCCCATGCTGGATGCTGCCTGCCTTCGAACTTTGGTCTCAAAGTTCTTCAGCTTTGGGACTTGGACTGGCTTCCTTGCTCCTCAACTTGCACATGGCCTGTTGTGGGACCTTGTGATTGTGTAAGTTAATACTACTTAATAAACTCCCCTCTGTATATATGTCTATCCTATTACTTCTGTCCCTCTAGAGAACGCTGACTAATATAGCAAGTTATACCTTGCTGAGGTCAACTTAAAGGAAAGAAGTCTCACCAAAGGCTAGGGATGATATAAAATAGGAGACATTCACTGAGTGTAGATTCTTAGGACCCACAAGTACAAAAAGATGACACAGTTAGGTTCTTCCATGACCTTCAATCTCATCACCCCTGAACCTAGTGTGGTCATGGTGGCATCAGTGTTCATTGCTGCTTTAGTCACAGGTTATGAAATAATCACTAGATATCACACATGTGTGACTCCGCAATGATGACTTGTGTTCCAGCCATGAGACCTGAGACAGAGTACGTCCAGCCTGACCATGGCAACCCCAGGCTTGCAGTATTCGTGCTGAAGCCTGCTCTGAATCAGATAGTTGAGTTCAATAGTGTTTATGGGCAACATAGAGAGACTCCTGTGCCTTCTGCTGGACCCTTTGGAGAGCTAATGCCATCTCTGTTGCAGGGAGCTATGTTTCCCAGGTTCCATTACCAACTGGTTTTCAGGTAGGTTTGGCTAATGAGAGGCACTGCAGAGCAGATGAACCAGAGCATTTCTCCTCCTTTTTGCTTTAAATGAGGCTTCCAGCAGTGGCTACTTTTGTTTGTTTATGAAATTTTAGCTCTTATTGGTTAACCCCATTCTTTGTGTTTCCAGCTCCTATGGAGTGATCCCTGCCATGGTTTTAACTCTCACCAAATGGCTTTAGTTTCTGGTTCTGGTAATGCTGTATTCTCTCTTTGTCCTTCCAGCTCTAGAGGTGGTGACCACTTTTGGCTGTTTAGCTCTTTCATCATTTATGTAACCAATTCCCTGTATTAAATTCTTTCTGCTTAAAATGCCTCAGTTGGTTTCTGTTTTTCTGACTAGACTTTCACTGTTACATGTTTCTCAGTCATTGCTACTTCATCTTCATTTTGGATTGAAGTCTCCCATGCAAGTTTTGCAGTCTCCCAAGCCACAAACTGGGAAACCAGGTAATGATTCCTTCAGTCCTTAGGTTTCTCTGAACATACCCTAGGTTTCTTTCACTGAACTCTTTGGGCTTTTGACCCTATGAAGGAGACAGGGTGCTTTTTATTTCCAAGTGACCTACCTTATATCAACACCAGTCAAGATTCCTGAGATTGTTCTCCCATCCAATGGTTAATTTCTTTTAGAATAGAAAAGCTGCTCTTAGTTTATCACTCATTTTCTCCTTTCCTTTGTTTTATGTTATAAACTCTATGTTATCTCTCTAGACTTTACTGTTGGAGAAAAAAGCCTTCCAGTAATACAAATAAACACAAACACAAAGACAAAACAGGGATGGATGCAGAACTTCAAGGATCACATAGATCTATTGAAGTGATGAGTGGCAGCAACAGCATTACTTCAAATTTCAAGGGACAGCAATGGCTGCAGGGCAATTAGCAATTCCCAGTCATGGGAGTGTGGATCATCACACCCACTTAGTAGTGGTAACAGTGGTGTCTTTATCAACTAGGGTTTTGTAGCATGATTTTGAACATGATCCCTTAATGTATAGCATCGAAGCCTGATTTGCTGACTTTCCTAGAGATTTTTTGAGCTACTCAATATAATTTTTTGGTAGATCATTACAAATTTGTTTCTGTAATTAAAAATAGTTACAAAATTGAAATTCTGAACAATGTTTTCTGATTACAAAACCATACATTCCGACGTGTCCAGGTGTACTTTAATCTGATGTGCCCTCATAATGAATCTACAATATTTGAGTTCCATGTAACATTGTGGTTCCCCACAATTATTAGGTGATTAATGTAATCTACCCTTTGAAGGGCTTTGTCCTCAGCTTTGTCAATGGTGCTCAGTGGACTTGTTAGTCAAGTGGCCATGGTGGCAGAAAGTGACATCCTAGCTTAACTATGTGAGCTTCCCTTCACCAAGGGTTTCTTGACATCATCAATTTGCCAGCTCTGGTGACAAACACTGACACTGCCATCTGATACCATTCCAAGGATACTGGTCAGTCACATGGTGGCTGGTGAGCCATATTTAACTCCTTCTTTTGGGGAGGAGGAAGCACTATACCGTAACTAAAATAAGCACTATTTGGATTTGGATTTACTTTCCTTTCCTCCCCCACCTTGCTTCTGCCAAAGCTATGATTTGTAGATAATCTAGATTCCTTGTTCACTATCACAGTATCCCACCCAATGTTGCTTCTCACCAAGAAACTTTTTTGGGAGAGGAAGCCAACAGGCTGACACACATGAAAATTCATGTTCTTATAAACTCTCTGTCCTGGAAGCAACTGGCTTTACAAAACAGTGGAATGACTGAGGTAAGACTCAGTTATGATGCCAACTTGAAGTTGAAATCTTGAAAGGTTGGGGTACCATTTTGGAGGTGAGACGTGTTTTCCTGTGTTTGATACATGATGAAGGCTCTTGCTGAAAAGATAAATCCAGGGACCAAGGTAAGGAAATGGGAATGCCATTTCTCATGATCACATTAATATTACACCTGTGACTCTGGACAATAAATGTATAGGATTTTAGTAGTTGGAGGAGAAATGCTTTAACCACAGGAAGCAACAGATACTGCCATCCTGCTATTTCAGGCTCCTTTTACTACTTGGCAGGGAAAATATGGGTCATAGTATTGGCTGGGGTGACTGATCCTGTTAGCAAAGATTTCTGATACATATTTTGATACACAGTGGGATCAGAGAGGAATATAAATGAATCTAAAGGAACCTTTTAGGATTCCCCTGTCTGGTGGTAAGTTAAGGGAAGATATAGCAATTCTATATAGGCAGGAACCACTGAAAACTCAGATCCCTCAGGAGTCAAGTTTTGGGTCACTTCACAATAGAAACAGTGGCCATTTGAAGAGAAAATAAAAGGAACGTAGATGAGTAGTTGAGGGTGGAAATAATAAATTTTCACTATGGTCTTTTTACCAGGGAAGCCATGCTTTGAGAGAAGACATGAAAAGAGCAGGACATATTTTTATTTAACCAGTTCTGTTACTGAGCACATAAAATCATAAAGCAAACCCTCCAAAGATTTTCTTCTGCAACCAGAATAAAATCCAAACTTATTTGAATTTATTGAGGCTTACAAAATACTATGTAAATTGGCACTTGCCTACCTCTCTCACTCTATCTCATTCCACTTATCCAATTGCCTGCCATGTTTAAGCCTATGGGTAAAGCTCATTTCAGCCTCAAGGATTTGCTCTAGCTGTTCCCTCCACCTGGAATGTTTCCCCCAACATATCCAGATGGCTTAATCCCTCACTTCATTTGGCTCTCTGCTCAAATGCTCTTGTTAGTGAAACCTTCCCTTCGCACCCTATATAAACAGCACTACCCCATGTTCTCTCTCTTCCCCTTATCCATGATTTAGTTTCCATGTTAGAACTGGTAAC
The DNA here is from genome assembly GCF_000001405.40 of Homo sapiens. Taxonomy (NCBI): domain Eukaryota; kingdom Metazoa; phylum Chordata; class Mammalia; order Primates; family Hominidae; genus Homo; species Homo sapiens. The sequence goes on from NC_000012.12 coordinate 102,366,362, forward strand.
TGTATTACATATTAGACATGTATGTGTTTCTTATCTGTCCCTCTCCAGTGGGATATAATCTCCACGAAGAGAGAGACTTTTTGTTGGTTGTTGAATCCTCAGAGCCTAGAACTGTAGAGTTGCTCAAGTATTTGTTGAATACATGATTTAATTAATTTATGACAGAGGAAAGATTTGTTAACAGATTCTAGAAAGCCTTGGAAATCAGACTGAGATGTTTGGAACCTTAACATTTTGAATAAATTAGTAAGGAGTAAAATAGAAGCTATTTTAGAGAGTTTTTGAAATTGCTCAGGGACCTTTGCTGTCTTCCAAGTTCTTTGGTCATTCAGAATTGTGCCAATGACTTCCGCTGTTCTGGGGATGCTTTTATGTTGATCCCTATTCTTCAATAAGTGCCCCCAACCCTCCCTGCTGGTTACCCTTGTTTCCTTTTCCAGCTAGCAACAGACCTCTCTCCCTCTTTCCCATTTTTTGTTTAACATTTTCTTCTCTAAGTGGTATATTTTGATTATTCAGCAGCTGCTTCATGCAGATGGTGGGAAGGGGCCTTGTATATTTGTTATTGCCCAGTATCCTGATGAATATGCCATTTGCTTCTGTGTATCAGCTTTTGAAGGCTATTCTAAAGCTTCTGCTTCGTACTTTCATTATCAGAATGTACAGGCTGCTGCTCAGATGGCTGGTTCTAGTGAAATAGATATAGTATGGAGTTAGCTCTTTACTATCCAGCAGGGCAGTTGAGGTGGCCTTCTTTTTCCACTTGTTCTGTCCAAATCATTCTGCTTCAAATCATTGCTGCTTCAAGGTTTGTCTGGAAACTCCTGCTTTTTTTTCAGGCCTTGCTGGTCTTCTCCTTGAGCTCCTTTCACATGTATAGCTTATATCTCACATCTAAGCCCTTAATTATATGCTGTTACACATTATTCCTTCAGGGCTTCAGACACTCTTCTGCCTTCATGTAGTTATAAGTTCACACATTCCCATCATCAACACATTTCTTCATCAGTAATCATCAGTATTAGAGAGCTTGACATGCCCCACTCCATTCTATTTGAAAACCTCTGCCTATTATTTCATTTGTCTGAATTATCTTCCTCAATTAGATTGTAAATTCTTGCATCCTTGATTGTATCTCATGTTTCTATAGTATTCTTCTAGTTATGGTTTGATGCCTAGAATAGTACTGGGCACATAATGGATGCTTTTTTCTACAAGAATTAATTGATATTTTTTATTGAGTCCTAATTGATTTTTTTTCACTGAAATATAGTCACCATGTGTATATATATTTGATGTTTTTACCTCCATTCCAAACTTTCAGGACAGCTGTGCTAGTTCTAATCTGTTCTTAGATTGATCCTATGACTATGCAATGTGACTACAAGGAAAATCCAGTTTTGGTTCTGTAAGAATTAACTCCATTCCTAAGATAGCAAAGACCAGGCCTACCTTCCCTGCCACCACTCAGGCCTCTTCCAGCCTGACCCCCAACATCCAAGAAAGCAGGAGTGCAGCTGAAGACAGGGTACAACCATGTGAGCAATCAATTGATTGATAATTAATGAATCAATCAATCATGCCTATATCATAAAACCCCAATAAAAACTCTGGACACTGAGCTGAGTTCCCCAAGATGGTAATACTCTGTATTGTTAAACATCAATGCTGGAAAGATAATTTGTACTGAGGACAATAGAAGCTTCTCATTTGGAATCCTAAACTCTATTCTGTGTGTCTTTTCTTTTCGCTGGTCCTAATCCTTTTCTGTAATAAATCGTAGCTGTGAGTATAATAGTTTTCAGTGAGTTCTATGAATCTTTCTAAATAATTATCAAATCTGAGGTAGTTTAGGGACTTCCCCAAACTCGCAGTTAGTGTCAAAACTTAGGGCAGTCTGGGAGATTGTTCCCACTTTGGCTAACTCCAGGTAATGAAACACCTACAACCCCCCCGCCTTTCCTGGGTAATGACAACTTATCCAGTTGACTGGAATGACAACTTTACACTGTTGTAGCTTGAGAGAGACAGGACTGGATTTTCTTTGTGTTCTAGTTTATTTTCTCACCCACTCCGTTAGTGCTGGCTTCATTTCTCAGCTTCCAGACCCTCTCTGCATAATATGCCTCATCTTGTACTCATCCCTGCCTCAGCTCCAGGCTTCATGGAGGTAGGATAGATAGGAAGACCTGCAATGCAGCTGGTGCAGCTCACTATTAAGGCTCTCTAAAAGTCAGAAGTGGCCTCCTGGGAACCAGGAATGACCCTTGGCCACTGTCCCACAAACTTACAACTTCCCTCACTTCCAATCACACCTGGGACTTAGTACCACCAGGACAGATCATTAGGTGCCTGAGGATGCTGGGTTTCCTCTGCATTAAGAACCTTTTCTGCCTCTTCCCAGTACTTCCTGATGTTGGCTTAGCCCCATGTATTAGTCCATTCTCATGCTGTTAATAAAGACATACCCAGGACTGGGTAATTTATAAAGGAAAAATGTTTAATTGACTCACAGTTCAGCATGTCTGGGAAGGTCTTAGGAAATGTACAATCATAGTGGAAGGAGAAGCAAACACATCCTTTTTCACATGGTGGTAACAAGAAGAAGTGCCCAACAAAAAGGGGGAAAATCCCCTTATAAAATTATCAGATCTCATGAGAACTCACTCACTATCACGAGAACAGCTTGGGGGTAACTGCCCCTATGATTCAATTACCTCCTACTGGGTCCCTCCTATGACACATGGGGATTATGGGAACTCAATTCAAGATGAGGACATTCAAGATGAGGATATGGGAACTCAATTCAAGATGGGGACACAACCAAACCCTATTATTCCACCCTGGCCCCTACCAAATCTCATGGCTTCACATTTCAAAACACAATCATGCCCTTCCAACAGTCCCCCAAAGTCTTACCTCATTCCAGCATTAACTCAAAAGTCCAAGTCCAAAGTCTCATCTGAGACAAGGCAAGTTCCTTCCACCTGTGAGCCCGTAAAATCAAAAACAAGTTAGTTACTTCTCAGATACAGTGGGGGTACAGGCATTGGCTAAATACACCCATTCCAAATGGGAGAAATTGGCCAGAAAAAAGGGGCTACAGGCCCCATGCAAGTCTGAAATCCAATAGGGCAGTCATTAAATCTTAAAGTTCCAAAACGATATCCTTTGACTCCATGTCTCACATCCAGGGCATGCTGTTGCACAGGTGGGCTCCCACAGCCTTGGGCAGCTCTGCCTCTGTGGCTTTGCAGGGTATAGCCCCCCTCCCTGCTGCCTTCACAGCTGGCATTGAGTGTCTGTTGCTTTTCTAGGTGCATGGTGCAAGCTGTTGGTGGATCTACAATTTTGGGGTCTGGAGGATGGTGGCTGTCTTTTCACAGCTCCACTAGGCAGTGCCCCATTGGGGACTCTGTGTTGGGGCTCTGACCTCACATTTCCCTTCTGCCTGCCCTAGCAGAGGTTCTCCCTGAGGGCTCTGCCCCTGCAGCAAACTTCTGCCTGGACATGCAGGTATTTCCATACATCCTCAGAAATCTAGGCAGAGATTTCCAAACCTCAATTCTTGACTTCTGTGCACCTGCAGGCTCAACACCATATGGAAGCTGCCAAGGCTTGGAGCTTGCACTTTATGAAGCCATGATCCAAGCTGTACCTTGGTCCCTTTTAGCCATGGCTGGAGCTGAAGCTGCTGTGACACAGGACACCATGTCCCAAGGCTGCACAGAGGAGGGGGGCCCTGAGCCTGGCCCATGAAACTATTTTTCCCTCCTAGGCTTCCAGGCCTGTGAAGGGAGGGGCCTTTGCAAAGGTCTTGGACATACCCTGGAGACATTTTCCCCGTTATCTTGGTGATTAACGTTCTGCACCTTGTTACTTAGGCAAATTTCTCCAGCAGGCTTGAATTTCTCCCCAGAAAATGGGTTTTTCTTTTCTATCGTATTGTCAGCCTGCAAATTTTCCAAACTTTTATGCTGTGCTTTCTCTCGAATGTTTTGCCACTTAGAAATTTCTTCTGCCAGATACCCTAAGCCCTCTCTTTCAAGTTCAAAGTTTCACAGATGTCTAGGGCAGTGGCAAAATGCTGCCAGTCTCTTTGCTAAAGCATAAGAACAGTTACCTTTGCTGTAGTTCCCAAGAATTTTCTCATCTCCATCTGAGATCACCCTGGACTTTGTTGTCCATATCACTATCAGCATTTTGGTCAAAGCCATTCAACAAGCCTCCAGGAAGTTTCAGACTTTCCCACATCTTCCTGTTTTCTTAGCCCTCCAAGTTTCTAGGAAGTTCCAAACTTTCCTACATTTTTTCTGTCTTTTTCTGAGCCTTCCGAATAGTTTCAATCTTTGCCTGTTACCCAGTTCTAAAATCACTTCCACATTTTTGGGTATCTTTACAGCAGCACTCCACTCTCTGTGGTACCAATTTACTGTATTAGTTTGTTCTCATGCTGCTAATAAAGACATACCCAGAACTGGGTAATTTATAAAGGAAAGAGGTTTAATTGACTCCCAATTCAACATGGCTGAGGAGGCCTCAAGAAATTTATAATCATGGTGGAAGGGAAAGCAAACACATCCTTCTTCACATGGTGGTGGCAAGGAGAAGTTCCCAGCAAAAAGGGGGAAAAGCCCCTAATAAAACCATCAGATCTTGTGAGAACTCACTTACTATCATGAGAACAGCATGAGGGTAACTGCTCCCATGATTCAATTACCTCCTACCATAGTCCCTCCCACGACATGTGGGGATTATGGGAGCTACAATTCAAGATGAGATTTGGGTGGGGACCATGGAGTCCCCACCCAAGTGGGATCATGGGATGATATGGTTTGGCTGTGTCCCCACCCAGATCTCATCTTGAATTGTAGCTCTCATAAACTCCATGTGTTATGGGAGGGACCCAGTGGGAGGTAATTGAATCATGGGGACGGGTCTTTCCCATACTGTTCTTGTAATAATGAATAAGTCTCATGAGATCTGGTGGTTTTATAAAGGGGAATTCCCCTGCACACACTCTCTCTTGCCTGCCACCACATAAGGTGTGACTTAGCTCCTCATTCATCTTCAGCCATGATTTGAGGCCTCCCTAGCCATGTGGAAAGGTAAATCAATTAACTTTCCATGATAAATTACCCCATCTCGTGTATGTCTTTATTAGCAGCATGAGAACAGACTAATACACACCATGTTTTACAAACTGGACTGATGATAAGAATCACCTGGGGCTGTTGTTAAATGTTCAGATTCGCAGCATGTCTAATGGAGATTTTGATTGTAGGTCTGGGTTTTGGCTCAGGAGTCTGTTTTATTTTAATTTAAATATTAAGTGCCCCAGTTATTCTTATAATCATCTACTACATCCCTGTGCCTTAAGTTTTGCTTCATGTCCATTTTGAACTTTAAATTACCATCTTACATATTTCCCCTGTCCTTGCTGGTGTTAGAAAACAAACCTGAATCTGTTCTGCATACCCTCTGTGTTGGAGGAGTCATGCCCTAGTCCTCATCCTGGGGCGGGCAGTTCTCTTACCCTGCCTCATTATGACCAACCCTCCTTTCTGGCACTAGGCTCTTTCCTGTGCCCCATTCCAGTGTCTGCAGTCTTGCCACTTGTAGATGGACATCTGATATGGTGATCAACTCCACAAACAACTTCATTTAATTCAATAAACATTTACTGACTTGAGTTATGTCCCAGGCACTGTGCTAGGTGCTGGCAAGATGAAAAAAGGAAAGAACAGTTTAAAGGGTGTGACAGACACATAAAGAAACAGCCATAATATTGTGTGATAAATGCTTTAGCAGAAGCATGTACAAAGTGCTATGGAAACTCAGACGAGAGTGTGATTAATTCCTCCTGGGAAGGGTCAGGAAAAGTCACAGAGAAGAGTTTACATTTGGAAGGTAATCAAAAGTTCTCTCAGAGGTCAGGGAGAGGGGAGGGCCTTCCAAGCAGAGAGCAAAGCCGAAACAAATCCAAGGAGAGTGAGAGTGCTTGATTTACTCCGGCAACTTGGACTGAGTCACCCAGTGGGCCAAGAGCAGTGTTTTTTCCAAGTGTAGTCCTCATGCCATCTTCATCCATAATTCCTTGGGTAGCCTATTAGAAATACACATTTCAAGATCTTAACCTCATACTTACTGATTTGTAATCTTGGGGTGCAGCCTGACAACGTTTATTCATAACTAACCCCCTCAGTGATTCTTTAAACTGAAAATAAAGCAGTTGTTCTCTACTTTGGTACATTATAATCATCAGGGAGCTTTAGAAAATACTGAGGCCTGATCTTATCCTCCAAGGTTCCCATTTAAGAGGTTTGGGATATAGCCTGGGCATCTCCATTTTTAAAGCTCCCCCAGTGATTTTAATGCATGGAACCACTGCACCCAATTTGAGGACCACAGAACGAGAGCATCAGATTCAAGAAGGCAAAGCAGGCACTTGGAGACCTGCTACAAATTATAATGGAGATGTAAAAAGTTCATGCAGAGTTTTCCATGCCATGTTGGGGAGTTTGGTTTCAATTTTGTAGATGGTGAAGAGACAATGCAAGAGGTGGCTCCTACGGGCTCATATTTCTGTTTAGGCCTCAATAAATGGTGGTGTTAGAAAACAAGATTGAATCTGGTTTGTACACCCATGGTGTTGAGGGAAGGGATGCTTTACTACCACTCCATGAAGTGGGCTCAACTATGCCCTCAGAGTAACTGTTCGTCTTTCAGATAAAGGCTCTGAATACTCCTGTTGCTTTCTTAAGAGACACAGTGGGCACCTATCCTGTACTCACTGTTGAAAAATCCTCAACTGTATCCCACGTAAATTCTGAGCCGTGCAAAGCTTCATGAAGGGAAGACCTAAGGGAGATTGGTGGTGGGCATTATATATTCACATGGTCTCCATTAGGCCCAGCAGTTACAGGTATTGACTTCAACCTTGAAGTTCAGGAATAGAAGAAAATGTGTTGTGTGGATTATTGTGCCTACAAGGCACAGAGAAGTTTTGGGATAGATTGCAATGGCATAGAAGAAGGAGAGGTGAGAGGTGAGTGGGGAAAGTATAGTTATAAGCCAATCACCACTCCACAGTGAGGTGTTGGGACTTTTGTGGACCACCTTGATTAAGATAGAACCAGATATGTTGTGGGTACAGTTGTGAAGGAAAATGAAGGGAGGTCAGAAGTCTAATGCTGGAGCCACCTGAAGACCCTGACTAGCAGCTAGTCATGCAGACCTCAATGAAGTCTCTCCCTCTCATTGTCTCTTCAATTTTCTCCCCTTTCCCTCTTCTATCTTCTCAGTCTTTTCCCCTCTTCTTTAACCCTCTGCATCCTCACTGCCCATAGTGCTCCCAGAAACAACAATAAAGCCTACCAGACTCCAACATTTCTTAATGGGCCCATGAGTTACAGCCTTTGTTGAAACTTATTGCTAAGAAGAATGTTGGTGATTCTTTGGTACAACCTCTTCAATTTGTGAATGGAGAAATGGAGGTCCAGAAAGGAGACATGATTGTCCAGGGGAAAAAAAAAAGGTCATAGAGCTAGTTAGCGGTAGAATTCAAACAGATCCATGTCTTCTGACTTTCTCTATTAGCCTGCATCTACTGTGCTATGCTCCGGTCACAATGGGGAATTCTCATACTTTGCATGCTTTGAGGGGTAAATTGTACACTCTTCACGTTTGGTTCCTACAACCACTTTGTAAGAAGGCTATAGCCATTAGTTCATCATGTGTGCTAAGTTCAAAGAGAAGGAATGTGCTTTGCTTAAGAATGCGAGTTTCACCAGAAAGGAAGTAGAAATTTATAAAATAGGAAAGTTCAGGTTTACATAATTTTAGGCCATATGAGTAGAATTTTTATATAGTAGATTCTAAAATTACTGTTTTCCATTATCATGATGTAGAGTCCCAGAACCATTACCCTAGGACAAGGAAAGACTTTGTCTGATGGTTGTGTGTTTGAGTGCAGGAAAAGACAGGATGTGGTTACATAACTTTGGTGTTTTGACCTTGGTCTTGCTTCATTTTGAAGGCTTCTAACCTTGTTTGCTGGTGCCCTCATGAGTATGTGGAAGATGAGATCGTTGCTTCTCTCACACAACAGTGCAATGAGAACATTATCTGTGACATTATGGAGTCTGGGAATCCAGTGTAGCATCTGAGTCAGTCCTAGCCCAATAGCAGGCACTCATGGGTTATTTTTTGAGTTGAGTTGAGATGAGGCCTGCAGGTCTGCAGCAAATTACTATTGATGCCATCTTGAGCAAGTCGTTTTCTTTCTCCAAACTCACTCTTCTCTCTTACAAAATAACAGACAAGAACAAGACAACTTCTGACATTCCTTCCCACTCAGAGATTGGCATCCCTTTTTTAAAAAATCCCAGAAATTTGGACTTAGGAGACCCTTTGAAGGTCAATTAGCCCAACCCACAGCTTGTTCAAGGCAGAGCCAGATTATTCAAAGAAGTAGAGATTTGGCAACTTCATGGCTTGTATAATAGTGGAAATCAGCCAAAAAGAATAATTGAGGTTAAAAAGTTATTTGAGGGCCAGAATTACTCTCTTTGGTCAATATCCATCACATTAATGAGGAATAGTGAAATCTCTATTTTGCTTTGGTTTTCTCCTTTGCTCTCTACTGATATATAACATATATACATCAGTAAAATGCACAAGTCTTAAGTGTACAGTGTGAGGAATTTTTACATATGTATCCACCCATGTAACTATCTCACAAATCAAGATACAGAACATTTTGACAACTGGAGAAAGCTTCCTCATGCCTTCACTACCCTCTCTCAAGGGATAGATCTAATTTCTATCACTGTAGGTTTGTTTTGTCTAGTTTTGAACTTTATATGAATGGAACCACAGCGTATATAACCCATTGTGTCTGACTTTTCACTCAACCTTGTGTCTAAGATTCATCCATATTGTTGCATATGTCAGGAGTCTTTTTGTTGTTGTTGCAATGTGTGAATTGTAAGACTACCACAACTTAAGAATTCATCAGTGCAGATTATTAGCTACAGACGAGGAGAAAAAGTTAGAAGATTTGTCTCCTAATCTTATTATTAAGTAGCTACATGAACCTCTCTCTGGGCCCATTTTCCTCAACTGTGAGTGAAGAGGTCAGGCTAAAGAATCACTAGCAATTTTTCTAATTCTAAAGGCCAAAGAATGTATGTGAATCACAGACCAAACAAGCATCTGGAAGATATGAAAAAAATCACATATCTGACAAAGAACTCATCCTAGAATATGTAAGTGACTCCTACAAATCAATAAGCAAAGAAGAAAAGTCAATTAAAAATGGGAAACATGCGTGTGTGCATGTGTGTGTGGTATTTGCTGCTATTGTTGTTATAGTAAAGAAAAAAATTGTTCAGTGGGAAACCTTAGGGTCATCATGATGACCATGTAATAAATATTTTCAAATATGCAGAAATGTTGGGCCATCCACATGATGCAGAAGCTGATTTTTGAAAAAGGATCCCTTTGTATTATTTTCTGTAAGGGAGGCACCATGTTTAATTTTAGTGAATGCATGAAATGCATGCAAAAGGGCTTCATAAACTGTAAAGCTCTCTGCAAATGAAAAGCATTATTATTATTCCAGATACAATATAAGTGCAGCTGACATCAACCACCATTTATCCCAGTTGCAGGTGTAACAACCAACAAGGGTATTGTCCTTTGTTCCTTTGCCACAGCTGTGAGAGAGCATCTGAATCCAATACATAAATAACAGCTGTGATTTTAATTGAGACTTTTGAGTGGATAAGCAAGGTGTACACTGAACGCATAGCAACAGATAGGTTTTCATTTGGGCAGCCACATTATTATTTCCTCAGACTTTGAAAAGGGAAAGTTTTAACAGCCCTCTTGGAAGTGACCCTTGTTTTTCCCCCCACCTGTTCGCAGTTACTGTCACAGAATGCGTCATCACTCTCCCACGCGCACAGTGGGAAAACAAGTTTGCCATCCAGAGCAAAGGGAGTTTTTATGCTGTGTCAGGGATACAAGAGTCTGTGTATGGTTCATTGTCCATTTCCCAATTAGGCTCCCTCCCTAGGCGTTGGAGCTTCCTGCCCAGAGAGCCTGCCTGGACTCCTTATCATTTCAGCAGAAATAAGTCACATGAGAAGCCACTGCAAATCAGATTTTTGCCAGAATGCTTGTGGTCTCTGCCTTGCCCTTTTTTTCCCCCAAGATTTTGCAACTCTGTTCTTGTCTTAGGAGGGTGAGAAATTATCCCATCAATGTAATCAACCCAGATTGGTCAACCAAAGGGAATTTGCTTGTTGAATCACATTTGCTGCTAGTATGTTCTTGGACAAGGGTATCTCCATGACTCTGTCCCTTGACTGGGGTGTCTAACTATTGGGTATTCTCTTTCTTGTACTGTGCATAGATATGTTTCAGACTTTGTATTTGCCCCTTAAAGCTGCCCTTGTGATAGATTTAGCAGCTCTGTAGTAATACACACTGAAAACTAATCTAAACACTATATAGTTGTAGAGTGGAAAGAGTTTCAAAGCCCAGCAAATCTGAATTGGAATCAAAATTTATCACTATACCTGGGTGATAGGCCTCAGCTGCCTTATCTGTAAAATGGGGATAAAAATACCTCCCTAGCTCTGAAGATCATTGTAAGGTCAAGAGAGGCAATGCATGTACACTTCCCAGAGAGGGTCTGGCCCATAGTAATTGCCTCATAATTAGTGAGTGAGATGATTGTTCCATAAACTGTACAGCTGGGGAAGATCCCCCAATGCAGACACATGGCTAGCCCAAGTTTAACAGCAACTTAATGGCAGATGTAGGAGAAAAGTTAAGATCCAGAGCTTCTTTCTACTACATCTAAGAATTGTTTCCTCAGGTTTGGGGAGGAGACAGCAAAGCTAAACACTTCAAGGTAAATTATGATGCTTTGATGATTTCTTAAGCTGAGTGGTCTATAGTTCACTGGCATAGAAGGAAGGTTTTTGTTTTAGAAATATCATCTCTGCTTATGTTTACAGCATATCTTTCCTGTTCAGCCAGAGGCATCCATATTGCTTTGAGGAGAGTTAGCATTGTTAGATTAGGACAGCAAGAAGAAAGAAACTAATAAAATAGATTCTTGCACCCCACAATAGAAACATGGATTCGAATGCTAAAGTGTTGACTTGCAAGAGCCAGGTTCTTAATGAGAGAGGAAGAAGCTTGAGAATCCAAAGAGAAGGTCTTTAAGGAAGCAAGTTGTCCATGACATAAAGTTAGGTTACAAAGAGAACAGGGGAAGAACGAGGTCACCCCACCCCCTCTCTGGGCTAGTGGGTAGTTGATAGTGACCTGATTGGAGGAGGGAGAAAAGTGGTGGGCTGAGGGTTGGGATGAAGATGCTAGAGGGGACCATGGGGAGGAGAGCCTGCAAGTATAAGTGGACAGTGTACCTTGCTTTGCCATTTAGGGGAGGGCCATGTTAGCTGTCTCTCTCAGCCTTTGCTGTTGAGAACCTTCTGTAAACATATGCTTACATACCAACCCATAGATTTTCAGCAGAAGTGATACCCCACAATGTCCCCAGATTTTGCTAAGGTCCATATGAGTTATCTATTTGGATATCCTTTTTCAGTGACCACGGTCACTAATAAATACCGTGAAACATAGGCATGATTTCCAGAAGATGCTTGGAGATGTGGAGCATAGGCCCTCAGCATTTGTACTGGATGCAGCAACCATCCTCATGCCCTAGGTTTAATTTTAGGAGTTAATACAGCATGGCAATTAAGAATGTGGTCTCTGGCATCAGACTGACTGCCTTAGATCCTGGTTCTCTCCTCTTATTAGCTGGGAAATTTTGAGGAAGTTTATAAAACCCTTAGATTCTTAGCTTCCTTGTCTCCTCAATCACAGTATCATAATTTCTGCAACATAGTTTGCAGTGACTAAATAAATTAATACACAGGAAGGACTTAGTTAGAACAATGCCTGCTACATAGTATAGTTTAATAATTGCCTGTTGTAGTTGTTCTTACTGCCTGTGCCCAGCCAAATTTGTGTGTGTGTGTGTGTGTGTGTGTGTGTGTATGATACAGAGCTAACAATCTGACAGCTTTTTTTTTTTTTTGCAATAACAAAAAGAGAAGTTATTTATTTACTATTTCACCTTTCTGGGGTTGTTAATTTGATTTTCTACTCATTCATTTGTATATGCTTTTAAGAAATATTTATGGAGCCCCTTCTATGTGCCTATCAGGCACTGGGCTGACTGCTGGGGATAAAATGGCATGTAAGATAGGCATATCCCTGCCCTCATGTAGTTTACAACTACAACTAGTCTATTCCAATAACTGTTTTCCCTTTATCTGATTTTGGGGCCTGGGCCAATCTCCTGAGCACATTTCCTAGTGCTGGCAATTGGGGTCCTGCAGCAGGCCATAAAATGCATGGTATATGGGTTTAATAATGTCAGGGGAAATTTTCAGTTAATCCCTTGGACTGTGGGTACACCCAGGATTCAAAGGCCAGACCAAAACGGCACGAAGAGAAACAGAGAACTGGTAATTATCTGGTGAATTTGGGTCATGTGGAAAGCCAAACTAAATTACTTTCGCCAAGGAAAAAATGATTTTTTTTTTTCTCTTCAAATGAATTCGTTTTGGTGAGATTTTCCTAGGGTCTTCCCTTCCTTGCTTTGCATTATTCAACCAGGTATTTCCTAGAAACCAGCACAGCGTGGGTAAAATATAAAGACAAGGACTTCGAGGGAAATGAAAACTGCTTGTCCATGGGGTATTTGGGGAGCCCTGGTCTTATTCCCGATATATAACATATAAGGAAAATTGTACTAAGTTGACAGTGCTACCATAAATCCAGTCAGCTCGTGGGTGCTCTAATTTTGAACTAAATCTAACAGCTTCTGTTTATTTGTGAAACAGATGTTTTAAGTTAAACGTTTCTTATGTCTTTTTGTTCAGAATTATATCATATTATAATTTTGCATTTCTAAGGCAAAAGCAAATGAAGGGAACATGCTTAATTTTTAGGATATGAGTAATTTATTATACTTTTAATAGAGGATTTCAATGTATTCCCCATCCAGGAAATGGTAATGGAAATTGCCTACTTCAACATGTAATCTATAAGATCTTGTTAAATAGTGTAATGAGAATTTGTCACTTTGTCACCTAGCTGACCTTTTACAACCCTGAAACTCAAAGTGAAGTGACACCTCCCTCAATTCAGATGAAATGCCTGCATATTTTACTGTGTTTTCACCAAGAAATCCCTTCAGCCAAAATTTCAGCTAGTCCAAGTCAATTTTTAAGCAAAGTGCATAACCAGAAATTGGCACAAACATTTGTGTATCATCCTTTCCATATTCAAAAGCTGTCTGAGACTCATTTGATTAAGCATAAAAATAACTCTGTGAATGTCATTAGAAAGGCAGCGAACATTCTATGTCTGGTCCCTTGAATTTGTATTCTGGGGATGCATTATTAAGTCACTGCTAAGTCGTTTCTCTTGTAAGAACCTGATCATGCTCTCTAGAGTCTGAAAAAATTATTTTCATTTTGAGTTTAGAAGGCTTAGTTTTTCTATTTCCGTTCAACAGAAAGGAAACAGCTGGTAAGTTAGGGAAGGCCAGTGTATTTGGCTACTGTAATCTCCACTGCCTTCCCTGGTTAACAGAATATCTTTATTCCAACCAGGGCTCCCTCCCTGCCAAATCTCCTTATTAAACTAAATTGTGATTAGAAAAGAATAAATGACATTTTATTTCATATGTGGCTCCTTTCAAACTTCCATACTCCTCTTTAAGTTTTCCTCTTACAAAACTTTTCCTTGGCCTTGGGCATTTCTCCTCCTTGGCAGACCTTCAACATTGCAAAGTTCCTGACAAGTCTTGTAGACTACTACTGAATGAAGCACCTCCTCATTCGTTCCTGTGGGATCAACTGTTATCCATGCACTTATTCATTCCATAAACATTAATTCTTACACACAAAATGGCTATGTGTATTCTAGACTCAAGTGGTCGTCTCTGAGGATCATGTATTGGTTCAAAAATGGGATGCTCTTTCTCTTTCTCAGATTTGTTTTTCTGTTAGGTGCAGTTGCTTTTTTCCAAAGTCAAGGAAGTCCAAAATGCAGGTTGCATATTGGTGGAATGGGTTCCAAATGTGGACAGATGTTGACAGAAGAAGTGTCAGTTGGGGAGTTTATTACAAATGGATATTTAGGGTCCCAGTTTCTAGAAGTTCTGAGCCAGTTGGGTGGGGCTCAGAGTTTTCTTATGTGCAGCTATATGTTGTCCCACTGATGTGTAGGGCTAGAGTGATAGCAGTGGATGTGGAGAAAGAGGATGGATTGAAAAACGACCTAGGAGGCAGAGTGTGCAGGGCTTGATGGCCACAGATAGGAGTGAGGCCACAGGTAGGAGTGAGAACAGAGGAGTTGAAGATAACCTGTGTATACATATTTGTTCTTAGTTCATCTGCAAAAACAAAAAGAATACTACTTATTTCAGCAATGGAAAATTACCCAGGATTGTTTCAACAAGGCAACACTAAAAATATTCCCCAAACAATTCTTTGGTATCAAAAAATAAATACCAGATGGAGTATACACTTTTTGATTGACTGCAAGGAATTTATTGAAGGTTGAAAGAAAGTAAAACTTAATGTTGCATTTAGCAAAGACTTTGACTTTTCTCCTTTGTACATTCAACCTGGGGCCATAGTGAAAGTCATATTGGGGATAAAATGTCACTATATATTTGTAATTCAGAACTTCAAAAGGACCTTCTCTGTTGATGTAGTTTTCTACTAAAGTTGTCTTGCCTGCCACAATGAGCATTTTTTTTTTTTTTTTTTTCTGAGACAGGGTCCCACTCCATTGGCCAGGTGCAGTGGTGTCATAATGGCTCACTGCAGCCTTGACTTCTAGGGCTCAATAGATCCTCCTACCTCAACCTCCCAAGAAGCTTGGAGCACAGGTATGTGCTGCCACATCAGGCTAATTTTTTGTAATTTTTTTTTTTAAGAGACAGAGTTTCACCATGTTGCCTGGGCTGGTCTCAAACTCCTGGGCTCAAGCGATCCACCCACCTCTACCTCTCAAAGTCTGGAATTCCAGGCATGAGCCATCATGCCTGCCCCACAATGAACATTTTATACCTTTTACGCTCACTTCAAACTTTCACCCTCCAGCCCACTTCTTCACCATTATCCTCACTTTGAGTGATGGACTTGAACTCTACCTCATGGAGAAGATAGACATTATCACATAGGCACACCCTACTTTTTCTGCTAAGTCTATAAACCTACTTGCAGCTGCACTTTTTTTTTCTTCTTCTCGCCGCACCATTGTCATCAAGGAAGTAACATTTCTCCTGCAAGATTTTGGATTTTATGCCTTCTCATCTTCTCAAGGACTTCATTCTTCAAGTTTTCTCTTTTCTCTCTTTTTTACCTTTAGCCTCTAACTTTATACTGGATCATTTTTTTAAATTTCCATAGGTTTTTTGGGGAACAAGTGGCATTTGGTTACATGAGTAAGTTCTTTGGTGGTGATTTGTGAGATTTTGGTGCACCCATCACCTGAGCAGTACACACTGAACCCAATTTGTAGTCTTTTATCCCTCACCCCCTTCCCACCCTTTCCCCCTGAGTCCCCAAAGTCCATTGTGTCATTCTTATGCCTTTCCATCCTCATAGCTTAGCTCCCACTTATGAGTGAGAACATACAATGTTTGGTTTTCCATTCCTGAATTATTTCACTTAGAATAATAGTCTCCAATCCTATCCAGGTTGTTGTGAATGCTATTAATGCATTCCTTATTTATGGCTGAGTAGCATTCTATCATTTACATTTACATATATACACACATATATATAATACATATAATACACACACACATATATATATCTCACAGTTTCTTTATCTACTCGATTGATGAGCATTTGGGTTGGTTCCACATGTTTGCAATTGCAAATTGTGCTGCTATAAACATACATGTGCCAGTATCTTTTTTGTACAATGACTTCTTTCCCTCTGGATAGTTACCCAGTAGTGGGATTGCTGGATCAAATGGTAAGTTCTACTTTTCATTCTTCAAATAATCTCCACAGTGTTTTCCATAGTGGTTGTACTAGTTTACATTCCCACAAGCAGTTTAGAAGTGTTCCCTTTTCACTGCATCCAAGACAACATCTATTATTTTTTGATATTTTGATTATGGTTATTCTTGAAGGAGTAAGGTGGTAACACATTGTGGTTTTGATTTGCATTTCCCTGATCATTAGTGATATTGAGCATTTTTTCATGTTTGTTGGCCATTTCTATAACTTTTTTCGAAGATTTATAGATTGTGATTTTCTCCTACTCTGTGGGTTGTCTGTTTACTCTACTGACTGTTCCTTTTGCCATGTGAAAGCTCTTTAGTTTAATTAAGTCCAAGCTATTTATCTTTGTTTTTATTGCATTTGCTTTTGGGTTCTTGGTCATTAAATCCTTGCCTAAGCCAATGTCTAGAGGGGTTTTTCTGATGTTATCTTCTAAAATTTTTATAGTTTCAGGTCTTACATTTAAGTCTTTGATCCATCTTGAGTTGATTTTTGTATAAGGTGAGAGATGAGGATCCAGTTTCATTCTCCTACCTGTGGCTTGCCAATTATCTCAACACCATTTGTTGAATAGGATGTCTTTTCCCCACTTTATGTTTTTGTTTGCTTTGTCTAAGATCAGTTCGCTGTAAGTATTTGAGTTTATTCTGGGTTCTCTATTCTATTCCATCGGTCTAGGTGCCTATTTTTATACCAGTACCATGCTGTTTTGGTGACTACAGCCTTATAGTATAGTTTGAAATCAGGTAATTTGATGCCTCCAGATTTGTTCTTTTTGCTTAGTCTTGCATTGGCTATGTGGGCTCTTTTTGTTTCCATATGAATTTTAGGATTTTTTTTTGTAGTTCTGTGAAGAATGATGGTGGTATTTTGATGGGAATTGCATTGAATTTGCAGATTCCTCTTGGCAGTATGGTCATTTTCACAATATTGATGCTACCCATCCATGAACATGGGATTTGTTCAGTTTGTTTGTGTCTTCTATGATTTCTTTCAGCAGTGTTTTATAGTTTTCCTTGTAGAGATCTTTTACCTCCTTGGTTAGGTATATTCTTAAGTATTTTATTTTATTTTTGCAGCTATTGTAGAAGGGGCTGAGTTCTTGATTTGATTCTCAGCTTGGTCACTGTTGGTGTGTAGAAGAGCTACTGATTTGTGCATATTAATTTCACATCCAGAAGCTTTGCTGAATTCTTTTATCAGTTCTGGGAGCTTTCTGGCAGAGTCTTTAGGGTTTTCTAGGTAAACAATCATATCATCAGCAAACAGCAACAGTTTGACTTCCTCTTTACCAATTTGGATGCCTTTATTTCTTTATCTTGTCTGATTGCTCTAGCTAGGACTTCCAGTACTATGTTGAAGAAGAGTGGTGAGAGTGAGCATCCTTGTCTTGTTCCAGTTCTCAGAGGGAATGCTTTCAACTTTTCCCTATTCATTATTATGTTGGTTGTGGGTTTGTCATTTTACTTTGTCATTTCTGTTAGCATCAATACCTTTTCTAGCACCTTCCATTAAAAAAAATCTCTTAATTCCACAGCCCTGTTTCTCTGATTCCTCCTGGTCAACATTCTTTTTAAAAGTCTTCTACACATTTTTTTCTTCATTTCCACACCTCTCACTCATTCTTTACTTCAGCCTCAATGTGATGTTTGTTCTGATTCACCAAAGCTACTCACGAAAAGCACAAATATCCTTTACATTATAAAATACCTTACGAATATTTTATTACCTTTCAATGCAGTAGAACACTAACTGGCTCCTTGCAACACTTTGTCGTCCTGACATTAATTTGGGGAAATTCCCAGCCATTATTATTTCAAATATTTCTTTTGCTTTTTTCTCTTCTCCTTCTGGTGTTCCTATTGTACATATGTTACACCATTTGTAGTTGTCCTACAGTCCCTGGATATTTTGTACTGTTTTTGTCCCCAGTATTTGTTCTCTTTGCTTTTTAGTTTTTAAGTTTCTATTGCTGTATCCTCATGCTCAGAGATTCTTTCCTCAACTGTGTCCAGTCTACTAAGAAGCCCATCAAAGTCATTCTTTATTTCTGTTATGGTGTTTTTGATATCTAGCATTTCTATTTCATTCTTTCTTAGGATTTCCATCTGTTTGCTTACATTGTCCATGTGTTCTTGGATGCTATCTCCTTTATCCATTAGAGCCCTTGGCATGTTAATCACAGTTGTTTTAAATTCCTGGTCTGATAATTCCAATATCCCTGCCATATTTGGTTCTGATGCTTGCTCTGTCTTTTCAAATGATGTTTTTGTCTTTTGGTATGGTTTATAATTTTTTGGCAGTTGGATGTGATGTATCAGGTAAGTAAGCCCCTTGTAGTGTGGGGTAAGCTGTGGGGAGCAGGAAAGCAATCTATAGTCATATACTTAGGTCTCAGTCCTTTAGTGAGTCTATGCCTTTGAACTGTGAACTTCAGAAGTCTTTCTCAGTTTTTTTCTTCCCTTTTAGGTGGAACAGAATGGCTAGAGTGGGATGGAGTTGGGTATTTCCTTCCCCCCAGGTCAGTTAGTTTCTGATGATACCCTAGGGGGTTAGACTCTGATTAATTAGTTTATTCCGGGGAAGATCTTGTTAAGAACAGAATTCCCCGGCCTATTTCAAAATGGTTCCCTTTACCCTCCCCCTGATGGAAACATGAGGGGATTTTTCTCTTAGGCTTACTGTGGGAACTTGGTTGAGCTCCTGAGACCCCTAAAGTTTTTAATTATCTGGCTTGTCAGCGCTGAGTCCCCAGTAATTAGTCAATTACAGTTCAGGTGTTCCTCCACAGCACTAGTTCCCATGGCAGTTTCTGCTCATGAGCATGTCCTGGGAAGCCATGATTCCCTGTATTTGCCTCTGTCTCCAGTCTTGTGGATAGCAGTTTGCCTTGTGTCTTCCCCTCTATTATGGATCCAAAAAGAGTTGTTGATTGTTCACTCTGTTCAGCTTTTTACTTGTTTTGAGAATGGAGTTTTGACTTCTAAGATCCTTACCTGCAAGACCGGAAACCAGAAGTTCCTGTGTTAAGAACAGACTGTAGAAGATGAAAGGATGGAGTATTATTTTTCTAGAGATGCCACAACATACTACCACAAACAGAGTGGCTTAAGCCAATAGAAATGTATTCTCTCACAATTCTGGAGGCCAGAAGTAAGACATCAAGGTGTCAGCAGGGCCATGCTCTCTCTCTGAAAACTCTAGAGGAGAATCCTTCCTTGCATCTTCCAGCTCTGGTGGCTTCTGGCATTCCTTGGCTTGTGGAAGCACAACTCCAGTCTCTGCCTCCCTCTTCACATGGCCTTTCCCCATGTATCAGTGTCTCTGTCCAAATCACCCTCTCCTTGCTCTTAGAAAGACACCATTTATTGGATTTAGGATCCACCCTAGATCAAGAATGATTCAGTCATGGGATTCTTAACTAACCACATCTGCAAAGACTCCATTTCCAAACAAGGTCACATTAATAAGTGTGTGTGTGCGGGTGGTAGGGCTCAAATATATCTTTTTGAGGGATACAGTTCAACCCACTACAGCATTAAGTAACCAAATTAAATTTTAAGTGAGCAGTGGCAGGGCTTATGATGACAGTGTATATATGAAGATTTGGTGTATGTTTCTATGAGAGAGATTATGAGATTCGCTGATGGATTTCATTTGGAGTGTGACAAAGAACAGCATCAAAAATGACTTCGACTTTTAACTTGACATAGGATGAATAGGACTTTTGATCTGACATAGGATGAATTTACTGATCTAGAAAGATGCAAGTTTTGGGGGGAGAGGACTATGAAGACTTTCCCCAATTACTTTAATAATATAGCATAGAATTTAAGAGCAACACCTCTGGAGGCAAATAGACCTGGGCTCACAAATAATGTTAACATACCTTGGGGTATTTTACTTAATCTCCCTGGGTCTTGGGATTCCCATTTGCAAAATGGGCATAATAAAAATAATACCTCTCTCATAATATTATTGGAATGATTTCACATGATTATGCATGTGAGCTATTAATAGTCAGTGGCAAACAGGCAGTACTTCCCCTGTAAATCTTATCTATTCATCTCATTTTGAAAGGAGCCTACAGAGATTTGGAAGGCCCCTTCAAATGCACCATTCTTTTATTCTGACATCACTTTGGTGGATTAGGAAGACTGATGTGGCAGCAGCATATAGATTAGACTGGGGTGGGAAGAGAAGGAGGCAGGGAACCTACTAAGTTGTCCATTGAGAGATGTCAGTGGCATGAGAATAGTGGGGAAAGAGAAAACAGAGAGGACGTTATTGAGGGAACTGCACAGGACCTGGCAAATGATGCACTGTGAGAAAAGATAAAGATGTCTGACTTTCTAACTCTGGAAAGTTGGAACACAGTAACTGATGAAAGTGGCAAAGTGGAAGTGTAGAGTAACCTTGGGATGAGAAAGGGGAAGGAGCATATTCAGTTTAGACTCACCAGATTGAAGTACTGACAGTATAAGAAATTAGGCACCAAGTAGAATCATGGCATGCAGTAAGTGCTCCATATCTGAATGGTTGGTAGATCTAGGTCAGTACTGTCCAATAGACATATGAGAGCCACAAATGTAAGCCATGGGTCATTTAAATTTTCCTAGTAGCCATATTAAAAAAAGTAGAATGAAACTAATTTTGATAATATGTTTTATTTAACCTAATATAACCAAAATACTTTCATTCCAATATGTAATTGCCATAAAATATTGATTATGTTATATTCTTTTTTTCAGGCTAAGTTTTTGAAATCCCATATGTATTTTATACCCACAGCACATCCCAATTTGTACTAGCCATATCTCGAGTGCTCACTAGCTGCTGTATTGGATAGTATAATTCTAGGTGGAGGTGATTGTCAGGCAGTAGATTATGATAACTGCACTTCGAAAGACAGGCATCAATCTAAAATCACCTGTATGGAAGAGGAAACCAGGTAATAGGATGAACTTTGTAAGAGAGAGAATACTAAAAGAGAAGGGAACCTAAGATAGAATGGGGGAACAATTCATTTTGCAAAGGTTTGGTTTTTCCATTAGACTGCCCAGCCCCTGAAAAGAGGTGAATTAGTAATAGTGATTCAATGCATGTTTTTAACATATGGACCTCTTGGTTTTTTAATTCTACTATTTGCAAGCATCTTGTTCATGTATTTGTTTATTGTCCATCTCCTCATTACCATAATGTAAATCTGTTTTGCTCACAATTATATTTCCAGAATAACATCTCTCACACATTAGTGCTCAGTAAATGCCTGTGAGATAAAAGTCTAATCTCTACCTTCAGAAAATTTACAATATGATGGGTAAAAAACCATTACATAGAGGAAAAATATACTAATGATAGATTCATAGAGAATTAGATTCCTGATGAATGATATTGCTAAGGTTGGGTCCAGGAGTTCAACAGAGAGAAAGAGTCATTGATTTTGGAGGAGCCTAGAAATACAGAATTGAAACATGGTCTATGCCTTAAATGATGGCTAGCCTTTGAATGTATGGGAAGCAAGGGGAAGCTTTCCAAGTAGGGTGAATGACTTATGCAAAGGTGTGGTGCATGTGAATATTTTAGTTGCAATAGCTATTAAGAAAAAGAAAGATATCAAATTGAAAATGGTGGCCACTGAAGTTTTTCATAAGGTATGCCAAGCAAAACTTTAAAAATGCTATATCAAATGGATTGAGAGAGGAGTACTGGTGAGCAGCCATTGCAATTGTCCAGAAGGCAATAAAGGTTGGACTAATAAGAGTGATGCCTTTGGGGGTAGGAGGAGGAAAGATATAAGAGATGTTTGAATAATGGCCTTGGCATATTTTGATCTCTATTTTTAAAAAGAGGCTGTTATTTAGCATAAATGACCTTGAAGGATGACCTAATGAGCACTGGATGTTTGAATGTGTTGCTGAGGAAAACTCCAAGGTTCTGAACTTGGTTGACTGAATTATGGTGCCATAGACAGAAAGTTCCAAATAGCAAATTGCTTTTAGAGGTGAAGACTAGAGAGGAAAATGGGTTGAAGTCAAAGTGTTGGAAGATATCCACGTGGAAATTTCCAGTAAGCCTTCAGATGACTAAGGGATTCAGAGAATGTAGGCTCTTTCCAAATCTTCTGTTCTTTTTGCCTATATAGAAAGTGTTTACTTTATGTGTTTCCTTGTGGCTCTGTTGATTACATTTTTATGTGTGGTTTGGAGCTCCTCTGGCTTCAGACCTGTATTTGTTTTGGGCATAGTTGGAGTAGAGTGCTAACAAGCTCAAGGTCATAGGTTTGATCCCCAAAAGGGCCAGTTAGTTTCATGGAGAGGAAAATTGCATTCCATGGTTCACAGACTTGACCCCTAATCCTGTCTGCTTGTCTCAAAACTATCTAGCATTGGTCCCAAGAGGGCCCAGTGAGAAAGTGTGAGCAGTTGTGTGCGCAATCTATTTAAACTACTGGAAGAATAACTCCAAGTGGGTTTATCTAGTTGCTTCTTCAGGAAGTTTTGTCTGCCCTCCTTCCTCAACTCTTGGGACAGAGATCACCTTTTCAGAGACAACACCATGAACAAATGCACATGAAACTGTCATGCTCATGTCTGCCTGCATCTGCGTTCCTATGTTCATTTACTTCTCAAGCAAAGGGCAGTGTGAGCACCCAGGAGCGTATAGTTCTTTGGTACAAGTGTCTACTTGTAAGTATTGGAGTATTATCAGTTTGACTTTGAGAACTGGCTTACCAGTGTTGTACAAAAAAGCCCTAGAGAGCATGAATGTGCCCAAAAGACTCTCTAAGCAAACCTTTCCCCAACAGATTTTCCTTATCAGACTGCTTTTGCTTGCTTCGTACTTTTACTGGGAAATATAAGTCAACACAGAATTCTTGTCAATTGGTCATACAAGGATACAGCATAGAATTCTCAGTGTTCTTGAGAAGAATGCTGGTATCCATAAAACAACTCCTAAACAAACCCACAGAAGGCATCTTCCACACAAGTACAGAGTTACCAGCACCTGCTGGGATGGCATCTAAAATCTGTTTTTTTGGATACTGCATTTTCAAAAATCAGTCTTAGAGGTTCTCAAATTGCTTTTTCAGTTAACAGATATACCCTGGGTCCTACAAGAGTTACCCTGAAGAGGACTTGGAATAATGCTATGCACACACTGAAAGATTCAAAATAAATCTTCATGGCTTAAAAAGGACTTGAAAATTATTTTCAAGTTCACTTCTCTTTCAGGGAATTGGAGATTGCTACACCAGGGATATTTCTCTTATTTGGCATTATGGAAAATTTTGGAGGCTGAGAAGTAAGAGACCAGACCATCAAATCTTATTTCATTGATTTCTAAGACTAATAGTGATGTCTTAAAAGAATATGTTATGGAATAAATATGACTAAAAGTAAAAGGCAGAATAAAATTATATGCTGATGAATCCAGCAAAACTGGTTGAAAAATTCTTAGTGTTTGGTTTGTACACAGACAAGCAACATACTTATTTGCATTGTTCCTTCAAATTGATTACATTGAAGATAAATTATTTTAACATTATAAAGGGACAGCCTGAAAATATCAAATAAGTAGTTAAAAATTATTACATGAAAACTTTGCATGTCTGCTGGCTGGGCTGGGCTGGAGTGAAGAAAGATAAAGAATTATGACACAGTAAGAAAATGTTAGACTTGAAATTTTTACATCTGCATTGTGGTGCAAGGATCTGCACTAGCACTTTTTACCTGATTTTTCTGGTCAGAGTCAAATTAGGGGGAAATGTGGTCAGTGTCAGAAATGTTGAGACCATGAGTTAAGAGTATATATAGAAAACGGTGTGACACACACCGGGACCTGTCAAGGGCTGGGGGGCTGGGGGAGGGACAGCATTAGGAGAAACACCTAATGTAGATGATGGGTTGATAGGTGCAGTAAACCACCATGGCACGTGTATACCTATGTAACAAGGCTGCACGTTCTGCACATGTACCCCAGAACTTAAAGTATAATTAAAAATAAAAAATAAAAAAAAGAAAGAAAATGATGTGACAAAGCCAATGGAGAGAATTCTACTTTGGCTATCTTAGATCCTTAATTAATACTC
Organism: Homo sapiens; assembly: GCF_000001405.40. Taxonomy (NCBI): domain Eukaryota; kingdom Metazoa; phylum Chordata; class Mammalia; order Primates; family Hominidae; genus Homo; species Homo sapiens. Next base: position 102,390,575 of record NC_000012.12, read on the forward strand.
TCATTCTTAATAATAGCAGAAGTAATGATAATAAAAGTAATAGTAAAAATACCAGAAACCACACAAAACAAGAGCTGATAAGCAGACAAGTGCTGGACTATGCCAGTGGTTTCATCTAGCCACAGAAAAATTAAAAAAGATGAAAAAAATTAAATTAATGATGAGTTTTCTATAAAGCTTAATTTACACAATTAAAGAATCTGCCCTTTTTTCTTAGATTATATTCTTGCCATGTTTTTAAAAAATTAATTCATTTTCAGTGATACAATGGTGATGATAGATGATTTTTTTATTTCCTTATTTTAGGCAAATAAAGATTTTGACACCTCAGGTTGATTTTTCTCAATTTCTACTTTTATTTTTTGAAATTTCAATATTTTGAGAAATCTAGAAGTTTAGGAACTGTTGTATGATAATGTTTAATCCTTAAATAATAATTTGAGGCAGATATTGCTGTTATTATCAAAATAAGAGGAAACTAAACCCCACAGAAGTCATTTTAATTTGTCCAAAGCACATATTAGAACATGACACAAGCCCACATCTGCCTGATTTCAGCACTTGTTTCTTACTACTATGTAATTCCTGTTTGTACTAGTTAGGGCCTAGTAAGGAGAGCAGAAACCCTTCTAGACCAGGCATTTTAAACAGAGAGGATTCTTTTTTTTTTTTTTTTTTTTAAGACATCTCGCTCTGTTGCCTAGACTGGGCTGCTGGGCTGGAAAGCAGTGGCGTGATCACAGCTCATTGCAGCCTTGACCTCCTAGGATCAAGTGATCATCCCACCTCAGCCTCTTGAGTAGCTGGGACTACAGGAGCGCACCATCACACCCAGCTTTTTTAAAATTTATTTATTTATTTTTATTTTTAGGAGAGATAAGGTCTCACTCTGTTACCCATGCTGGTCTCCAACTCCTGGAATCAAGCGATCCTCCTGCCTTGACCCCCAAAGGTGCTGGGATTATAGGTGTGAGCCACTGTGCACATTCAACAGAGAGGATTTAATACAGATGATGGAAGAGATGAGTAGCTAAATAAGGGAGGGGAGTCAACCCAGAAAAAACAACATCCTAAAATCACTACCATCCCTATGGCTAGAGATACTCAGAGAGGGGAAAAACCATCTGCATGGATCTAGGTCCACTAGGGGAACAGAATGCTGCTTGCACTGGGAGGAAGGGGTTATGGAGCCAAGAGCTGCAAGTACTGCTGAAGACGCTGTTGGAGGCAAAGAGAAAAGGGGGATAATACCTGGCTTCTCCCTTCTTCTTGTCTTTTGTCTTTTGCTAATGCCTCCTATTGGCCAAACTTACCCAGAAACCAGAGCTCATAGGTGCTGAGAAATGTGGCTCATTGTGAAAACGAGCAAATCAAGGGAATGTTGGGAAATGGATATGAGAGCAGACAAGTAATCAGCCAGCACATTCTAGCACAAATCTGTATTAAGTTATTCCACTGTACCTTTTACTATAGCAGTGAGGTCTAGAGATACCAGAGGACGCTTTTCAATATTAACTATCTAAGAGAATCTACTTGGTGATAGTTGACAGATGAGGATGTCTCTATTTCCAATTCATCTTTAAAGCAGAGTGAGGCAGAAGAAATAAAAAGAAATTTGGCTCTGGGGTAGCCTTATTTTTGAGTATTTTAGATCATATAAGGGTGGCTGAATTTGAAGCTCTGAACTAAATAGGATGGAGAAGCACAATCCTGGGTCGTGTTTCTTTCTTACTGTTTTCTCCTTCCCTCTCTCCAGGAACAATCACCTCCCACCTCTGTTTCCCTTTTAGAGATTTGGGTTTGGGAAAGACAGTTCCATATTCATGGGGTGGAGTGATAGCTTCAGCGATAGCACGTGTATAGGGACATTTCTATGATCCCTGTTATCCCCTACATGTCCATTTGAAGGGAGAGACCCTACTCAGGGTTCTTTCTGAAGGAGGTTTGCACCTAAGCAGGAACCACTGAATTAAATAAGTGAGGTGGAGTTAGAAAATTATAGCACAGTTACTCAATTTTTAAATCTCCTCTTAAAAGGAAAACCTCCCTACCAGGCCACATTTCCTACTTTACTTGTAGTTCAAAGTCAAATTTTACTTTTGATGTACTGCTGCAATTGTCTCAAATCCAATTTACATCTGCTCCTGTTTTTAGTGATTGTTTTATTCTTTTACAAGCCATCTCATTCCATCACAGGGCGAAGAAAAGAACATTTAGAAACCAGATGTTGTATTAACTATAACCATTATCCTTTATGGGATCCCAGAGGTTTAATCTCTATCCATAAACAGGTGAGGAAGATACCAGCTTTCAGCTGAGCTTTACAGTTAGGATGCTTCACTGAGAAGGGGGCGAAGGCTCTGCCATCCATCTGTCATTATGACTCGGGGAGGCTCATAATGGATGGGTATAGCCCAGCAGTTTCAACCCTATCAGACCCAAAGCTCTCCTTTTTATAACATATATTTTATGATCTACCCTTTAATGTCCCTAAGTGAAATTCACAGATAATATCAACATACACAATTTTAACAAAAAGCAAAATGATGCCTGAACTGTACATAAAGTAGAAATAAAAGGAAAAAAGTTTGTAATAAAATAACATGCATTACAAGATAGAATGCTTAGGCACAACTCTCCTAGAAAACACACGGAAGTGGTCAGATGTTTATACTCGTGGAGAATCACGCATGGGACAGCTGCATGTGCGGACTGATGCAGATGTGGAGTGGAAAGATTCAAACAGCACAATTAGCATTGCCACTGATGATGTGATTTTCTAAAACAGTGAAAAAGACTTGGTAAAGTTCTACCTTTTCTTAATTTGTATGGTAATTGCATCCCTGAAGAAGTCGGTTTATGTTAAAATTGTGCAAAAACACTTTGAGTTTATAAAAATTGGAGTTATATTCCGGACTTAGGTGATTATAAACAGGATTATCTCCTACTTGAAATGTCTGGAGACCTGGTCCATACCCAATAAATGTCAGAAATGCTCTCCCCAGTCATTGCAACAGTGCCAAATGTCTCCCAAATTATCTAGGACCAGCACCACTCCACCCTTTGGGAATGCTTGTGTGGGCTGTCTAAGACCACTTTGGAGGGCAGGGATATGGGAATGTTTGTCTCATGGAACTCTAGGCTCTAAGTCCACAGTTTTTCTCCAGAAGCCCTGATTCAACCATAGCACTTGAGACTACCTCAACTTCAATAAGCTGTCAAGAGAAAAATAGTTGGATTGTTGCCAGAGGTCTTGGTAAGATTCTTTATAATCAGCTTCCAGTTTCACTTAGGTGGGAATGGTTTATTCCTAGACTGTGTAAGAGCCAATACATAACTTTCTTCATGGAGGTATCCCGAGATTGGCTCTATATCCCTGGGTGTTACCTGCATAGCATGAAGTACTATCCAGAACTGACATGCACATGTGGAAGAACGGCAGTGGGGAATGACACATTATTAGATACATTGGTTACCGTGCAGAAATGCTTCTTTATCCTGATAATATCATACTCAATAATAGGTCATCACTCAAAGGTGCCATTAGCCATGTGTCTGCCTGTAGCGTGTAAAGCCAATTTTGAACAAGAAAGTATCAGTCAGTATTCTGAGCTGTCCTCATGCCTGGATTGGGTGTAAGTGGTGGAGTAGTAAAAGCAAGTGTCTTCAGACCCAGATTTGATGTCCTCAGACCCAGATTCAAGCCTTCTCTGCTGGTCTGTGACCTTCAGTAAACTAAGTAATGTCTTTGAGCCTCCATTTCCTTATCAGTCAGTGTTTACAATAGTGCCTGATGCATAGGCTTGTTGGAAGGATGAATGAGATAATATAGGTAAACCACTTGGCATAATGACTGACTCACAGTAAGTGCTCAGTAAATATTAACCACCCTTATTGTTGGAGTGGTGGTAATTATCTCCAATAAAGATCTTACAGAAGAAAAAGATGTTCTTTTAAAAAAAGAGGCTGTTATTTGACGTAGATGACCTGGAAGGAAGATAGAATTCCTCTTAGGGATAGAATTGGTATTTCCTTTAGGAAAGAACACCTTTTGTACATATTCAGTAACAAAAGGTGAGCCAGCCCTGCCCCCACCCCCACCACTGGCAAAGCTGGGATGGGGAAAGATTGCCCTGCATAAGAATACAATATAATTTTCTTATAAGTTCTTTCCAAAGGAGGGGATAAAGGGTTTGATAGAAAGTGGTTCCTGGGAGAGTTTGCAGAAGAGTGGAAAAGATCTTGCTAAGATGACAGGAGGCACATGAGCCACCAGAAATTCCTTGGATTCATAGTAATAGTGATGTTTGCCATTGAAATGGAAGGTATTTTCTGTCCTGTGCTTAACTCATCCCCTTTTCATTGTTTACAAAATCTTTAGTGAAAGGCTGTGGCTAGATCACCCTAGTGTGAATGAAAGGAGAGAGGGATTGTCTGGAGTGGAGCGAGGGGAGAAGTAGTACAGAACACCATGACTATAGGAGGCAAAATGCTAAGAGCATGAACAAGACATTTGGAGGAAGAAGGGGCCCGCATAATGTTAGTCCCAGGGAGATTCTTGGACATTTTGAGGGAGCAAAGGTAGGAATGAACGTGAGATGGGACACCAATGGCACGTGAGAAAATATTAAAGAAAACTTTACTATAATTTCCTTAAAACTAAGTACAAAACTTGTGAGACTTTTTTTATATTTGGGTAACTTTCCAAATAGTTAATGAATTTTTAAAAAATGAAATGAGATGCTTTTAAACGAGGGAGATTACCAATCTTTATACCTTGTACTTCTATAAATGCTGTTGTGAATTTGATATTCACAGTATCTATTCAGTAAAAAATTGGAACGATTTATTGAAACAAAAACTCAATGCTGAGAGATCACATTCTTATAAATCTCTTGGTATGGGAATGTATTAGATGCCATTTATATATTATGTGCCTTATTTGATACGTGTGAACCTTCTGGCAATAGAATATTTTCCCAACCACTTTGTGTCAGGGATTATAAGTCACTGTTGGGTGACAGTGAGGGGATTTTACGTACAACTGCTTTATTGTTAATGCATATATTGTACAATTCATACATCTCTTACATAGCTTTTGCAAGTCCTTTGAAACATATTTACTTTTAAATAGAATCTGTAAATTCTATGAGATGTCTTCATTTTTGTGTGTGATTAGTTTTGTTTTTCTGGGTATGTTTTCATGTTTATTTATTGCAATGACCTTAATAAAAATGGTATATAACAGTAGAATTCTTAAGGAATGACACATTACACCAACATTATCCAAAAGAACTAATTAATCAAACATGACTAATTTTAATGTAATTACTAAAGAAAGATATACCATTTTATTATGACACTCTAGCCATACATTTTCAAAATATGCTTATTAAACAGTAAATGTAAGATAATGATTCAATTAGTTACATTTTTAGAAGTCATTAGGATTGATATTCCTCTGCCATAAGTGAATTGAATAATAATTTCAAATACAATCAGAATTAATTTAATAAAAAATATGCTTTTCAACTAAGACAGATGTAACGAATGGCCAGTCATTATTTTCTGGTTTCAAAGTAGCAGGGGAAATTAATTCAGTGTCTGTAAGTTTATTTATCACACTTGGCCTATAAGTGTGATAAAAATACATGAGGCAAAATACATGATGTAATCCCAATTCTCATAGTTCATTAACTCTTTTACCAAAAAGATCTGACATGGTATTTGGGGCCTTTATGTAAACTGAATATAAGCTGCGTGATATTTGAAAGGTTTTGATATTTTGAATAGACATTTTCATGATACACAGACACAGATAAAAGATGTAAGTAGACAGCTTGAGGTTTCAGAGTCCCTCCTGCAGTGTGTTTAGCAGCGGGTACAAGATAAATATCCAAACAAAATCAGATTAAGGGATTAACAGAAGTGACTTTGCTATGAGTTGGTGAGTGGGGTCAATGGGTGGCTTGAAAGGGATTTTAGAGCTCTGTTTTTATTTTTCCTACTTTACATCAGTGCATTTTGGGCAAAATAAAATGAGTAATGTTTACTTTTAGGCCTCAGTAATATAAAAAAAGGCAGATTCTAAGGATTGTGGAAGGTCATGTTTTTGAAAGTGAAAGGTAATTCAGCTCCGGTTATTAGGAGAAACTCTGTCTCCATCTTAACTCATATTTCAGTTGAGCAGTAACATTTGGTTTTGTGTCCTCTCTTTTTTTTTTTTTACTTTAAAAAAGCTTGGATTTTTTTCCCCTTGAAAGACCCCATCAAAGATAGTTGAAGAATGAGGAGAGAAGGATCATGTTTAAGATCCATGTAATCATACATTAAGAGGGAACACATGGGCAGGGTGTGGTGGCTCATGCCTGTAATCCCAGCAATTTGGGAGGCTGAGGCGGGCAAATCACAAGGTCAGGAGTTTGAGACCAACCTGGCCAACATGGTAAAACCCCGTCTCTATTAAAAATCCAAAAAATTAGCCGGGCATAGTGGTGGGTGCCTGTAATCCCAGCTACTCAGGAGGCTGAGGCAGGAGAATCGCTTAAACCCAGGAGGTGGAGGTTGCAGTGAGCCGAGATCATGCCACTGCACTCCAGCCTGGGGGACAGTGCGAGACCCCATCTCACAAAAAGGAAAAAAAAAAAGAGGGAACACGTGAAATATATGTTTTCAGTGAGGTTCCTTTAATTCTAGAGTTTCAGCTTGGTCAGCCCTCTATAAAATTCTGAGGCAGATACTAAAATAATAAGGGCTGGGTTGGGATGGGGGCAGAATAAAGACAGCTTCAAAAATCCCCTGGGCCTCTGTCTTATCTGTGAGAGGTTTCTTTAAAAAACAAAAGCATTGTTCCAGATAGGAATTGGTTATTTAAATTGATATCTTTATCCTGTACCATATGCACTTAAAGCTTCTGACAGTCTTCTCTCTTTTTTAAATAGAAATTACACAAAAAAGATATCTATGTATCACTTTCTAATACCTAACAGGAAGGTCTTATAAAATATTAAAATAGCAATAAGCAAATATGTACTACAGGATTAAACACTAGCATTGAAAACAAAACAAAATCCAAAACCAAGAATCAACAACATTTTCCTTTTGTTGTTGCCCCCCTACCAGATCTGGACTTTATGGTCTTTGCAAGGGAGGGGCATAAACTTTCACAATTCTTCTGTTTTAAAATAAATGATGCCATTGCATAAATCAGATTTATCTTTTGAAAATATTGGTGGAAAGCCATGTGATTTGAATGGAAAGATTCTTTCTTCTGAGGAGAGCCAAACAGGTTCTGCTCTAATAAATTAGCACAATCTTTTAAGATTAAAAATAGCAAAACATTTTAAATAGTCTGATTATAGCTTCAACAAGTCAAACATACATTTCTATCTAGCCTATAGTTTTAAAGAGTCTATGTGGGTTTAACTTATTATTCCTCATTCTGATATAAAAAAAGAAGAAAAGAACCAAGTCATTTTGAACATTAAGAAATTCATAAAGACTGTATAAAGTAAAAAAAAAAAAAAAACAAAAACAAGAAACAAAAAATCTTCACAGATTGTTAGCCATCTCTTTCAACAATTTCTCATAAATTCTTTCTTTATCAGTAGATAACCCCCATCTCATAAGGAAATACTTTCCAACATTTCCCAAATGAGATCAGTGATTGCTTTTCATGAGAGCTACTGCTCTTTGAGATGTCTGGGTGAAGGGAGAATGTCTTCTATAAACCAGTAAATGCCAAAGAATACCCAAGGGGGATTTGGCAGAAGCTATTTTTTGCAGGTAAATCTATGTATTTTTTCTCTTTGTTCTTATTTTCTCCACTTGCTGAATATCTGTTTTAGAGCAGAGTGCACAAAAATCAATAAGGAACTTACTTATCTTTTAAATTCTTCTATTTGCCTATAAGATCTTTTTTCCCGCGTTTATTCTCCATGCTCTTGATCAAGTTCAGAAGATTGGATAATATATTGCTAATTTTGCTAAGTTTGAGAGCCAACAAAACAATGGAGCCTTCTAACTTTAAAAAATTTCCAACTCCTGCCCCTGCACCCCCAAATTCACAATTTGGTGAACAGTACACTACTTGTGAGTGATAAAAAGTTGAAAGGTGGTGGTGGCTAGATAGACCTAATGCTATTTTATTAAGCCATCTATCTATAGAATTGTTGTTTTTATACTTTAAAAAAATATGTCTATGCTTTCTTTTTTTTCTTTTTTTCTTTTTTTTTTAGTCAAGTACTTTCTTAAAGAAACAATAGCACCACATTGGCATAGCTGGCCAAACAATAAATGGGAAAGCAAAATGTGCTACATCTTTTATTCTAAGCCTTCTCCCAAGTGCATAAAATAGTAACAGAAACCCTGGAGCCACAGAGCATGAGATGGTTTCATCTACACAAACATTGACGTTCCAAGGAGAGGAAGGATTCTCAAGGGTGGACAGGCTTTTTGTTTGTTTGTTTGTTTTTTAATAAAATTTTCAAGGAAGTGATTTCTTTTCAGTATTCCATTGGATCCTTAGGGTGAATGTGTGTGTGTGTGTGTGTGTGTGTGTGTGTGTGTGTGTCTGTGTATGTAGGGTGGGTGTTAAGAGATTTTCATATCCCTAGAAGAGTGGATTCTGATGGAGAGCTGCATTAACTTTTTCAGGGGAACTGCCTCATCTTAAAAAGTTCAAATAATACTTTAATATTATTTGGGGAAGAGAGAACAGAAATTTGACCTAAGTATCCAGTATGGTCAATTAAATTGGAAATAAGCCTATGAGTTGAAAGCTCATTCTTACCAATGTTTACTGTTCTTTTACAAATATCTTGAAATTGCCTCATTCAAGAATTATAAAGCAATCTAATTCTGAAGCAAAGCTTGTAAAGTTTTGGGTTGTGACATTTTGGTTGCTCCTTTCTATGAAATCTGAGTCATTCTGCTGTAGTATATAGTAATCAACTGACTTCCAGGGTTTGCATCAATTTGTTTTCTAGTTTTAATTCATTAAAAAATAAAATAGTGAATTGGTATAATGAGTTATTTTCAATTTATTTATAATCCAGTTGGAGAGGATTATGTGTTGGAAAAAGTTAAGAAAGATAATATGGCAGTGCATCTTTCAGCTTTCCTCCTTGGGGGATTTTTGACTGTGGATAGAATTAAGTGAAGGAAATAAGTCATAGACACTCTTAGAATTATCACATCTAACTATGACAGAAAACACGTTAAGTCTGCAGAAGACTGCCTATAAAGTTTTGTTGAGAGGGAATAATTTTAAAAGGTACACACTGGGGACAAGAAATAAAAAGAAGTGCCATCTTGGGAAGAGGAGTCCAGTATCTTATTCCACAGAACCTGTATGTCTGGAAAACAGGCAGAGGGCAAAAATGATGTATAGTTTCTTTTACATCTGTCCATAGTGATTAGAACATTGCTAAGCATGCTTGAGGTGCTCAATTCAAATAATGTTGGACTGAGAGTTAAAATACTTGTTGACTGAACAGGATTGCTGGCTCCACTAAATGGGGCCTTCTTTTTGCATATATTCAGAGATCCAGGGAGTCTTTTTTTTTTTTTTCCTGGCCTCTGATCCTTGAGGTGACCCAGTGGGAGAAAAACTGAAGATGTTATTTTTGTTTTTCATATAGACTTTCCAAGAATGTAAAATATAGAATTTGCATGAAATAATCAAGCCTGGGTACTTTTAACCAAAAAGTTCTAAGGTGACTAGAAAGATCTGAATGCTGGATAATTCATTGTTCTAATGAGAAAATCTTGATCTGCAGATAGGGATCATTTTCTAGGCTATGATGGACTAGTACACTAACCAGTGGACTTTCTTGATACCAATTTTCAGTTGAATGGATAAAACACATTCACAGAGAGCTAGGGGCTACCCTTCTGAGCAGGCATGGGAAATTTCTTGTTGTGATGGAAGTTTTTGCCTTTCAACTGGAAACTCTAGTCAAGCATATTTTAACAAACTTTTAAAAAAATGTATATACAGCTAAGAATAAGAGTAAAGTTTGTTAAAGAAGATAACTTTGTGACTTTTTATTAGATATTATTTTAATATTTCAAATTTTGGATCACTTTCCTTATATTGCCTAGAAAAGAAGGAATCATTGTGTTTTTCAAAATGAATAGAATATTATTTATAGTATTAAACGAGGTTTTACTAGATATGTAGTAACTGCATAGAAGAGTCAGTGAGTGCTAACAAAGAGTAATTAATTCCCCTTTCACTGGTAGAAATCTCTTTGTTTTTCTCCTTTTTCTTTTCCTTTCTCTCTTTTCACTTATCTTTGTATTCATAAAACCAAATGCAGAATTCAAAATCAAATTGAAAATCAAATGCTTCCCACATATTTTGAAAAGTGTTTTAAGAGATTGAGCTGTTAGCTTTTAACAACTAGTTGGCCAGTTATTTGGATAGCTTCACTGACAAGAACTGAGATGTCAGGAGCATTCAATTCACCAATCTCTAGCTATGCTATGAATGGGTTATTTATAGAATTCCTTGCATCTCAGCAACTCAAGCGCCCTGATGTTGCACCCTTACAGCAACCCAGGGTAAAAAAAATCTGAATCTTTATCTTTTTAAACCTTATACCACCCCTTTGAGGTAGGTAGATGACATATTGCCCCCATTTTGCAGATGAGGAAACTGAGGCACAGAGAGGTGAAGTGACTTGCCCAAGGTCACACAGTGGTGAGTCCATGACACAGCTGGCAGATGTTCATTTCTTCCATGAGAAAAAGAAACCAGGACTGCTAAAATTCCTAGCCTTCTGCTTTTTCCATTCCACAGTTTCCTCTCTGGACTCGCCAGTCCAATTTGCATCAGTGGACTTTTGTGTCTGAAGTTCCTCTTGGAAGGCATAACTGGGGGGACTTTGCCTTCTTTCCCAAATGGATGGTGTTTTCAGTACCCTTCCCCTTGTGTCATCTTTGGCTCCAGGCTTCCCCTATTGTTTTGCTTTCACGTATTACCGTTTTGGCCAGACTCTTTCATATAACAAACTACAAAATAGCACCATTATACTAAAAAACAGAGTTTTACATACTGTTTGATATATCCTGTATAATTGATATGCTAAATTTACATAGTGCTCTATATGGAAAAAATAAAAAGAGGAAAGTTACTAATTAGGTTGCACATTAACTCATCATTTGAAGGAACTCTTTTGAGTTGAAGAAACTTTCTATGTTTAAAACATATGCCTAAAAATGATTGGCCTCAAAGTTGCAACTATTTGCATTATTCTTTTTTGTAAGCATGATGTGGAAAAATAAAGCTTTGTGTCTAAAATAAAATGCATCCAACTTATATTTGGTACAAATGCCACAGATGGAATCTTGTGGGTTAGAATTGGTGTGCTTCTTGACGACTTGCTGCTGCTTTTGAGGAGGCCAAATTCGGCAAATATAAAGGTTATGAAGGGAGGTGGTGGGTATAGACTAACAAGATTATCAGACACTGTAAAACAAACAGCCCGAGTTGTGTAGAAAGAAGTGCAAATAAGGAAACAATTCATAAACCACTTAGACAAGGTTGCTGAATGAATGGCTCCAGCAGCCAAGATTCAGAGAGGAATTTAGTGCAACTGGATCTATACAACACCCATGCATTTGTGGCTCTTGAGAGGCAGGGACTAAGATATATATATATATATATTTTTTTTTTCTTTTCTATAGAACATTATTGATAAAAGATCAACAGCAATCTACCAACTCCAGGACCATTTTTGCAAGGTGCAAATCACTCCTAAAGACAATGTTGGAATGTTTACTTGTGTATTTCATTGGGGGAAACGCCCATCTTTTAAATGTTATCAAACTTATTTTTTGGTAGGTGTTCCAAAGTTTAACAGGTAACTCGTGCAGAGCAAAGGATCCTGCGGTGGCATGTCACTCTTCACTCCTCAGGAGGGTCTTCCTACATCCTGTAGTTCTTGTTTCCTGCACTCCCTCTACTTGCGTTCTTCAAATGTACTTCCTATAAATAAAGGAGAAAAAGTGACATTAACTTGATGAAGTTTTATGTATCCATCTATTTCTAACATTGGGCCTCAACCTTCCATGTCTTACGCCTTACCAGTTGAGCTAATAGAGAGCTTGAACCTTGGTTTTCCTGAGAAGGGCATGTATAGGTGGACAGGCCCTTAGTACTTTTGCCAAACCTCACTCAGGCATCTTCTATGTACCCCTGGTGGCGTGAATACCACAGACAGCTTTATAATCACACAAAGATGAGATTTGATTCATCTGCTTCTATCACAGATTCATTGATTGAAAGGAGATCCTGAAAAATCCAGCCTTCTGGCCTCTAGATCCTTTCCTAGTAAGAAAAAAAATCAATCACATTCTGGATTCATCCTCTGTTGTTTTATTGCAGTTTGTTCTGTTTTAATTTTTGTAAAAAAGAGACATTTATTTTTCATTGTTTTTCTTGTTTTCCTCTAGAGCAAGGCAGAGTTTCAGAAATCGAAGATTAGGAAATCTTATAATTAATTTTGAGTCTGTAAAATCATAGACATACTGGGCTGAGCTCAACTCGTAGCTTTTCTATTTTCTGGCTGTGTAAACTTGTATGAGTGGCAATCTCTTGTGTTTCCGTTTCTTCATCTATAAACTAGGGTAACAATAATATCTACCTTATAGGATCAAAGATTAAATAATTAATATATATAAAAGTACTTACAATAGACCTGGCACATGGTAAGCACTACATAAGTATTAGCCACTATTATCATTATTAAATCATTTTTCTCTTCTTAGTATTGTCATCTTTATTGGAAAGTAACCATGCCAAGACTAAAAGTCCTGGGTTCCTAATTTGGTGTTAACATTCACTCATCAACAAGCAATGATGTTATCTTAAGGATAGTGAGGGTTTTTTTTTTTTGGACAGGGTCTCACTCTGTTGCCCAGGCTGGAGTGTGGTGGTGCCATCTCAGGTCACTGCAACCTCTGCCTCCCAGGCTTACACAATCCTCCTGCCTCAGCCTCCTAAGTAGCTGGGACCACAGGCGCATGCCACCATGCCTTGACAATTTTTTTTTTTTTTTTTTTTTTTTTTTTGTAGAGACGGGGTTTTGCTATATTGCCCAGGCTGGTCTTCAACTAGTGGGCTCAGGTGATCTGCCTGGCCTTGGTCTCCCAAAGTGCTGGCATTCCAGGCATGAGCCACTGCACCCGGCCTGGATATTGAGTTTTGCTTAGAATAGAAGCCCTGTGAGACCAGAGATGTATCTGTCTGTTTACTGTTATAGTCCCAGTGTCTAGAGCAGTGTGCAGGTTATTGCAGGTGCTCAATAAATATCTGTAAAATGAGTGAAATGAATGAATGAGTATGAGGGACCCCCTTGTGATGTGCAGAACTAAGTCATTATATTATAATACTTTTCCTACAGTTATTACTTTATCCTTGAATGTATTTAAATTGCAAAGTATGTAGACAGGAGTTTTGAAATAAAATCAAGGAGGAACTGGCATTTATATGCATAAACCTGAGGTACTTCTTTTTTTGGTTTTATCTCTAGCCAGAGAGCCCTCTACAGAAGGATGTAATGGATAATTATTGGTATACAGTGAGGTTCATAACCAAAAACAAAAGTTCTCTCCATGAGACCTGGAATCTGTAAACTGTCTTCTGGCTAAGGTAATGAACACCCACACAGTTACAATATTGTGAGGAGCTAAAGCACATTTGAGATTACACAGACCTGAGACCTGGAGAAGGTGAGAGGTTTTAATATGAAGGCTGGGGAAAAAGATAAACTGCCACCCCTTGGGAATAATACCTATTGGCCAAGGCCCATAGGGATCGGCAGGTTTTCTTACACATGTTTTCCGGTTCTACTTGGAACATGAGAGTTATCACCAAGTCCTTCATGAAAGGTAGCTAGTGTTTTATGAGTCGATGGTCAACATCTTGTACTGACTGAGTAGAAGGAAGATGGCATCATTGTGTAAAAACATTCACTAAAATAGCTCAGTGACCACTGCAAAAAGGAAAAAAAGATGGTAGAAAGAAACTGGGCATTTGTATAGAATAACTTGAAATGCCATTTGTTTTAAATTCTGGCACTTTCCCTCAAATATCACAAAAGACCACTTAAGATACATTTGTTGTGGTGCAAAGCATCTACTGCTAAGTTCCCAGTAAACTTGTGTTTTGTTTTTTTTTGTTGTTTTTTTTTTTTGAGATGGAGTCTCGCTCTGTCACCCAGGCTGGAGTGCAGTGGCGCGTTCTCAGCTCACTGCAACCTCTGCCTCCCGGGTTCAAGTGATTCTCCTGCCTCAGCCTCTGTAGTAGCTGGGATTACAGACGCCTGCCACCATGCATGGCTAATTTTTGTACTTTTTAGTAGAGATGGGGTTTCACCATATTGGCCAGGTTGGTCTCGAACTTCTGACCTTGTGATCCACCCGCCTTGGCCTCCCAAAGTGCTGGTATTACAGGCGTAAGCTAAATGTGTGTTCTTAATCTTCCATTGGGTTCTGCTTTCTTTCTTTCTTTCTTTCTTTTTTTTGAGTTGGAGTCTCACTCTGTCACCCAGGCTGGAGTGCAGTGGTGTGATCTAGGCTCACTGCAACCTTTGCCTCCCAGTTCAAGTGATTCTCCTGCCTCAGCCTCCCAAGTAGCTGGGATTACAGGCACGCGCCATCATGCCCAGCTAATTTTTTGTATTTTTAATAGAGATAGGGTTTCACCATGTTGGCCAGGCTGGTCTTGAACTCCTGACCTCAGGTGATCTGCCTGCCTCAGCCTCCTGAAGTGCTGGGATTACAGGCATGAGCCATCATGCCTGGCCGTGTTCTGCTTTCTTATAGGAGTTCTCTAGAAAAATGAGAGAAGGACACATGGGGCCACAGAATAGCATCCCTAATGTTCCCAAACTCCTTGAAATGTTTTTGTTCAATTCTCAATCAACACTGTTGATGGTCTGTAGCTGATCAAACCCGCAAAATAGATATTATTAAGGATGCCATCTCTCTGCCTAACTACTAACCAAATTAATTAACAGGCGGAGAAACACACTAATTTGAATTTTACCTTTTGTTTTTCTGTTTAAGAGGCATACCAGCTCAAAATAAGAAGTTCTTTAAACATCTGCAATGCCCAAACTAAGAAAATATTCAGGAATGAAATGGGAACAAATTAAAAGAAAGCCTCATAAAGCGTTTAATCTCCATTCTTCCTCTCAAGCCAAATTAATCCCAAATTTCTACAAGAAAACATTAAGATACCATCTATGCTTCACTCTTTAAATTAGCGGGGGGCTATAGCAAAAAGAATTGAGGTTAGATTGACCAACCACATACATCCTATTTTTTGTCTCCAATAGAGAGATTCTTTTTCTTTTCTCTCAAAGCACAAGGTATAAAGTGTAAAGTCTGAGCGGAGGGATTCCCTGGTCTGTTTCTTCTGGGTCTGTCTCAGCATCACAGCAAAGCCATGGGCTGAAACTCACTTGAGTGAAGCAGATGCTGTACCAAGTAGCATGATTCCCATGCACACACGTGCACGGTGGAGGCCATTCAAACCAGCTGGGATATCGTCTGGTTTGCATTTGGCTCTCTTCCCAGGCTGTCACATGTGACTTCTTTGTTGCAGACAATGACAGTGACAAAACAAAAGCACTCAGGGACTAGGTCTCAGTTGCATCTGTTGCTTTGCTCATTGTCTTAACTTAATTACGCCAGCCACCCTTGACAATGGGCGGCAAGTGGAGGCATGTTAGAAGCAGCCGTCATCAGAGCTGGCACCCACCTTTGGTGCACTTCTTGAAGAGTTATGAAACTGTCTCACATTCAGTCAAGCAAAAACTTTTCACTTCAGCAGCTTGTCCAATACAAACAAACCAGCTGAAACTGTTTCTAGTATGCAACTAGACAGATTTTTAAAAGGAAAACAGTAGTGAGTAAATACTGTTTCCTATTGACACCAACGAAGGTAAGACTATTAAGAAAACATTGATCCTCCAGCTCACTGGGGTTGGTTAAAGAAGTTTACCCTTTAGAAGGAAAGGTTAACAAACACATTAGGAAATAAGTTTGTGGAGGGTTTGATTTGTGATATATATGATTACCCATTATGGACAGACACGCATATTTAGGGTGCTAGAAAAGGCCCTGAAGAGGCCATTCACCTTCTCCCATTATCTCTTGGTTCTTATCCAAGCTCCAAGCTTTCCTTTGGAAAGCTATCCACAGACTTTTCAATTAAGATTACTGTGCCAGGTGTGGTGGCTCACACCTGTAATCCCAGCACTTTGGGAGGCCGAGGTGGGCAGATCACTTGAGGTCAGGAGCTGGAGACCAGCCTGGCCAACATGGTGAAACCCCGTCTCTACTAAAAATACAAAAAATTAGCCTGGTGTGGTGGCGTGTGCCTGTAGTTTCAGCTACTCAGGAGGCTGAGGCAGGAAAATTGCTTGAACCCAGGAGGCGGAGGTTGCAGTGAGCTGAGATTGTGCCACTGCATTCCAGCCTTGGCGACAGAGTAAAACTCTGTCTCCAAAAAAAAAAAAAAAAAAAAAAAAAAAAAAAAAAAAAAAAGATCACTGAGGACTAATAACAACGGCAATAATAATAATCTTGCTTAACATTTGCAAAGGCTTTACAGTTTACAAAATAATATCACTGAATCCTTACAATCACCACATGAGGTGATGCGGTGTTATTCCTGTCAGTCCCACGTACAAGCTGAAGCTCGCTAACATTTAGTAATGTGCTTGAGGTCACAGAGGAACAAACTGATAGACAAAGGGCTAAAATAATAACAGTTCCCATTACTTGAACATTTGTCATGTGCTGGGGATTGTAGTATGTATGTAAATTGCATATATTTTCTTGTTTCCTATACTTCTCTCAGGGATAAGTACTACTGTCTTGACTGTTTTATCTTTAAGGAATCTGAAACTTAGGATAAACAACTTGCCTAATTTCTTATGATGGAGATGTAATAGTGGTTGGAATTTGGACCTATTCCTTCTGATTCTGGAGCTCACCAGTTAACCACTCTGCTAAACTGCCTCCCCAAGAGGTAAAAAATATCTAGTGCTTTCAAGTCCAAATCACTTTCCAATAGCAATAGTTGATAATATCATGAGCTGCCCATGCTTCCAGATGGGGGTAGATGCTAGTTTGGAGGGAAAGGCTGTGCCATGGGACAGAAGACTCAATGAGGAGGGTGAGTATTACCACAAGCTGGGACCCATTTGTAATGGTATTTATAGAAGTCTAGGAGCACAGTATTCAATTAGCAAAAGCAAACTCCCTAGGTATTATAACCCCCTTTTTTTCCTCCCCACTTATCTTTATGAGATTTTGCCTGAGAGATAGAATCTAAAAGGATAAAAATAGGCTCTTTAAACTTCAGGGAGGAAGCAGTGATGTTTTCAATAGACTATGTTTCCATCTCCACCCACTCCAAACAAGTTAAGTATTGTATGACATGAAGTCTAGGAAAAGCCTGGCACTCTATAAAAAATACTGGGAAAATTCTGTCCAGCATGGAATATCAGCAGCTTATTGTACAGCATAAAGTACTAACTCAGCATTGACCTGCTCCCAAAAAGGGCAAAATGAGAAGAAAAGAGCAGTGGATGATTGGAAAGAGGGCTCAGATATCAGCCCTTTACCTGTTGAAAGGGATGTGCTATAGCAATTTTGCTGGCTTGGCCTGGGGACATGTGAAATGGTGGAGGATGATTTAGATGTCTCAGTATCAACTTTGATATCTCTTTACTTCAGGGAATCACAAGTTCAAATTCCAGGAGAGTTGGATCAGCCTTTCCTCTCTGGCAGCCAGGCAAAGCGAGGGTCATGCGATCTACTCAGCACTTTGGGATGTGACTTCAAAACCAAAGAACAAGGTGCACATTTTGAGAAACGTGTACTCCTTGTTTATGTGGCTGCTTCTTTAACAGAGTGAGGGATATGTACTTACTGGACACAGTTTTGGTTAGCCCAGCATCACGTTTTTTTCTGGAAACCTCACCCCACTTTTTATGTGGTTGTAGGAATTCCCCCACCCCCTGCCAGTACAACGGCTCTTCTTTGGCTCTAGTGGATTGGAACAGGGCAGGCCCCTCCCAAGAGCCAGTGACCAAGTATGGTGGGGACATTGAGGCAGACCTATTTCTGAGAAACACAGAAATTTGTTGGGCAACTGTATTGCCCAACTTTGGCTCAAAAACTCCATGATGACTTTGCTGAACTTTCCTTAGACCATAGACCCACCAAAAATGTTTCCAACCAATCTACTCTCTCTCTCTCCTTCCCTTGGGGTTAGGCTTGCCTTGCAATCTGATGGCTTTGCCTATCCTCCCCTATTTCTGTTCACACATTAATTCCCCCTAATAAAACCCCTGCTCATTTAACACCTTCTCATCTTCTGTTTCTTGGAGGACCTCATCTTATGCATCTGGTTTAAATCCTAGCTCTCCCACACAGTAGTCGTGTGACCTTTGATAATCACTACATTGTGCTGTCCTCAATTTCCTCTTCTGTAAAATGAAAGTGTGGGGTAAGAGCACCTACATCACAGTGGTGTTATAATTGGATGTAATAACCCTCAGTCATTTACCTGGCATGCGGTATAGTTGTATGCAGGAGAGTCTACTGTTTAGAAAAACCTTGAACCTAATTGTTAGCACCATCAGTCTGTTCTGGCTTGTGTGCTGTAAGAGCCCTCTCTGGGTCTACATTTGCTCAAGCATTGATGTTCTGTAGAGTAAATTCTGCATGTTTGTCTCTCCACTAAAACATAAGTTCCTTGAGAGCAGGTAGCATATTTCCTTCACTTCTATATCCTCTCCAGATCCAAGCAAAGTGTTTGAGCAAAGTGGCAAACCAGGAAATGCTCATTTAATGGATGCGAATTTCCTGCAGGAATGATGGAATGGAGTTCAGGTCAACAGCAAATATTGCATGGCTGCTTACTTTCTTCCTGTGGTATTCTCTACAAGGACAAATAGCACAGAACCCCCTGCCATCTCATACAAGTGACAGATTGTATATGGTAAATATCAACTAAGAAATGCAGGAGAGAGTGCAGTGCTTGATTAGCACACTGTGGTCTATCTATCTCGGGTTTGGATTCTGCTTGACCGCTTGTTAGCCCAAGACGTTGGCAAGACACTTAGCCATACTCAGCCTGAGTTTTCCTGTCTATACAATAGTGATAATTGTGGTACTCACTCTGCAAGCTTCATGTGAAGATTAAATGAGGTGATTCCCTATAGCTCTTGCCACAGGGCAAGTACCTAATCAATATCAGCTATTATGATTCTTTTTAATTTACTTTTTAATTGTTACTATTGTCAAAGCAGTTTGCATGCTAGAGTGCTGCCCTTTCTCTGGCTGAATGTGGGGAAACAGTAGCTAGCTCCTTGGTTTCCGGAGCTCCGTTGAGTGCTGGGAGAGTGGACTTACAGCTCTGTTTTCTAGTGACTGGGGCATCCCTAGGAATCCCCAGGAATCAGAGGACTTTATTCCAAGATTATCTTGACTTAGCAACTTTCTTACTCTTTTAAAGACTACCACCTGACTCTATTTCAAATATTTCTGCCTGTGATGTAAAAAATCTCTATCAAAATGGTTTAAAAGCCTGGGGAACAAAGAAAAAAAAATGCCAAGGGTAGTTTCCCTTGCTGACAAGAGGTGTTTATGTTGCCTTTAATAGTCATGAAGGATGTTGTAAAATACTTCAGGATCAGGGCTCCCCAGACTGTTGATTTTATGGGCAGCTTGTTTGCTTAGCTGTTTGTTTGTGTTACATTTTTAAATTTAAAAAATGTTTAAGCTTATTATCTTTCGCAGAGGGAGTTGATTTTGGAATTGCTGAAAGGTTCAAATGTGGTATTTTAAAAAGTGAAACACCAGATTCTAGCAATTTTGCTGCTATGTGCTAAAGATTCAGCACATTAGTACCTAAAAACTGGATTTGATTATTCTTTTTCTCTTAAGCCTCCAAAATGCCATTGTTTCATCTGACATACAATTTATGCTAGAGTTACTTAAACTGGTGTATGCAGTAACTCCTATTGCAGTGTTCTTGGGAGATGTGAGGCCTAGGGTTTTTACCTTTTGGTGTCATTTCAATGCAATAGTGATGAGTTCACAGGGTTAGGAGGAAAGGGTGTTGCCCTCTTTCACTCATTCCTTGTGTGTGTGACAAATCTGGGCAGAACATTCAAATGCTGTGTTCTGAATTTTCCTCCTCACTGAATTGAGAGAAATTTTGGAAGTTTGGAAGGCTCTCTTGAACTTTTAGGATGAACAAAATAACACTATGAGAAGTTAAATTGATTTGCCTCTGTTTGAGGTTGATGGGGGCCTTCAGCATATAAAAGTAAACATGCAGAATGCCAGCCAGTGCTATTCCAAGGCAGAGAATGGCTCAAGAACATTTTATGCATGCATACAGTTTTAAAAAAATCAGAATTGTGGCATTGTGCCAAAAGCACCTCTACCTTCATCCTAGTGTTCTTTTGAAGAAGAAAACATATTATTATTTATAAAGAGACAAATCAGAGCATTCAATAGTGACCTAGGTAAAACAATACTGACAAAATAACAGTAATTATACTATGCATTTATTGATTCATTCATATTTTTCATTCCTTCTAGTCTTCCAGTGCCTCACAAGCTAGTCAAGCATGCCACATACTTACACCATGACATAAACATTGCACATCCCCAACTCTACAATTGTCGGCTGATTGAGAACCTTACTCAACCGTCAACCTGCCATGGTCTTGCTCCTAATTATTTGGAACTTTTGTCTTGCCATAATTGTGAACTAAAGCCGTGAAAATAGCACATATTTTCACAGATGGCAGGGCTAGTTGGTCCTTGATTACTTGACCTCTTGGTGCTGGCTAGACAGAAAGCCCCAAGTGAATGTTTATACATTGTACCCAGAATTTTGTAGAAACTTTAGCCATGGATCCCAGCTTGGAAGCTTGGACCATTTGGCCGGTTTGGGTTTGATGTAAAATTTCTTGGTCTTTCACTGGGAACTTTCGAGTTATTTTATGAGACAAGAGCTGCCATCATACTCAGCTTTTCATAAATCTTGCTCTTAACATCTTATCTTCATATGGGCATTTTGACCATGTCAGTTAGAGAAGCCCAGGAGGACAAGGTAACCCATTGTCATCTTTTTTCCGGAGTGATCATAACAGATGCCTACTCAAATAAATGAATGTTCCTTTATCTGACCCAATGGGCATGAAAGCATATGAGAAACTGAATAGAGGAAGTTAGAGGCTAATGGTTAAGAAATGGGAAAGTGGTAGAAGAGGCATTTGATGGGTTTTGCCTGTAATCCCAGTCCCTAATAGAAGTAAGGGCAGGGGATGATAGAAGGAAGATTGGCTGGATGCATTGACCTTTGGTTGTAATGGGTCAATAATTAGACCTAGAAATTTCTAAAATTGCAAATTGGTTCTATAGGAAAGTTACTGCAGTCTATAGACAGGGACCTAGAGAATCCTTCTCTGTATGTTAGATGGGAAATGGTAGAAGTCCCTGGATCCTCAAAAGATACAATAAAAAGAAAACCAACTTATTTCCACCCCTCCAATAATGTCCTCTCTATTTCCTGAATAATTTTTAATTTAGGATGAGAAACAGGCTTTTGAGAAGACAAAGGAATCCTGCAGTTTTTACTGAATGATGGTTAGTTTTTACAGAGGAATTTACCTTCACTGAAAGACAATCCAAGAAACTGTTCTCACCTATAATTTTGGAAAATAGTTCCCCCCAGCTCTGTAATGGGTGCAACAATGCTAGAACACAAAGGTGCACACACACACACGCGCACACACACACACGAAGGAAGGGGAGAAACTAATCCCCTTCCCCTCAAAACTGTTTGGTGTAGTTTATTACAGATTCTAAATTGCTGCCAAGGACATTTAGAATTAAAATCAGCTTGATGCACCTTTAGCATTCTTATTTCTAACCATCATACTTCCACTTTTTAAAAAGTTAGCTTCTTGACCAATGGTTCTTAAAACTATAATCATATTAGTTAAAAAAATAAAGATGGGAATTTCCAAAATGTTTTCTAGCTCCTGTTACTCATCTAACAATAGGCAATGAAAGTTATAATTGAGTTCCTGGTATGATAAGAACTTTCTTAGGGGCTCTCTGGAAGAATCAGACATGGACTCATAAACCTCTTTTCCCATAGCTCTCATCATTTCCCTATTGTTCTCAATCTCCATTTCTCTCTTCTGGAATTTAAACATACGTTTATATTTTTAAATCATTTCTTTTGGACACTGGATGAAAATGGGATGGCACTAAAGGCATTAAGGAGTCCCATTAAAAAAGGACCTCCAAATATGTGGGCATCAGGGAAAAGTTCTGATTCCAGTTAGGCCTTTAGGGATGACAGAAAAGCTGATTTTCACCTTGCAGGTCTGGAAGTTTTGTGGACCTGGAGAATTTTTGCTAACCTCAGCTACTCCCTCTTTAAAAATTGACCTGTCTTGCTTAGGCCAAAGGAATCAGTAACTGGGCTTTAAGTATTGAGGTGAGCATACAAACTGGATATTTCAAAACTCATAAAAAGGGATTTGGATTCTGCTTCATCTAAAACTATTAATCTTTTCATTGCTCCTGAAGGCTTCCCCTTTAACTAGAGACTATCAATGTTGCCCTTGGATTAAAAGTCAACTCTGTGTTATCTAGTGAATATTGCAAAAAAGCACTATTCTTTTCCTATGGGCAAATAAAAAGAATAGATCTCATCTTGCCCAGTGGATGTTAATGGACTTGAGAAATTGCAGAATTTATTACCTAAGAAAACAATGTTTCCCTTTAGTGGGAGGGAGGTCGTCAAGGGATGGAGGCGAGAGAAGGGGAATTGCTCTTTGGGAGCTCATTTCTTTGCCTCCTTTTCCACCCTTACATTCGAACAGTGCACACATTAGAAGCTGTGTGAGGTTTTGTTTGTTTTCAAGAGATGTTTGAAAAAAGATCAAATGCTTGTGAAAGGCACTGGATTGGCAGCCCAAGAAACTAAAGTGTCCCGGAAGCTGTGTGAGCCCAGAAATATCCTGCATTTCTATTTATTTTGGCAATTTTACTTAAGACTACCAATAACTGGAGTTCATACTACAATTAAATTTTCCCCAGGCACCATGAAATGAAAGCACGTATTACACTTAATTTTAACTGGTTGAGAAAAATGGTGGTTTTCTGAAAGTTCATTATATGACCCGGAAACAGAAGCAATGGCTCTCACTTGGGAGAGCCAAGCTACCTATTTAAGTTGGAATTATTCATAGAACCAGGGGTTCTCTGGGTTGGAATGGTTCTTAGGTCATTGAGTTCTCTTATCCTACCACATGCTTGAAACTCTACTACCACATCATGGAAAAGCGTTGGCAAGCTTGGGCTTGAAGTTTTTGGTGACACAAGACTGGCTTCTACTTCAGGAGACCAACTTCTTTTTCACATAGCTCCAATTTTCAGAGGTAAGTAAAATAATGTTAACTAAAACTTGAATAATGCTTACTAAGTGCTAGATACCATTTTAAGTGCTGTAATATGTGTCTCTGAATATACACCTCCCACTCCTTGCACAGACACACACATGCACACACTACACTCACACACATACACACACACAATCTCAATAAACCCTCACAACAACTGAATAAGGTAGATTCAGTTGTTGCCCCTATTTAACAGATGAGGAAACTGAGGCACACATAAGTTACATGATCTGCCCAAAGCCACAATGCAAGTAAGAGCCAAGATTTGAACCCAGGTAGTCTGAATCTACATTTTGTACTCTTAATGACTGTATTTTACTATTTATTTATTATTTAATTTTTTTTTGAGACAGAGTCTCACTCTGTCACCCAAGCTGGGATGCAGCGGCAGGATCTCGGCTCGCTGCAACCTCTGCCTCCCAGGTTCAAGGAATTCTCATGCCTCAGCCTCCTGAGTAGCTGGGATTACAGGTGCGTGCCACCATGCCCAGGTAATTTTTTTGTATTTTTAGTAGAGATGGGGTTTCGCTATGTTGCCCAGGCTGGTCTTGAACTCCTGAGCTCAGGCAATCTGCCCGCCTTGGCCTCCCAAAGTGCTAGGATTACAGGCATGAGCCACTGTGCCCAGCCTTAAGGACTATATTTTAGCCTCTCCAATGCTTATAACTCTTGTTCATGCCTAGTACAGAGGTTTGCACATTGTAGATGCCCAATAACAAATACTTTTCACCAATTTTATTTCAGGATGATTATTCCATACATATTCCAATTAGTTTTACACACAATTATCAATTTGCCCTAGGAAACAATTGAAGTTGAAACACTGGAATTTTAAATGATTATTAATATTCTGCTTACTTCAAAGAAACATTAAGGGGAGTAATAGGTGTATAATATTCACTATGAAATTCTTAGCCAGTTGCCACCTGTAGCAATAGGTCCTTGAACAATTTCAATTTGGCCAGCGAAGGAAATTCCAAACATACAATACTTGTATAAGCATAGCTCCTATGCCTTTCCTTTTTTACTCTGTACTTGCCTCACTGTCTTGTGTAGGAGAATAGGAATCATTTCATCTCAGAAGTGCCACTTGTTTTTATGGTGTGTCTTTCTACCACTATTCATCAGCCTATGTTACTCATTTGTCCATCCAACCATCCATTCATCCATCCATCCATCCATCCATCCATCCATCCATCCATCCATCCATCCAACATTATATGCCATGTATCACTAGAGGCTTGGGTATTGATACTGGAAAGAAGGAAATGGAAAGATAATATAGATTCTTTCTGTTTTCTTGGTTCATATTATTCAGTAATCACATGTAGGCATTCAAGATAATTGCTTTAGAGTTGATAAAACTCATTCCGAAAAGAACTGTCTTATAGTACATAGTTTGCTAGTTAAGCATTCTTTAACTAGAAAGTCTTTTTGTTCTTCCTTCCCTTTCCTTCCTTCCTTCCTTCCTTCCTTCCTTCCTTCCTTCCTTCCTTCCTTCCTTCCCTCCCTCCCTCCCTCCTTCCTTCCTTCTTCTCTCTGTCTTTGCCTTTGCTTTAGTTCTTCTTGAATGAAATTTATGATTGGGTATAATTATAGTTTATTCAAACCTTTCCACAGGACATGAATTCTTAGTTATTCCATGGAACTGTGGTCCTTTGAAGAGCCATCTGTGTCTATATGCTACTCTAAGGTGATGGTTGTAGTAGGAATTGGCTTCTGTCTGCAGCTGGTCCCAAAGCATGGATGTCTTAGCTGGAGAACTTAGTATCTCCTGAATAAGGTGACTGGCCACTTGGGCTAAGGCACGAGCCTGGCTTCTCTCTGCTCTGATAAGCCAGGATCCACTTTGCAACCACAGCAGCAGTGGCTTGGCTCCCATGTGGGGCTTTGGCATGCTTTCAGTTCGACCTTTTCCTCCTGGATTGAGCCGTGAACATGTCCATCATATTTAAGTAATCCTGGGTTTTCAGTGAACCACTAGAAAGGGTGATCCTGGAGTAAAAAGCATGGCAGAGGCATGGAGGACCAGGCAGAAAGGAGGTTCCTTTATACCATGACATCTTCAAAATAGACTACTTGGATGAAATGCTTCACTTCTGGGTTAGTCATATTCTTACCCCAAAATGTCACCATTTGTTTGGTAGAGAACTTCCGTCTTGTACCCTTTCTCAGCTCTTCTAATTCACAACTTGGAGGATGGCGAGAGTTTTTGCTTTATTATCTATGAAGACCCCAATCCTACTGATTAAACCAAGGGATCTGAAGGAGAAGATCTCTAAAATCTGAATTCTGTGATTCTATTTAACTTTTCTTCACCCTCAGGGAAATCCAGCACTTTTGCTCTCATTCTCTCCCTTCATTTCTGCCCTCTCTTTTCCTTCTGGAATTCTTTCTTAGTTGACCCACTTTGATTATGTGCTGTTGTCTCCTGGCCAAAAGAAGAGCAGCTTAGAACCCAAGCACATCTTTACCCACTTCTGGATCTCAGTGTCCTAGTCTTCAAAATAAGGGGATTTCTGAGGCTTCTTCCAGATCTAACATAGTATGTTCCTGGGGTTCTCATGGAGCAGAAACTCAGGGTTTCAGATATAAAAATAGATCTGTGGTGGGGTGGTGGAGGGGAGTGTTTTCTAGGAGCTGTAATCAAAATGCAGTGGTTATCATCAGAGATCAGAAGTCTTCTGTCACTGGCTGAATTGTGTCCAAATTCATGTGTTGAAGCCCTAACTCCCAGTACGTCAAAATATGACTGTATTTGGAGACAGAGTCTTTACAGAGATAATTAAGTTAAAATGAGGTCAGTGGGGTGGGCCCAAATCCAACCTGGCTGGTGTTGTTTCACACAGAGGATGTTTAGACACAGAGATATGTATGGAGGGAAGATGAAGTGAAGACACAGGGGGAGAAGAAGGAGGCCACCTACAAGCCGAGGGGAGGAGCCCATGACAGAGCCTTCTCTAAGGCCCTTGCAAGGGCTGATACTTTGATTTTGGACTTTCAACTCCCAGAACTATGAAAAAATCAATTTCTGTGGTTTAAACTACCTAGCCTATGATACTTTGTTATGGCAGCCCTAGCAAACTTATACATCTTTTATATCTGATTCCAAAGTGCAAAAAAGATGAAGAGTGCAGTGACCTCTTCTCAAAAGTTACCTCACAGACCTCACAGGGTTTTAGGCAATACCGGATGCCCTTTGGCCTAAACCCTGGACTTGACTAAGAAATGCAGCCTCCAATGACATTGCGGGAAAAGGGAATCTGGGAACTTCTATGACACAATTCAGTCTTGCTGAGCATTTGGGGCTAATATTTAACTCTGAACATATATTGACATAGGCAATTCTTCCATAACAGATTCATACAAAATTTAAAAATGCATATAGAAGCCTTAATTTTTATTTAAATTCTTTTATTTAATTGTGTTTTAGAGGCAGAGAATAGTGTGTCTTTTTTTGCCTCTTTTATAATTTTTATTTTTTTTTTTCATTTTTGCCACTGTCTTTCTTTGCGCTTTCTAGGGCATTACATTTTTCTTTTCCGTTTTCTCCATGTTTCTTAGCGAGATTCTCTAAAAGGTTACTTCTATTTCCATCACATCATCATCTAGCTCCAGCAGGCCTACTTTTCTTCATTTCCTCTATTGTATTTTCTGCTTTTCATTCTTGCTGTCTGCTCCTCTCTCATCATCCTTGCCTCTGTCTGTTTAATCCTCCTGTCCTTCATTTTCCTTTTTTGCCTCTGCATTCAGCATTTCTACTTCCAATCTCCCTCCTCTGCTCTTTCTTCTTTCCTCTGATCTGCAGACTTGCTTCTGTCCCCTCCTTCTGTTCCCCTCCTGGATGTGTCTTTGGCCAACCTTTCCTTCTCTGAGACTTCGTGTTCTTGTTGGTAGATGGGGGCTGATACTGTAAACATCACAAAAATAATTGCATTGAGAACAAGTGGTTCCCATGGTGTCCCTTTGAATGAGCTCAGAATGCCCAGGCTCCATATGATGCAGGAGACAGCACTCATGCTGGAGAGGGGTCTAGACCTCAGTCACAAGACCCACCATTCCAGAACTTTGGGACTCATCTCTTGACACCTACCCCCTCCCCAGTTAGAAACCAAGAGGCGCTGGGTCACCTGGGAAGAGAAAGAATGAATCTGCCTTTGCCCCAGCAAGCACGCTTTCCTGCCACATTCACCTAAAAGTCTTTTCTGAGATCCTTGCTTCCTGCCTGGCCAGTGGCTACTGTGTTCTGTGTGTGTTGGGTCTTGCCCAGTCCCCTTCCATCCTTCAGAGGGGCTCCCTGGGGTCACATCTCCAATAAGCCACCATGGTCCTCTTCCAGCCTCAGCTGAGGTTTAAGACCAGGAAGCAGCGAAGGTGTCATGGTGAACTTCTTGATCTCTCATCTTGTGCTTTTGCACAATATTATTAGTTCTAGCTCCAAAGATTAAAACCACATGTTGGCATTTCTTTTTTCAACAGAGTCCCCAAAATACTTAAACGAGAGCTATTTCTTCCCTTACTCAACTTCCTTGCCTTCTCTTTTTCCTCCTTTACCTTCTCTTTAGTTCTTATTCTTTCTACTTAATGGCTAAAATTTTAATCTCTTATATTCATTTGTTCATTCGTTCACTCATTCAAGAGAAATCGATCAAGTGACTAAATGTGCATCAGATGTTTTATGTACTACTGATGGCATAGTTGGTACCTCTGAGGTTTGTTTACAGTCTAGCTCTTAGAAAATGATGCCTGCAGATTTTGATCATTACAAATGTCTAGGCATTCTTATAGCCAAACAGAAATTTCTATTTTTAATGTTTCATGTTTAATTATGCTTGCTACTGAATATGAATTTTGAATAGTTCCCATTAGCCTTTTATTTTCTTTGGAAGATTGTAGAATCTCAGAACTTGAAAGGTTACAAGCTTTGTTATTAAGTGCAATTATGGCAGACATTAACGATGGTCCAACAATTACTTTATGCAGGCATGTGAAAAGCATCTCAAAGTATATGCATGAGCTACTTAATTTTGACAACAAACTGATGTGGTAGATATTATTATTATCCCAATGTTACTGATGAAACTGAGGCTTGGGTACATCACATTATTTGCCAAGGGCTCTAAGCTGGTGTGTGAGAAAGCCAGGACTTCACTTTTGTCTGACACCAAAGCCCATGTTTGTTTAGCCACTGTTTTGTAACATCTTCCAATCATCACATCGTCCATAGCGGTGGGAGGGGAAATTTGCAATGCAGAGTGACCAAAGAGATGGGGATGTAATCCATCCCTTTGGTGCAAAGGAGCTTTTCTGACTTGTAAGCCAGGAGACTATGGGGCAGGATTTCTGCTTGGCCCACCCACATGCACAAGAGAGAGACCACTTGAGGATGGCTGGATCCCACCCAGGTGGGCTTACCTTCTGGGTCTTGGGCATGTCGGTGTGGCGCTGGGCACGGACAGAGCGAGCTGACTTGGCAGGCTTGAGGGGTGCGCAATACATCTCCAGCCTCCTTAGATCACAGCTCCGGAAGCAGCACTCATCCACGATGCCTGTCTGAGGCGCCCTCCGACTGCTGGAGCCATACCCTGTGGGCTTGTCTGCACAAATCAAACAGAGTGGCCTCATGTTAGGGTGCAATCTGCTTTCTTCAGTCTTCCACCCAGCTCCTGCCTCTCCCCACAGCTAGTCAACCTACATATTCTGCAATGTCTCAACCTCTTCTTGAAACTTCCCCAATGATTCCTGACCCCACGTATCTTTCTGAATGCCAGTATGTCTCCCGGAGTCTGTACCACACTCATTAGCACTAACTCATTCACCATGCTATTTGTGGTAACTCTCCCCAAGTTTTGCAACCTGTAGGCAAGGATCTTGTCTATGCCCAATCCTAGTCTTTTCTTATATATTGGCTTCAGAGGATGATAGAAATATTAAAATAAGATCATGCATTGTTTTCTTAATCTTGTTGGCAACGCTGCATTGCTTTTATAAGCAGGACAGCTCACATGTTTGCCTTTTTGTTTAACTGCTTTGACTATATAGTCAGGTTGAACATCAAAGAGTTTTTAAGTTTGGAAAGGGCTCCTCATTTTACTAATGTGAAAACTGAGACTCAGAGGTGGCAAAGACTTGCTGAAGGTCATTCATGCAGTAAGTCGTGGAGTCAAGATGCAAACTCAGATCTACTTGCTGCAAAGCCCAAGTGCCTCATTGAGGAGCCCAGGAGAACTGTTGTATGACTCTGGAAAAGTCACTAAGCTCTCTGGGCCTCAGTTTTCCCATTTATGTAATGGAGTTAATAATATCTTCCTTGTAAGAATTGTTTGAGGATTAAATGAAATCAAGTATGAATAATGCATAGCACAGCACCTGACATATAGTGTAAGTCGTAAGTAAATCATAGCCAGCTTTCTGCGAGTACCGTTTCCAGGATCCTATGTGGTTTGTGAAGAAGCATTGTCACTATTGACCGTGTACAGAAGTCTTGGGACTTGAAACTAATTACAATACCAATCTAGTAGGGCTCCCTCTCTTACCACCCCAAGAGGCCAGAACAATGAATTCTATTTCTTATTGAGTAACTGCCAAACTGAAACAGTGAACGAAATGTCCATCTTTCATGTGATTCTGTTCTAGCTCAGGCAAGGGCAGAGGGACAGAAACTTGCTTTCTCTTCTCCTCCCTTATCTCTCCTGGTCTTCTCCACGGATGCTCAGGCTTTATGGAAGAAATTTTATAAATCACGGGCACAGAAGAATCCAATTTATTAATCTGACATGTATTCAATCTTAATTCCTGACAGAAGAAAACATTACGTTTTAAATCACAAGTCTATGTTTCTGTAATAATGACACCATTACTTGAGGATAGGGTTTGGAAAGTCAGAATCCTCATGTATTTTGCACTCCCTCATTGGGGGAGATCAGGCCCATGGTAATGGCCTGCTACCAAACCAGTTTGGCTGCCTCCCTGCTGGAAGGGCCAGCATTCATGGCAACCTCTAAGAACCCAAATGCTTTCCTGATGCTTGGCACAGGACCCTGGTGGCTGCTTCCTTCTGTAAGGCAGGTTTATTGTCATTCTTAGGGCAGCTGGAGGTAGTAACTCAGTGAGGGTTCATTTGTGGTCTTTCTGGGCAGAGTCTGCTGTGCAGATCTCGAAGCAGACCCTGTGGACTCCCAATGGCTGTGGCATTTGGGAGGGACTGGGACCTGGCAAGCCATGTCTCAGCGGGTCCCCTGAGCAATGTAAACAATATTTTTTTGTTTTTTTGTTTTTATAATCTTTTCCTGGAACTATAAATTAGAGGAAAGACACAAATGGGCTTACACTGTCCTTTGTAATCCACAAAGGACTTCTACGTACTTTTTGCTAAGTGGCTAGCCAGTAAAGCACAGCTGATACCCTTTGGCTTCTCTCTTGTGGGTGGGGAGGAAGGAAAAGGTGACTTGGCCTATTTTGTGATCATTGTATCTTTTGCCCATTACAGGTAATGATTGCCCTTTGTTGAAACTATAAATTTCCTAATGGGATGTAATTGGGATTCATTTGTTGATTATGAAATGGTAACTTGATGTTTGGGGGTGGGCTGGTAGGAAGAGCTCCAGAAACTTTCAAAGTTAGCCAACTCAGAAACAACTGATTTCAAAATTCATGGTTAGCCTTTGAAGATAGACAAGGGCAGGCTTTGGGATTCCAGGACCTATTTAGTATTTCCCTTTCAAGCTCCTCTAACTTAATTCTGCTTCTGAGGTCCCACAGGTGCTGGAGCTCCTTGTCTGCTATAAGAGGAAGACATTAACCTTCATCTTGGGATGGCAGAGAGAGTTTCTATGATTGTATATTCACTTCTTGGTGACTGTAAACAACCATGAAACTCACCACATGTCGATTTCCTCTTGTAAAATAGAAAGTCATCATCATCACAGCAAAAAAAATAACAGGAAATACCAGGCATCTGGTTTATCACCTTGCTTAAATGAGCTCAGAATTTGACATGACTCAGTCAAACTCTAAGCTCATCTAAACTCTGAGCTCATGCTTTTTAGTCTGTAGATCGATGGGTTTAGGTACAGAGAATTTTAGGACTTTTCTGCAATGTTCCATAGAGAAAGTTTATCTTATGTCTACATTTGTTTTTTTAAAAAATATTGTTGAAATAGTGGTATACAGACTTCGATTTTGCCATAAATATAATTACCAATTATCTCTAGCTACCACAATCCTAGAGAGATGTTTTTCTTTGTCTACTCATAATGTCTACAATGGACTCATTGTACGTCATTGGGAATATATGAATATAACAAGTGTTTACCTATTGCCTTTTGAAGTTTAATTCATCTTTTGAAGTGCCCTGTAAGCTTGATTTCTTCTGGCTCTACATCAAAATATTTAACAAACAAAAAACTCATTTCTCGCCAATTGAAAGATCACAGTTGAGGGTCAAAGTTTTGTTCCATATCTTCAAATGCTACATATTGTTTATTTTTCCAGAACCACAATAAAGATATTTGCTGCTATGGTCTACAGGTAGAGGCCTGATACAATGTAATTTATTAGAAAGCTAATAAAACAATTGGCTTCAGTATTTGACATTTTCCTATTTGAGATAGTTATTTTTAATGACTTCTAAATTATAACTATTGTCATTTCGACTAATTTTTAAATGAGATGGAACTAATTGTTTTATCTTTGCCTTGAGAAACTCTTCATTAGGTGCTGTATAATTCTGTCCCAGTGGGCAGAATCAGAGCTGGTAGGTGAATGAAAAACAAATATTGGCTTAATATAAGAAAAGCATTCCTAACAATTTGAATTTACAAGTGTTACATATGGGACAGATTTCAATGAAAAGTAATGAACTCCCCATTGCAGGAAACAGTTAAGTAAAGGCTGTAATAAACATCTGTCAGAGATCCTAGCAGAAGATTCCTATGTTGAACACAGTGGATGACTGCTATGGTCTTTTCTATTCCAGACATTCTATAACAAGTGAAGAGATGAAGGAGAAAACTGGCTTGGGCCCAATATTCAGTATGGTTGGAAACCACTTCAAGGAAGAGGTGCAAATATATTCTAACTTAGAAGGTGAAAAGTTGTTTTCTATCTATTTGAAGTTCCCCAAGATGCTCTAAACACTTTTTAATTGTCCTTACTCGATGCTACGAAAAAAAAAAAAAAAAAAAAAAAAAAAAAGACCGGTGCCTGGTATAGTCCCTTCTACAGCAAGGTGTGGTCCAACAGTTCTGTTGTACTGGCATGAGGAAGTGTTCATGCACTTACTCAACTGTTAGAATGAATAGGCATGTATAACATTCCACATAATTTTTCTTGCTGACAAAGTCTTGACATTAAAAATTTATATATTTATTTTGTCAGTTTTGCTTCAAAGGTTTCATAGCATGTAGACCAAAGATTGCTTACCAGACAAGTTGGCCACCACCTATCCTAGACTTTGACTCCTCCATGACTAGACATAATGTTTAGTCACAATGTACTGCTGTATCTTAAAAGTTGGCCAACAGACAGAATTCCAATGGTTAAACAGCTGGCTTCTATAATAACAGCACTTCCCTTTAAATAATGCATGGTCGGGGAGTAATTCAATAATCTTCAGGGCAAACTTGCTAGTTACAAGGGTTTTGGGCAGAACTGTGGCATCATCAAAACCACACCAATTAGCTGAGTCTCACATTTTGTAATGGATGCAAGCAACTCGCTCCCCTCCATCTCTGAAGGGAAATGTGTAATGCTGAGATTTAACCGGGGTCATCACTTCTAGAACAAAGGACTCTGGTTGTTCATCACTGGCAAAAATGGTACTACCTCCTCTACTGATGCTGCATAAGTTTGTGTTTCTTATAGATTTCTGGGAATGCAGTTGGAACAATGCATTCAGCTTTAATTTCCTTTGAAACTTCCCATCTTGCTTCTTGAGAAAGTTTTATTTTAACTATTTCAACTCTATCATTGGAAAGGGAAGACATTGATTTGAAGAGTCAGTATTTAAATAATAAAAAAACGCAAACGTTTTCAAGTTGGGAAGCAACTAGTTCTTAAGATATACATTTGTTATTCTTTGAGTTCTAAGGAATAAAACTATTCTTTAGAAATTTGCTAACAGGAAGAGGTTCCAAAGTTGATCCCTTTTTTTTTTTTTTTGAAAGGAGGAAAAAAGAGGTAAGACAATTAACCTGGATTTTAAGGGCTATTTCTAGAAAATGTTCAATTATATGTCTGATAAAAAACACAAATGAAATTATTAGCTAATAAAAATGAACCTGCATTTCACTTAGATTAACTAAGGATTGATTACACAACCAAATATTACAGTTAAGATCTGAAGAATCTGGAAACTTAGGTTTTTCACACCAGTTATTTATTTCAGAACTCCAGACACATTGCCAATTTAGAATAACTTGGAACGGTTAGTTTTTTAGGGCAAGATTTTCTCCCTGGGCCGCCTTATTTAATATAAATTCATTTGGTTTGCATTATTTTGCATGAGATACTAGTAGGAAAATTGTATAAGATATGAATAATCTTAAAGTAGTCTTCATTTTAGCATTTTAATTACTATTTTCATTTGTGGAAAAGGGAGAATCACCTCCCAATATTTCCTACATCTCTGATGGCTTTATAAGGAAGACTTGAGTCCTTTCATAAATTTCTAATATAAGGAAAATTGTGATTATATTATTACCAAGACCCCAATGTAATACATTGAATGGTTGATATTTCCAGAATTCATAGGATTTGCATTTACTTGAAAACCTTTTGAGAGTCAATATTTTGCCTTTAAATTTTTGTCTATTGAAATCACAACTTGAATTAAAGCAATTATTGAGTTATACATTGTCATGTGCTTAGTAAAGATATGGAAAGAAGCTTTTACTACTGTCAACTGGCCACATCTTTTTATGTTTAGAATAACATGAGTATGTACACACATATACTCAAACACATATTAGGGAATTAAGTGAATTACTGTAGTACCAAAGCTGCTGTAAAACATTTTGAAATTAGGATTTTTAAAAAAGATTTTCTAATATATCTATTGCCTGCCTTATACTTTGCTAGGAGACCCTGTACATTTCTGCTTTTCTGTGGAAGGATCTTTCCAAGTAAGATTGACCTTTGGCATCTTAAAAGTGAACACTGAGAAAATGTTCTCTTTTCTATGAACTGCATGTCATAAACTTTTCTTGAAAACCTATCAAATTTAGGCATCGATTTCACTTTTGGCCTGTGTTAATTTTTAATTGCCAGTGTTTGCTGGTCTCACTACCTCTCAATTGGACAAGGTCATCTTTTTCTAGGAATTATGGCCCTCTACGACCTGCCCCCACCCTCACTACTCAGCAACTCTTTCTCAGCTACTAAATCCCCATAACCCAAAAGACCAAAGTCTTCCGTTACCCAATCAAGTCAATGTTTTTGTTTCTCTGAGTCTAAAAGGAATGAAGCAGAGTTCTATGGGGCTGCCCCTTTGTTGAAAGCCTCCTTTCTTTTGGAAGCCCAAGTCAAGAGCAGGTGTGAAAAGAATGCTATTCAGCTCACCTTGGTTTCCAAGGCCAGGAAGCTAAAGTGCAAGTCCTAGGGGCGATAACAGCAAGAGATTCAAAGCAGAAACATTACTGTTTTAGGACTCTTTGGAGAAATGGGCAGACAGAGTGGGAAGCAACATGATGTATTACTTTAGCCTGATACAATGCCCTGGAGGATGAGTGTCTTGCCAGGACAGCACAATTTACTAGCTTAGGTCTGATTCCAGGGCTTGGAGGAGATAGATGTAGCCAACAAAATTATACTTTGGCAAGAGAAATGCTTTGCTGGACAGAAAAATATTGTCCTAAGGGAATGGTTTGGTTTATCAACGTCTAAGGTGAAAGATAATCAAATGCCAAGAGGTCATTTTTATGTTTGAATTATTTCAGTGGGGCCTGCTATATAAGTTAGCTACCATTTTCTAGTTATATTGTTTGTATTATTTAGAACATATTACAGAATTTGAGTATGATCTGCCTGTGACATCTGTCATACCAATGACAGAAGCAATATGTGAAGTGGCTAAAAGCACAAGTTTTGGAACCAGACAGTCTGGATTCTACTGTTTCTTTACTGTTAAGCTTTCATTTGGCAAAGGACTCAACCTTCTAAGATTCAGGTCCTCATATGTAAAAAGGATATATAAGAGTACCTCCCAGGACTGGCATGAAGATTAAGTGAGAATGTATGCAAAGTGTTTTGCACAATGGCTGGTATATGGTAAACTATATAAATGTTGACAATTATTATTATGGTGTTGAATTGGTTAACATAGCTAGTTGGGCAGGTATCCTCTTCCTCCATTAATCTTAAAAATGCATCCTTTCCAAAGTTTGGTCGAAGCAGATGGCCTTTCTAGATATTGTTATTCACTAAAGTAAATGAAAGGCTGTTCTCTTGAAAGAATGTCCAAACTTTATGTTGTATAGACTGGTCTGAATAGTTTTAATCTAGAATAGACACTATGAGAATGAATCTTTCAATCAAGTCAAATAAGGCGTATGGGCTTATCTTGACCCCTTGTTACCTTTGATTTGTCCCAAATAATCCACTGGTTAAAATCATTGGCTTTTTGGTATTAATATCAATGCTTCTTATTTCAAAACAATGCTGCAAGGCCTGGGATGA
The DNA here is from genome assembly GCF_000001405.40 of Homo sapiens. Classification (NCBI taxonomy): domain Eukaryota; kingdom Metazoa; phylum Chordata; class Mammalia; order Primates; family Hominidae; genus Homo; species Homo sapiens. The sequence continues at coordinate 102,426,769 of NC_000012.12, forward strand.
GTGTGGTGAAATACATGGTCAGAAATGGTTTCCCAATCACTTTCACCCAGCATAGTATTTCTCTCATCTCTCTCTACTTCATGTCTCATCTCATTCTGTTCTCTTCTTTTCCTATTTCCTTTCCTCTTCTGCTACTGACAGCCTTTGACATTCTTTTTATTCACTGATGTACTTTTGAGCAAGGCTTATGCCACTGTGGAGTTTACGGTAGGCTAGGTATTAGCATTTCATTTCCTCCCTGGAATGACTGAAAACCAGGGCTCCCTCTCCTGCCAGCCATGCTTTGGGAATAAGCAGTTACCCAGTATACAGTGTCACCAGGCCGCTTAATCACTACTCCATCTTGGACCCATGCCTGAATAAGATGAAAACTGCCAGAGAAAGAATAAGAAGGGATGTTGAGGAATCGCATACGTGGGCCTTAGCTGTCTCATTTTTTTTTCTTTTTTTTAGAAAGACTGACACAACTGTAAGCTGAGACTGGCTCCAGCTTGGAGATTGTAGCTATGCCACCAGCATTATCTCCTGTACTTACACTCTTATTGTTATTTTACTCTTTCAGATGTGGGAAGAGAGGCCTTGTAACAAAACATAAGGCATTCGTGAGTCGAGGGTAACGCCCTCTTTCTGGTGCCACAGAAAGATGAATCAGCCAAAGGGATATTAAAACACATTCTCTTTATTTTTAGTTTCTCTCTAAAGTCTTTCATTTCTTTTTTTCTTTGTAACTTGGCACCTGCCCTCTGTTCTCAGGGGCCCTGCACCCCATTAGTCTCCTCACTCAGGGACCTGTTTTTTGCTCAGGGCACATCTGGACCTTGTCCCAGGGGTGGGAGTGACATGGCCAGGATGGCAGGTGAAGGGGTGGCGGCTGCCAGGGCAGTCTGGCGTGTCTGGAGGGAGAGTGTTGGGAGGTGGACGCTCCTTAAAGAGAGGCATCCGGGCCTGCATCAGGGAGTAAACTGTTGGAAGACAGCCTCTACAGCAGCAGAAACAGCTCTTGGCACTGTCGCAGAGAAGGGAGCAGCCAGAGTCAGCGACAGATTGAACACAGGAGAGAGGGAAGGAGGGAGGGCGAGTGGGAGGAGATGGTTTGGTGTTACATGATATAAATAACTGCATGGTGCAGACTTGAGTGCCAGTTGGGTTGTGTGTGATGTCCCTTTCATGCTGGTGTATCAACAGTGTTGTTCTTGGATTGAGAGGTCCTGGGGAATGTTTCTATAGCACCTAGCACAGTGCCATATGCAGAGAGGGAATAAAAACAAGGCAATATGGTATATTGAAAACAACATTGGATTACAGCCCCAAATCCTCTGTGTGGATGCACAAGTCACCCAAATTCTCTGAGATTCAGTTTCTCATGTAAACAACCAAATGTGCTAGATAATATCAAGCACCCCTTCTAAAAAGATGACCCTAAATATCCAGATGGTCATGAACGACCCACTTTGTAATCAATAATGTGTATATATATATATGGCATATTAATGTTTCTAGCTAATAATAGGGGAGTATAGTAGTGAAGAGAAGTTTGATGAGAAAACCAAGAGTTTTCTCTTTTTTAGATTTAATTTTGGATGTAAACAAGATGTATAAGCTGAATTTAAGGAAAGCAGGGATCAGTGTTGAGTCTGATGAAGGAAAATGTCTAATTTGGAGTTGGGCTTGATTAGGGGAAGGAGACAAGCCCATCCATATGGATTGCAGAAGCCAGCTCAAGGTAGGGCACAAAGAGCCCTTTAGAGAGTCATTTGAAGCAGGTGATAGAATCAAACTACATTTTGAAAACCGGAGTCCTAAGGAAAGAGAGATGGCCCTCACTTCTGTGGGCACTCAGAAATGAGAATTAGTATGAGAAGAGTCTTTCTAATAATCCTTGGGCATGGCCTTTTACTTTTATTCTTCACAAAGCCGCATCTTCATAAGGTAAACAAATGACTCTTTCGGCCCCAGGAGGACTGTTAATATTGTTGACAAGATTGCTTTATTTCCTAGTGTTTAACATAGGCCAATGTTTTCTTTCACTAATTTCCTTGGTGTCTGTCAATGCTACATGAGTTCTCTGTGTGATATTCACTTATTTTCAGGTGGACAGATGCATAGTTTCCTTGGAAATGTCTAGCCGTAACTACATGTTATCTCTGATAGTATGAATGGGCTTCCAGACAGGACATCATCTATGCCATTGGTACCCAACATCTGCCCAGAATATAAAATCAGAAGATAAAGATTAAACATAGTTTTTCAAATGCCATCCTCTTTTTTTGGTAAAATAAATTACTGCTAAGTTCAGTAAAATTTAAAAGTCTATACGAAGAGTGCTCAAGCATGTTGTGGTATTATATTATTTTTTTTCAAAATACCAAGCAAGTATGCAGACTGAGGCTGAATGGTTCATTTAGGGTGTGATAACATTATTTCAGGAATTTCAGATAAAATCTGGACTCATCAGACCATTATTTCTTTTCTTTCTGCAGGATTTTGCTGCTATTATTTCTTTCCCTTTTATTCTTAATATATTATTGCTTAAACATGACCATGAAACTGTAAATGCCTTCCTTAAATTATTGTATTTTAGAATGCCATATATCTTTGGATATTGCAGCAAACTCAAGGTCAACTGAAGAGGTTTCTTAGTAATCTTCTGGCCTTCACTGAGCCTGTTTTTTAGCCATTGCACTCCTCCCAATCCCCTCCCCCATGAAAACTATTTTTCTGAATTGAAGAAATGAACTATGAATAAGGAAAAAGAAAAAGAGAGGTGTGGTTTAAGTTACAGTTTGTCTCCAAGCTAAATCATGTTCTCATCTTTATTTCATCTGGGACCAACATCATGCCCAGATTCCCAAACCTCCTTAAATGCTTTTTAACAAATGTAATTATCCATCGAGAAAAATCTCTGATTTATTTTACTGAATTCAGCAAAGAAAAATATTCTCAGCTTATGATATTGGCAGGAGAAATCATACCCTTTCTTATTTTTCTTTTTTCTTACATACTCAAACATGCTGTGAATGGCCACATCACTCTGCTTTGGGATCCACTCTGAGGCAATGGCCTTTTGGCCTTCTGGCCAACCGCTCACTTCTGTGAATTTCCTTTCTGAGAACTAGAGACTGTTGCCCCAGAAGTCATTTTCCAATTTATCACAGGACCTATCCATGGTTACAGAATTAGTTGGCCTCCTTGAGAATACGCAATGTGAGACCTAATGTGACACACAGCTGGGGAAGCTCCTTTGGTGCAGGGACACTGGGCCAGGATAACTGCTTGTGGGCCATTTTATTTCCCTGGACACTTGCCTTCTGTCTGCTCTCTTTGTCTCACATCTGGGTTTGAGAAAGCTGTGTGGAGGCATCACTTATGCCAATACTTAGGCATAAGTAGCTCTGCTCTGCTCAAGCAGAAGTGAGGGCCTAAGTTCAGGATTTAAACATTCCTTTCTGATACACAGTCTTTCAACAGGGCAGCCTCCATTCTCTCTTCTCAGCCTTCCAGCCAAGTACCTGCTACTTTGTAACCCCAATGGGAAGCCTCTTCCCTTTGGGAAAAAGGAGAATATCAAAATCCACTGACCTCCTGCTGGGTATGGTCTTTGTAATCTCCACTATGTTAACTGGATGCCTGTTTATATAAAAGCTACATTTAGTAACCTTTAGGCTGACGAATGAAATGACCCTCAAGGTATTGTAGCAGCTTCCATATGATAAGGATAGAAGGAAAGAAGTGAAGCTTTTGACTCTGAGTAGTAGGAGTTCTGATGAGAGAATGTAGACAGAGCTACACACATCCTCTTAACTGAACTGTAAGTTCAAGCCATTGAAGATGACTTAAAAAAAAGAATTTTAGTAAAAAGCAGGCTGCTGGTTCAGGAATATTTTAATCTACTTCTAAAGACTTGCTAATTTATTTTTCTTCTCAAACGACTTGTTCATCTTCTCCTCTTCATCTCTCTTCCTTGCTCTGGGTCAGGAAGACACTCTGGTAAAGGTCAGTTATGAAGTCCTAGCCTCCTCATGTCTTCTCATCGAGCCAGTGCTCCCACGGTCCACTGAGATCTGCCTTTGGCAGTCATTTCCCTCAGTTGGACTCTGAGCCATCACAAATTCTTTGCATTTTTCAGAACATCTGTGCCTTCTTTTGCCACATCTTTTTTCTTGGTGCTCAACAGGTCACAAATCAGCCTGTACTTCTCTTTCCAGGCTGTTGATGTCTTAATACTCTCTTTTCAAACCAAATTCCTCTCTTGTGTCTGGCTGTGGCTCTTAGCTCCCCAGCCTTCTCATCTCCCCCATCTGGGTTAGTCATCTGTGGCATCACCAAGGGGTCTCTTTCTCTTAGCCTTCTATCTGGCCTGAACTTCTGCATTTCTCTGAATGTCAGAATAACTACACATACCACACTACTAGGCTTGAAGCTTAGTTAAGTTCTCTAACGTGATTTAAACACAGTGCAGAAAACACTTCCATGGAAGCGTGAACGCTTGAAAAGACTCAAACTTAGAGGATACTAATTAGCTACTGAGAGAGAAGGCACTATAACAAGACCCAAAGATATAATCAAATGAAGTTGAAAACTATTCCATTAAACACAAGTTTCTCCTTGACATTTAGAAAAATCAGGGCGTTTGCAATAATACACTACCAATAGCTTCCCTTTATTGAGTGCTTCCTACTAAGCTACTATAGTAAATATTACTTTTCTTGTCTTATTTACACATGTGCAGTATCTACATGGAGGCAGCATTATTACTACATCCATTTTACATTTTAGAAAGCTGAGGCTTAGCAAGGTTAAGTACCTTGACCTAAATCATACATCTAGTAAGCTGCAAAGCCAGGTCACCTTACTCGGGAACACCTTGAAAGTGAGAGAATTCCCTGGTGATGAAGAACTCTGAAGTTGATACCTTTACTGGGATTCTTGTGGGCACATGATGCTAATATCAATGAAGAATATGGGTGAAGGCATCTAAATGGACCCACTAACCCCAGGATTTGAGTACATGGAGTTGCACAGAGTTTTATCCTAGGTATTCTAGAGAATGCCAGAAGGAATGCCATGCATGGCTTTTTCCCTTGAGAGAGAAGTCTGTGCACTTCCGCAGTTTAGGACATAGCTCTTGCATGCTCACATCTTACCCAGTGCATTGTGACCCTTTCAGTTTCAGATGGGGCAGTCAGCCTTGTTTCATAGCCTGCCAAGACCCTTGAATTGCATAAAGTTATAACAACTTTAGCAGACACTGAAATAGAGAAGTTTTTACCCATAATCTTGATATCCCAGCAAATCACTTTATCTTCATTTTTCAAAATTGTTTCTGTTTCTCATCCAGATACATACATTATTTTGGCATAGCTACAGCCATAACCTAAATTTAATGCAGTACTGTATTTTTTCCCACTTAACATGACATTGTAAGCGTTTCCCATATTGCTATATAGTTTTCATAATTATAATTTTAAAACTGCAGAATATTTTACTGAGTAGATATGCCATCATTTGTTGCTGTAACCATTTTCCTATTACTAGGCATTTAGGCTATTTCTAGTTTTATCATCATTTTAACTAATGCAGCAATAAATGTCTTTGTACACATAACATTCTACTACTCATAGATCATTTATAAGAATAAATTCCAAGGAATGGAATTACTGAGTCAAAGGGTATTATCAGACAATCCTATTTTGATGAAAGCCCACAATTTTGCATAAGGACCAGAGGAATTTAATCAACAAAGCAGAGAATTATATCCAGATTTTCTCCCGGGATTAGAAAAGAGACAGCCAAGGTGGAGCACAGACAGGGATCTTACCTGTGTCCTGTGAGTTAGAATAAATGAACCAATTTCTGTTTTCAATTACTAGTGCAGTTTCCTTTGAAGGAAACATGGGGCGTAACCAAGACTTGAGTTTGGCATCCAAAGGTTTTCTAAGTAGAAGTAAAACCAAGGAAAATGAAATTGATGACAAGGGACTCTGGTCTCTCAACTTTGAAAATCACCAAGTACTTGTATACATATGTAACTAACCTGCACGTTGTGCACATGTACCCTAAAACTTAAAGTATAATAAAAATACATACATACATACATACATACATACATAAATACATAAACAAATAAATAAAAATAAAAAACTTAAAAAGAAAATCACCAAGTACGTATGAGGTTTCTTCTCTGGGGTAGGGAGAGAGGTTCAACACACAGCTGCCAAGACAGCACCACACTTCAGTGTATGGGAGTGGGAGAGTTTGCATCCTAAATAACAAAGGCTCTGCTCCTGTGCTCCTTCTGAACTCAGGTCCTCTCTGGAGAACCTGGCTCCTCCCTAATCTGGTGTCTCTCCACCTTTGTTTGGGTCATGATATCCCTGACAATCTGCCTTCTCATCCAATCCAAAATTTGGCTGAACACTCCTGTCCTTCTTTCACCACATTATTATTCTCCTTTTTATAAACATTTGGTCACATGTAAACTTGAGCACCTACTGAATTGTAGACGCTATTCTCAGTACCAGGGATAAGAAGTTAACAACACAGAAAAAAACAGGATAACAGGTCACTATCTCCTTATAATCAGGGTAACTGTAACAAACTTAAAGGAAACTGCAATGCAGGGATGCTGAACTCAACAGTTCAAGGATAATTGCTCAGAGAAATTGTTGAAGTCTCAGTCTAGCAACACAAAATTTCTTCAGGCCCCCATGAGAATTCTTGTGTGATGACCTCATTCCCATTAACCTTCTAAATATGGAAAATGATTACTTTATGTATCATAAACAAGCTCTTAACTGTATATTAGCCTTTTTTTTCTGTTTTGTGAAGACTGGCCTATTCTTTCCTATTTGATTTTGAGCATCTCGAGGGCAGACACTGTCATCTCATCCTTCTGTGTTTAGAAGCACTACACTGGGCATTTGGACACTTCACAAATGCTCACTGATTGGTGGATTGACAAGTTGGGTGCACAAACGGTACAAAGAGAGAAGCAATAGAAGAAATTTGTACTTTGGAAAGAAGAAACCTAACACCAGGGCCAGTCTCAAGTCTCCATTTCCTTTCTTGTTAAAAGAGGATGATCATCATTTCCCTCTACAGGGTTTTTGTGAGTTAAGGCACAAAGAGAGCTTGAGACAGCTTGTGGCACAGAGCAAGCACTCCCAGAATGTCATCTCACCCCACCCTCCTTAGCATCATTATGAAGAACTGATTGTGACGTTGTGTGGTGAAGTGCTTAGAACACAGGCTCTGGAGGAGATTGCCTGGGTTCAGATGCTGGCTAAACCATTTCTTTTTTTACTTGAAAAACAAATTTTTTGATTTCACTTGTTTCATCATTTGAGTTCAGAGGGCATTTCAAAAGTACAGTCATCTCTTTTTTTTTTTTTTTATTATACTTTAAGTTTTAGGGTACATGTGCACATTGTGCAGGTTAGTTACATATGTATACATGTGCCATGCTGGTGCGCTGCACCCACTAACTCGTCATCTAGCATTAGGTATATCTCCCAATGCTATCCCTCCCCCCTCCCCCCACCCCACAACAGTCCCCAGAGTGTGATGTTCCCCTTCCTGTGACCATGTGATCTCATTGTTCAATTCCCACCTATGAATGAGAACATGCGGTGTTTGGTTTTCTGTCCCTGCGATAGTTTACTGAGAATGATGGTTTCCAATTTCATCCATGTCCCTACAAAGGACATGAACTCATCATTTTTTATGGCTGCATAGTATTCCATGGTGTATATGTGCCACATTTTCTTAATCCAGTCTATCATTGTTGGACATTTGGGTTGGTTCCAAGTCTTTGCTATTGTGAATAATGCCGCAATAAACATACGTGTGCATGTGTCTTTATAGCAGCATGATTTATAATCATTTGGGTATATAAGTAATGGGATGGCTGGGTCAAATGGTATTTCTAGTTCTAGATCCCTGAGGAATCGCCACACTGACTTCCACAATGGTTGAACTAGTTTACAGTCCCACCAACAGTGTAAAAGTGTTCCTATTTCTCCACATCCTCTCCAGCACCTGTTGTTTCCTGACTTTTTAATGATTGCCATTCTAACTGGTGTGAGATGGTATCTCATAGTGGTTTTGATTTGCATTTCTCTGATGGCCAGTGATGATGAGCATTTTTTCATGTATTTTTTGGCTGCATAAATGTCTTCTCTGTATTTGCAGGTTTCATGTCCACAACCATGGATAGAAAATATTTGAACGAAAATTAAAAATAACAATATAACAATTAAAAATAATACACATTTTTAAAATACAGTATAACAGGTGTTTACATAGAATTTACATTATATTAGATGTTATAAGTGATCCAGAGATGATTTTAAAGTGCACAAGAAAAGTGCATAGGTTACATGCAAGTATTAATACCATGCCATTTTAAAGAAGAGCCTTGAGCATACCATTTCTAACTATGTGATGTGAGGAAGCTCCTTAACCTCTCAGGTTGCATCCAAAAAGAGGCACATACTCACCTCACAAGGTGCTTGTGATGCATGCATGAGTGAACACTTACCCAATATTAGTTAAAATTACTCAGCAAAGACTCAGTGAATGGCCATTATCTGCCTGGGCTTGGTGCTCAGAATATAGAAGAGGACACAGGATACGCAGGTTACACAGTCTCCCCACATCCCCCAGCATGCCTGTGGTCCATAATGTGTATTGGCATCATCAATCCATATAGCTAATTCCAGAGAGTGCCTGGCAGTTCAAAAATCATTTTCACATACCTTTTGTGCATCAGCCATTTCAACAACCTTATGGTGCCAATGGAATTATTCTCACTTTTATAAATGAAAAAACTGAGAGTTTAAGTGGCTTATGAATCTGGAAGTTCCTTTGATTTCAAATGGCAAGACTTCTCCACCCACATACTTGTCCCCAAACCTCATGAAAGGATGAAATTCAGGCCCATAATTCTGTGGGGGTTCCTGAAGCAGGTAGTGCCCAAGATAACTAACACATACTAGTGGTTTTCAAACTTGAGCCTGCATGTTTATCACCTGGATGGCTTATTAAAACACGATCAACAGGCCCCACTTTTAGAGTTGCTGTTTCAACAGGTACTGGGGTGGTGCTCAAGCACTTGCATTTTCCATAAGTTCTCAAATGATGCCAGTGCCTGTGTGCAATATCAACTCCTAATATGTGTGTATATAATATACGATCACGTCCTGTGGCACTGGAGAGAAGGGAAGAACTGCAGTCCTGGGAAAGACCTCTTATACTTTCTTACACAGAAAGCCTTCATATCTCTTGTGATAATTGCCTAATAAAGGTATCTATATGTCAGTCTAGTAGCAGAACCAGTTTTATTGCAAAACAGAAGGAAAAAATATTATAACCCTTCAAAGTAACAAACTGAACTGAAACAAAAAACACATGTTGACCTTTTTCCCTTCCCTGAGTTTTTTATTTGCACAGTCTGTGTCCTTTTGAATTCCAGCTAGCACCTGAAGACAACAAGCCAGGTCTCAGGAAAGGAAATTAGAGCCTTCACAGATTCCCCCGCCAAATGGAAAGCGAGAAACACAAGCTAGTCTTCTGATATTGAAAGCTGCCTTTTCTAAATACTGAGTTCAATTTATTTTTAAGCTTTCCAGATTGTCAGATGGCCAGTCAAGCCAACTTGCTCAATTGTAAAATTCAGCTCAGAAGACAGACTTCCCAGGAACCCAAACCTATCCTTCCTATGCCTTTGCCCTATAACCTCCTAGGGTAATGGAGAGAAGCCAAAAAGGCAGTGTGGGTTTGGGGCACCTTCAGTACCACATCATCAAAATATCTTTTCATGGATCATTCAAAATTTGTGGCAAAGGAGGGTGGAAGGGAATATACCACTGATGATTGCCCATAGAACCACAGTAATTATACAAAGCAGAGGACATTTAATTTTGCAAAAAAAAAATTATAATTTTTTATTTATCAGTTAGGTTACACCTAATCATCAGAATTTCTCGAGCGAGTGATAGAATCAATCTCACTGAGGAAACAGGGTTAATTAATCCAACTGATTCCATACATAAGTGGCAGGAAGAAGGCACATGAAGCTCTGTTTCTTTTCTGAGCCCTTCTGATGAGACTGTGTATGAGGCTTTCATAGCTTTAAATCCAACAGTGCCCAAAGGCAGGAAATCCATATTGGGAGCACTGGGAGGGAAGGCAGGGGCCACTGCTGGCTTCCCAATTAGAGCATTCCTCCAGGCCCCTGTTTCCATTTTCCTTTAAATAAGAAGTTGGGTTTTTAATGATTCTCTTTCTAGTCACTTCCTTCCTGCTGCCTTGCTAGGTCATTTCAGCATATGCCTTCTCAACGAATCTATTTCTGGAAAAGACAGAGGAAAAATGACCTCATTCACTCATTGAGAAGTCAACGGGGCATCCCCAGGGCTGGCTGGTACCTCTGTGTGGAGGGGTCTCCCTGGCCTCCCTAGCAGTCTCTCATGCAACGGCCACCTCGGGACTCTGCAGAGGAACCTGGCACAGGTGCAGAAACACATATTAGCACCACTTGTGTGGTGAAGGCTGAAGGAAGCTTGAGAGGTGGTAGGATGCTTGGTTTTGTCCCAAGGAGCACACAAGCTAATCAAAAACATGGACCAAGATTGATTTTTCACTCTGTTAATTGTTCCTTTGCTGTGCAGAAGCTTTTTAGTTTGATGTAATCCCATTTGTCTATTTTTGCTTTTGTTGCTTTTGCTTTTGGGGTCTTGTCCAAACTAATGTCAAAAGACAAATACTATATGATCTCACTTGTATATGGAATCTAAATAAGTTAATCTAATAGAAGTAGAGAGTAGAATAGTGGTCACTAGAGGCTGCGGAGCATTAGTTAGGTGGGGAGATAGAAACTGTTCAATGGGTACAAAGTTACAGTTAGACAAGAGGAATAATTTCTGGTGTTCTATTGCACAATAGGGTGACTCTGGTTAACAATATCGTATTGTATATTTCAAAATAGCTAAAAAAGAGGATATTGAATGTTCTCACCACAAAGAAATGATAAAGGCATGAGGTGATCGATATGCTAAATACCCTGTTAGACTTTTACACAATGTATGCATGTATCAGAACATCATGTGTACCCCATAATTATTTACAATTATTATGTGTCAATTAAAAGCAAGCATACAAACCAAAACACCAAGATGTCAATATGACCAGAGCAGAAACCTATTTGAACTTTCACACTGGACAGACAGATCCTTAGAAATCCTCCAGTTCAGAGATGCATTTTGGTAGGAGGCATATCAACCCTCTGCATGATGTATAATTATGTATGTTTGTGGATTTTCCTGGAAAGAGGACATTTAGACACTCAGAAGATTCTCAGAAGATTCCATGATCTGAGAAAACTAAAGAAGCATAGTTCACACGTGACCAGGGTCACAAGAGAAGCTGAGGCAAAGTCAGGAAGGACTCCCTGCCTTCCTCTGCGGTCTTCTTTCTATCACACTCTTCAGAGACATCGACGACTGGCCTGCACATTGGCTGCTGGTGATTTGGAATCACATCCCAAATGCCAAATCCTATGTCAAAGGACACCTAAGGATCCAAGAGATCTTTTCAGCTCAGCATTCACCAAAGAGTTGTTCAAGAAGTTCCGTGCAAAAAGCTTAGGAAACGGCTGTAAACGTTATCTTATTTTGCAGAGTCTTAAAGTTCACCAGCCTATTCAAGATGGTCGAGGAACAGCCTATTCAAGTTCCACAGTGAAGAAATCTGTTTCATGGTACTGAAGTCCACTTTCTCCACACAATAGACCACCGGACTCTCATTTTCCAGGAATGTCCATTAACTTCCTGAGGAACAAAGGCGCCTGTATACTTAAATTCCTTCTTTTATCTCTTCTTTCAATTAAAGAACATGAGAGAGTCCTTTGGGAATGTAAACAATTACTGAGTAACAAGGCATTATAAACCGTGAACACCCCAGAAAAAGTTAGTGCTGGGTCTGTCAGAAGAAAACATGAGGGAAGTGGGTTTGCTTTATGGGATTGGTTCAGAATAACATAACTCTGCTAAACTGAAAGGTCTTCAGGGTCTCCCTCTGAGAGGGACCTCCCCCATCCAATCCATCAAAGGCAGTACCATCCTCAGGTTCATCATCCTATTATTTCTTTCAAAACGTTTATCAAATTTGACATGGTCTTGTTTATTTGTTGCTTGACTTGTAATTTTTCTCTGTCCTCCCCCATACCCATTGGAATGTGGGATCTATGAAGCCAGTAGCCTTTTATTCCCTATTCACTGCTGTAGCCACAACACTTGCAACGGTTTTACACAGAGTAAGTGCTTAAGGAGTACATTTTGTACACATGTAGGAACACATTAGTGAATGGATACAGAAACTGTTCATCACTGTGTGTCCAGTGTCTACCCTGTTCAAAAGATGTTTCATGAATAAATGAATGGAGAAGGGGTGGCCTGCATTTTTTTTCATGCTCAAAGCATGCTTGTGAGTATTGGGAGAAATGAGTGCTATTCAGGCCCTTCTCGGATTGATACAAAATTGAGTTTCCTTCCTCAATGATGAGTAATGGACTAGAATGTTTTTCAGATGGCACTAAGTCAGGTAAAGAAACATTAGAAGGTAGGATTTGAATTTAAGGAGACCTTTAACAATTTAGAAACGAGAAGTCATTAAAAACAGAAAGATGTTTAAAATAGACAAAAATGGGCTCCATCTGGCAGAGACAAGTACTATAACAAAATAGCTGTGGGCCCTGAGTGAGCAGGAAAGTACTACAACAAATTGTAATATGAGGCGGGTGTATGTAGAGAATTATGAAACGAAAGCCTAGAGAGTAATCTTTCCACAAAACTTGGCATTGCTGAGGTTTTAATTAGAGTGGGAACTCAGATTTCATTCTCCTATTTTAAGGCTCATTTGGAGAACCTGGAAAAGATCCAGCTAGGAGAAGGAAAAAAAAAAAAAAAGATTAACTGGGTGGAAAATGAAGTTAAGATCTAGCCCAAAAAAGAAAAGGCTAAGAAGTGACTTAATCACCAGCACCAGGCATAAGAAGAGTGATTATTACACAGAAGATTATTCCTCATCTCTTCTGAGGACTAGACAAGGGTAAACAGACTCGGGCCACATTGGAAGCATTTCCACTTAAACATCGGGAAGAATTTCTTGATTATAAGGGGAAACTTGCTGACCCCAGGCGCTGTGGGAAGCTGAGCAATTGCTACTCTGGAGATCTTTAAATGTAGGATGACAACCATCTGCCTTGGAAGGCTTAGCTAGAGGCAAGGGACCGGACCTAAGGACCTCTTGGCTTTCCTTCCATCTTTGATTCTTACGGCCGCTAAGCATCCCCATTCTACAGAAATCCTCCATTCCTGTCATAAGACAGACCCCACACTGTCCAAATCCGCATGGCTTCCCCTGGGAGGAGCTCAATTGTTCTCTTCTGAATGGGAAGGAAACTGGTTGTGTTGCCTCAGCTGCTTCCCTTCTCCAGCCCCCACAGAGAGAGGACAGCTTTGGTCCTGATGGGCCTCCCCAAATACTGGGATGGGCCTGCTTCTCCATCTTGTGTGGGATTGGAAGATGTGGATTCAGTTGGAGATAGCCGATTTCTCCAAGAATCATGGAATGTCAGAGCTGCAAGACATTTCAGAGCGAATCCAGACCCATCTCCTTGCTACTCAAATCAGGAAACTGAGAACTTGGAAGACCAAATGATTCTCTCCAGGTAGTGCGGCTGGTTCTTTTTCCACGGGACTAAAATCCAGGCCTCTGGCTCCTTATTCTACACTGTCTCCTTGCTACCTGTGTTTCCGCTGCAGTTAGAAGGAACATTTTAAATGTAGATAGAATGTCTAAAATCCTATCTTTGGTAGCTGGACTGCAGGTGAAAAAATGAGCAAGGGAGAGCAGAAATTCTAACAGTAGAATTTCTGGCAGCATTATTCAACTTGAGTGAACAAGGATAGGTCACTCAGACTCTTCAGCATGTCAGTTTCCCCGTATTTAAGTGAGGCATTTGGGCCAGGAACATTTTAAGGCTTAAACAAACTGCAATATATTATGATTCTGTGATTTGAAATTTTAGCTACAAAAATAATAATGAATAGAAACTCATCTCCTGGTCTAAAGGAATGAGTTTTTTGGGAGATCATTTGTGATGTAATTAGATGGTGCTCAGTCCTTTTGAGACTCTAAAATGGCAATTTTCTTTCTATTTTTAAAGGTAATTTACAAATTTAATATTGTGTTGGGGAATATGCTTCAGCTATCCCCTGTACAAGGAAATCTCCAAGCCTCTTCTTCTATGCAGTCCCTTCACTGCACTTTGGACAGGCACCCTAGTGACTCATGGGAATTATTTTCTAAAAGCTCTATTATACATCAGTGTCTCTGAAACCAAAGTCAATCTTTGCCATTGACCAAAGTCAATGTCAACCAAAGTCAAGTCAACAAAGTCAAATCCTCCTCTGGACTTGCTGGTATCTGCACCATTATCTTCTTGCTTACTCAGACTCAAAATGTTACAGTCATCTTTGACTCCTTTCTACTCCTTTAACCAGGCAGGCAATATATTGCATCATGTCTTTCACTATCATAGATCTCAGGTCCTCCCACTCTTACTGCCTGCTGCTCCTGCAAAATTTCAGGCACTCATGACTCTCCTGCTTCCAGCGTTTTCCTGCCCTTTAGATGAGCTGAAGCAAAGGGGGCAGGGAACATAGAATAATGGTTTCAGGAATGACAAGTGGGAGTGGGCCATATTTGGGAAGCAGGCTATAGAGTGAAATAACTTGAGAGAAGCATGATACCCCAAATCTTCAGAGCTCGTGGGCAGAGGATGGGCTTCCCATGGAATGTGAAAAGGGGTTGCAGGTTATTTTATGTAGATATTGGAGAAAAGCGTGACCCAAGGAGACTGGAAAACCTGAGTGCATCTGGTTTATACATATGCTGTATCATTTACCTTTTACAACAATCCTATGAGATGGACACTGTTATCATCTTCACTTTACAGTTGAAAATATTGAGCCATAGAAAAGTTTATTTATTTGTCTCAGGCCACTCACTTATTAAATGCCCAAACCAGGATCCAAACTCAAGACTTTCTGAGCACTAAGTCATTCTATTACACTGCTTCTTCTCCTTCTTCTTCTTCTTCTTCTTCTTCTTCTTCTTCTTCTTCTTTTTTTTTTTTGAGACAGGGTTTTGCACTGTTGCCCAGGCTGGAGTGCAGTGGTGCAATTGTGGCTCACTACAGCGTCAACCTCTCAGGCTCAAGAGATCCTCCCACCTCAGCCTTCTGAGTAGCTGGGACTGCAGGCATGCATTACCATGTCTGGTTAATTTTTGATTATTTGTAGAGACAGGGTCTCACTATGCTGCTCAGGCTGGTCTCGAACTCCTCAGCTCAAGCAATTTTCCTGCCTTGGCCTCTCAAATTGCTGGAATTTCAGGAGTGAGCCACTGCATCTGGCAACACTGCTTCTTAACTTGAGTAGAATCTTCCTGCCTAGACAGAAGTGAATGGGAAAGCTTAGTGCATCTTAGAGTATCTTCTAAGAGAAACTTGGTGTGAAACCATGGGGAATAAAGCCCAGTACTTGACATGGGATTTTAATTCATTTACTTGATATGACATAGTGGGTGATGCAAAATAGGTACCTTTTTCTTCACCTTTTTCCACAGTGACTTTTCACTTTAGTTTGCTTGGCCTGATAAACAGAGTGAAGTG
Organism: Homo sapiens; assembly: GCF_000001405.40. NCBI lineage: Eukaryota > Metazoa > Chordata > Mammalia > Primates > Hominidae > Homo > Homo sapiens. Next base: position 102,442,505 of record NC_000012.12, read on the forward strand.
AAAAGGCATGCTCTTTGCATTTTAAAAACCCCACTACCTCAACCCCTATGATTTCAGGCTCCTTTTTAAGCTCTGCTGATTCTAATTGTCATCTCTTATGATACTGACAAGTTTATTAATTGCTTCTGTCTTGTTTGGCACCATCCAACAATAACAGGAAAAAAAGGCAAGTGAGGATAAAGACATTCTTTTGAGCAGCCGCTCATTTGCTCTAACACATCTGGCTAATGGATAGAGTATAAAATTGCTCAAGAAATATGGCCGCCAGGAACTTTGTTAATGTTTTTGTGCCCAAGTTGATATAAACTGTGGAGCTGAGCCAGTCTTATATGCAGAAAGAATGGTAAAAATAAATGTTGACTAAGTATCTACCATATATGCCAGGCACTGTGCTAGGCACCACTGGTTATCTTATATCATCCTACAGGAACCTAATAGGGAGGTGTTATTGCTGTTTTTGATAGCATGGAAAATGGCTCAGAGATCACAAAGCTCATTAAGTGATGCTAATAGGACTGGCATCTAGATCTGGCTGACACTAGATCAACCTTTCATTTTGTAGTGTCTTGATTTGGGGCACTCAAGTGGTAGAACGTAAGGAGCTCAGGGATAGCGTCTTTGGCAGAGATTCCTAGTAATTTCCCAATAGCTATTTTCCCTCTTTCTGCAGTAATAGAAACCCTAATTTTCAGCTAACTGTATTTTCCAGCCTAACTTAGAACTCTGTGTGGCTATGTGTTCAAGTTCTAGGAAATGAAATATAAGTGAAAGTGTCACATGAAAGCTTCTGGGATCCTTCATTAAAAGACAACCAAAATGCATCCTTTGCTTTTTCTATCTTCCTATTGGCTAGAGCATGGGTATAATGTTGAACCTCCAGCAGCCATCTTGGCCCCTGCAGATGAGGGCCACCATGCTGGGATGGTGAAATAGAAATCTAGAAATTGCTGGGTCTTGAAGATTTTGTGGCATAGAGCTACTTTGCACAGCAGATGGTTCAGCAGCCCTGAACTATGTATCTTGGGACTACTACATAAGAGAAACAAACTTCCATATTGTTTAAGCCAGTGTAATCCTGGAACTCTGTTTCTCACAGAGTATTTTCATGATAACCTCCTCTTGAATGAACAAAACAACAGATCACTGGCTGGCTACTAATGCCTCCAATGTCTCCATTATGGCTTTGTTCATTGAATTAAGATATATTTACACAGAGTTTCTGGAAAGGAAGGTAACAGATCACTGAGAGTACATAACTGAAGCAACAGTAGGCAAAAAACAGGCAACCTTGAGGTGCCTGTAACTTTTTATTTTTATTTATTTATTTATTTATTTTTTGAGACAGCGTCTCACTCTGTCACCTAGGCTGGAATGTAATGATACACAATCTTGGCTAACTGCAACCTCTGCCTCCCGGGGTTCAAGTGATTCTCCTGCCTCAACCTCCTAAATAGCTGAGATTACAGGTGCCTGCCACCATGTCTGGCTAATTGTTGTATTTTAGTAAAGATGGGGTTTCACCATGTTGGCCAGGCTGGTCTCGAACTCCTGACCTCAAGTGATCCGCCTGCCTCAGCCTCTCAAAGTGCTGAGATTACAGGCATGAGCCACCACGCCCGGCTGAAGTGCTCATAATTCTGTGGCAGGCATTGGTGCTGCTATTGGGTGTGAGGAGTCAAGAGGGAGGGGGCAGAGTGAGGTCCTCTCTGCTCTTGACAATATGGAAAAAAGACACCCAATTTCCTTTTTTTTTTTTCTACCTAACAGTTTTGTCCAGGGCAGTTCTTTTCTAGGAAATGTACCCCATATCTGTAATTACACAGAGCAAAAGTTCAGATTACATCAGTTTGGGATTAACGGTAATGATGACACCTTTGTATTGACAATACTAGACTGCAACAGGAGAGTTAGGATCAGGAAATGAAAGCATTCTCCCAATACCACCTCAACTTCATGGGCAAAAAGGGGGCACCCTCCATGAGCAGTCAGTCATTGATGTATTTACGCGTAAGTTCATTCAACAAAGTTATTTACTGTCTACTATGTGCCAGGAATACTCTTTATAGATTAAATATTAAGAAAATATTAAGGACATTTTAAATTTATGATGACAAAATCATATCTCATCTAGTCTTCTTGCAGAACTAAGCTCAAGTCAATTTAAAAACAACTACTTTAAAAGCAAGCAAAACAATTGGTTACCTGCTACATTGAAAGCACTGCCCTAAGTGCCGCGTAGTATGTGAAAATGAATAGGCAAGGCAAAGTTGCAACCTTCAAGGAATTTGGGACCCAGTAAGGAGATGCGTTAACTCATAAATAACTATGATATAAAGCAGAATATACTTGATTGCCTCAGGTGGTACAAGATACAAGGACCGTGCAGAGGACAAATTTTGCTGAGTCACTGAGAGGTGGCCTCCACTCAAGAGCCAAATGACCATCTCATAAATTGGTATGATACCCCAACATCATTTATTAAATAGGGAATCCTTTCCCCATTGCTTGTTTTTGTCCGGTTTGTCAAAGTTCAGGTGGTTGTAGATGTGTAGCGTTATTTCTGAGGCCTCTGTTCTGTTCCATTGGTCGATATATCTGTTTAGGTACCAGTACCATGCTGTTTTGGTTACCGTAGACTTGTAGTATAGTTTGAAGTCAGGTAGCGTGATGCCTCCAGCTTTGTTCCTTTTGCTTAGGATTGTCTTGGCTATCCAGGCTCTTTTTTGGTTCCATATGAAATTTAAAGTGGTTTTTTCTAATTCTGTGAAGAAAGTCAATGGTACCTTGATGGGAATAGCATTGAATCTATAAATTACTTTGGGCAGTATGGCAATTTTCATGATATTGATTCTTCCTATCCATGAGCATGGAATGTTTTTCCATTTGTTTGTGTCCTCTCTGATTACCTTGAGCAGTGGTTTGTAGTTCTCCTTGAAGAGGTCCTTCACATCCCTTGTAAGTTGGATTCCTAGGTATTTTATTCTCTTTGTAGCAATTGTGAATGGAGTTCACTCATGATTTGGCTCTCTGTTTGTCTGTTATTGGTGTATAAGAATGCTTGTGATTTTTCCACATTGATTTTGCATCCTGAGACTTTGCTGAAGTTGCTTATCAGCTTAAGGAGATTTGGGGCTGAGATGATGGGGTTTTCTAAATATACAATCATGTCATCTGCAAACAGAGACAATTTGACTTCCTTTCTTCCTATTTGAAAACTATTTCTTTCTCTTTCCTGATTGCCCTGGCCAGAACTTCCAATGCTGTGTTGAATAGGAGTGGGGAGAGGGGGCATTCTTGTCCTGTGCTGGTTTTCAAAGGGAGTGCTTCCAGCTTTTGCCCACTCAGTATGATATTGGCTGTGGGTTTGTCATGAACAGCTCTTATTATTTTGAGATATGTTCCATCAATACCTAGTTTATTGAGAGTTTTTAGCATGAAGGGCTGTTGAATTTTATTGAAGGCCTTTTCTGCATCTCTTGAGATAATCATGTGGTTTTTGTCATTGGTTCTGTTTATGTGATGGATTATGTTTATTGGTTTGCCTATGTTGAACCAGCCTTGCATCCCAGGGATGATCGTCGTGGATAAGCTTTTTGATGTGCTGCTGGATTCAGTTTGCCAGTATTTTACTGAGAATTTTCATATTGATGTTCATCAGGGATATTGGCCTTAAATTTTCTTTTTTTGTTGTGTCTCTGCCAAGTTATGGTGTCAGGATGATGCTGACCTCATTAAATGAGTTAGGGAGGAGTCCCTCTTTTTCTCTTGTTTGGAATAGTTTCAGACGGAATGGTACCAGCTCCTCTTTGTACCTCTGGTAGAATTCGGCTATGCATCCATCTGGTCCTGGGTTTTTTTTTGGTTGGTAGGCTATTAATTACTGCCTCAATTTCAGAACTTGTTATTGGTCTATTCAGGGATTCAACTTCTTCCTGGTTTAGTCTTGGCAGGGTGTATGTGTCCAGCAATTTATCCATTTCTTCTAGATTTTCTTGTTTCTTTGCATAGAGGTGTTTATAGTATTCTCTGATGGTAGTTTGTATTTCTGTGGGATCGGTGGTGATACCCCCTTTATCATTTTTTATTGCATCTATTTGATTCTTCTCTCTTTTCTTCTTTATTAGTCTTGCTAGCGGTCTATCTATTTTGCTGCTCTTTCAAAAAATGAGCTCCTAGATTCCTGAATTTTTTGAAGGGTTTCTCATGTCTCTATCTCTTTCAGTTCTGCTCTGATCTTAGTTATTTCTTGTCTTCTGCTAGTTTTCGAATTTGTTTGCTCTTGCTTCTCTAGTTCTTTTAATTGTGATGTTCAGGTGTCGATTTTAGATCTTTCCCACTTTCTCCTGTGGGCATTTAATGCTGTAAATTTCCCTCTAAAAACTGCTTTAGCTGTGTCCCAGAGATTCTGGTACATTTTGTCTTTTTTTTCTTACTGGTTTCTAAGAACTTATTTATTTCTGCCTTAATTTTGTTATTTACCCAGTATTCATTCAGGAGCAGGTTGTTCAGTTTCCATGTACTTGTGCAGTTTTGAGTGAGTTTCTTGATCCTGAGTTCTAATTTGATTGCACTGTGGTTGGAGAGACTGTTTGTTATGATTTCCATTCTTTTTCATTTGCTAAGGAGTGTTTTACTTCCAATTATGTGGTCAATTTTAGAATAAGTGCGATATGGTGCTGAGAAGAGTGTATATTCTGTTGATTTGCGGTGGAGAGTTCTGTAGATGTCTATCAGGTCCGCTTGATCCAGAGCTGAGTTCAAGTCCTGAATATCCTTGCTAATTTTCTGTCTCGTTGATCTGCCTAATATTGACAGTGGGGAGTTAAAGTCTCCCAGCATTATTGTGTGGGACTCTAAGTCTCTTTGTAGGTCTCTAAAAACTTGCTTTATGAATCTGGGTGCTCCTGCATTGGGTGCATATATATTTAGGATAGTTAGCTCTTCTTGTTGCATTGATCCCTTTACCATTATGTCATTCTTTGTCTTTTTTTATCTTTGTTGGTTTAAAGTCTGTTTTATCAGAGACTAGGATTGCAACCTCTTCTTGTTTTTGCTTTTTATTTGCTTGGTAAATATTCCTTCAACCCTTTATTTCGAGCCTATGTGCGTCTTTGCATGTGAGATGAGTGTCCTGAATACAGAGCACCAATGGGTCTTGACTCTATCCTATTTGCCAGTCTGTGCCTTTAATTAGGGCATTTAGCCCATTTCCATATGCAGAAAATTGAAACTGGACCGCTTCCTTACATCTTATACAAAAATTAACTCAAGATGGATTAAAGACTTTAATGTAAGACCTAAAACCATAAAAACTCTAGAAGAAAACCTAGGCAATACCATTCAGGACATAGGCATGGACAAACACTTCCTGACTAAAACACCAATAGCAATGGCAAGAAAAGCCAAAACTGACAAATGGGATGTAATTGAACTAAAGAGCTTCTGCACAGCAAAAGAAACTATCATCAGAGTGAACAGGCAACCTACAGAATGGGAGAAAATTTTTTCAATCTATCCATCTGACAAAGGGTAATATCCAAAATCTATAAGGAACTTAAACAAATTTACAAAAAAAAAAAATCTCATGGGACTGTAAACTAGTCAACCATTGTGGAAGTCAGTGTGGCGATTCCTCAGGGATCTAGAACTAGAAATACCATTTGACCCAGCCATCCCATTACTGGGTATATACCCAAAGGACTATAAATCATGCTGCTATAAAGACACATGCACACGTATGTTTATTGCGGCACTATTCACAATAGCAAAGACTTGGAACCAACCCAAATGTCCAACAATGATAGACTGGATTAAGAAAATGTGGCACACATACACCATGGAATACTATGCAGCCATAAAAAATGATGAGTTCATGTCCTTTGTAGGGACATGGATGAAATTGGAAACCATCATTCTCAGTAAACTATCGCAAGAACAAAAAACCAAACACCGCATATTCTGACTCATAGGTGGGAATTGAACAATGAGATCACATGGACACAGGAAGGGGAATATCACACTCTGGGGACTGTGGTGGGGTGGGGGGAGGGGGGAGGGATAGCATTGGGAGATATACCTAATGCTAGATGACACATTAGTGGGTGCAGCGTACCAGCATGGCACATGTATACATATGTAACTAACTTGCACAATGTGCACATGTACCCTAAAACTTAGAGTATAATAAAAAAAAAAAAAAAAAAAAAAAAAAATCTCATCAGAAAGTGGGCAAAGGGTATGAACAGACACTTCTCAAAAGAAGACGTATATGCAGCCATCGGACATGAAAAAAAAGCTCATCATCACTGGTCATTAGAGAAATGCAAATCAAAACCACAATGAGATACCATCTCATGCCAGTTAGAATGGTGATCATTAAAAAGTCAGGAAACAACAGATGCTGGAGAGGATGTGGAGAAATAGAAATGCTTTTTCACTGTTGGTGAGAGTGTAAATTAGTTCAACCATTGTGGAAGACGGTGTGGCGATTTCTCAAGGATCTAGAACCAGAAATACCATTTGACCCAGCAATCCCATTACTGGGTATATACCCAAAGGATTATAAATTATTCTACTATAAAGACACATGCACATATATGTTTATTGCAGCACTATTCACAATAGGAAAGACTTGGAACCAACCCAAATGCCCATCAGTGATAGACTGGAAGAAGAAAATGTGGCACATATACACCATAGAATACTATGCAGCCATGAAAAGGGATGAATTCGTGTTCCTTGAAGGGACATGGATGAAGCTGAAAACCATTCTCAGCAAACTAACACAGGAACGGAAAACCAAACACCACATTTTCTCACTCATAAGTGTGAGTTGAACAATGAGAACACATGGACACAGGGAGGGGAACATCACACAGTGGGGCCAGTCGGGGGGTGGGGGCAAGGGAAGGGATAGCATTAAGAGAAATACCTAATGTAGGTGACGGCTTGATGGGTGCAGTAAACCACAATGGCACATGTATAGCTATGTAAGAAACCTGCACATTCTGCACGTTTCCCAGAACTTAAAGTATAATAATAATGAAAAATTGGTATGATACCCCATTGCTACGGTTTTCTGTTTGCAGAACAGGAAGGCAGTAAAGTTATTTGTTCCCCATCCCGCCCCCCAACTAGAGGAATGTCAGCACAGGCCTCTCTCAGGATGTCAGAGAAGGGACATCCTGAGAGAGGCCTGTGCTGACATTCCTCTAGGGTTGAATCCTAACCCCTTCTCTGTGGAGGGATTTTATGAATTCAAGGTCTTTTACAGCCCTATAATTCGATGGTTCTTCTACCTCTATTCTTGACACAAACTCTTGCCCTCTGGATCACCTGGGCTTTCTAAGCCTTGTCATATTATATTCACTTGGCAGAAGTGAAGCACAAATGTGCGTAGGTAGAGAGGCCTCCAAAGAACACCGGGCTCACGGATTCTCCTTTCGTCTCATCCAGTAGCATAGAGAGAGGGCGAGTTCTCAAGAAGTGCTCAGACATGTTAAACGTGAGGTTACGAGATGAAGACTTCAAAAGTGTTTTATTAAAGTGATGGACTCTTCCGAATGGAGAAAATCCATCCTGAGTATATCTGTTTTAGAGGAGTGACTTTTCATATAGTAGATTTTCTACAGGGGAAGTGCTTTCTTCCCAGGGTTTTTATATTATTCCCCTGTCATTCTTTTTCTTTTTCCTCACTAAATTTCATGCTCTCCTTGCCCAGTTCACTTATTTGCTGCTCAAAGCTAAAAATCTCCCTACTTTTATGCGACTCTCCTAGAAATTGCTCCATGACAAAGAGTAAGAGAGTAGCATAAAGAGCTAAATGAACTATTTTGGATGTGACAGGAATTGTATTTGCCTTTTGGCGCTGCTTTCCACTTTCTTTGTGAAGCATCTCTTGCTCCGATGGCCCCAGCAGCTCTCTGCCACGAATGGAAACAGCCATCGTACACTGCTCCACTTGGAGACAAATGGATGCCCAATTGCTCTGGGACTAAATTCGACTTGATAAAATGCTGCATTTCCAGATTTTTCAATCTCTTCTTCGCCTTCCATCTGAAGGCTAAGGCCTTCATCATCTAATCTGGAGATGATTATTATTACTCTTTCTGTGTTGGCAAATACAGATACAGGGCACATTTGCCTTTCTTTCAAACTCATTTGGGAGACTTAAATAAGTTCTCTTGCTACATTTAATTTCATTTTCTCAATATCTACATGCTGTTTGTCAATACAATAATATACTTCCATCTCTGTCTCTAGTTTTAAATCATTCTTTCCAATTTGAATAAGATTTCAATAATACTTTGGGCGGGTTTTCAGAGGAAGGATCTTGGGTCATTTCTCCTAAACCTCTGTTAATTGAAGATAGGATTTGGGATCTAGGAATGCAGAGTCACAGAGGTTCAGCCTTGAAGAAGCTTTAAAAGATCTTTATAGTAGATTAGTTATAGTTGCTTAGTCTGTTAACCTGTTATAGTAGGTTAGTCTGATGGTGTCAGTGGATAACAAGGAGAAAGATTTTGGAAAACCAGAAAGGCTACTGGTAAGAAAATAAGCAGGTGTCAAAACATACACTCTAAAGTTATATCAAGTGAGTCACAGTTTCATATACAGAATTTCAAGAATGGTTCTGCACACCTAGTGTAGCTTTTCTATTCTTAGGACTCTTCTACGTAGACCAATTGACTCCTGGATAGGAATTAAGTTCATCAATGAAGTTTTTATCAAAACCTGTAACTCTTTGATGCATTTGATCTTCAAGGATAAGAGAGTATTGCTCTCCTTTCTGTAGATAATTTCAGTATATCTCAAACAAATAATGTGAGAATTACTGAGCGCATTTTATTGCTCTCTATTTCATTTGTTTACGCAGAGTAAGTAATGAACTTCCAGGAAGCCAGAACTTCTAGAAGCTCAAGATCAAGGTGCTAAGATGTAGGCCTGTGGACAGTGAGGCTTTCTTGCCACAACAAATCTAATACCAGTTTTTGTAACAGTGGGTGTGTAACAATGCATGCTGTAGATGATGAAAAGAAGAGAAAGTGAAAAGAAGATGGGAGATCGATGAGAAAGATATTCCAACCATTGGGAAGGAAAGAAAACTTGAGGAATATACTGTATAGCTCACCGCTCAGATGATTCCAGTGCACAGGGATCTCTCCCTTCCTTGCTATTGTTTGGCACTGGCCATGTTCACCTTTCTGGCTAACCTCTAAGCATCTGAGGCAGGAACCCTGTCAGTTTGGTTCAGTGTTGACAGGGTTTGGCTGTGTCCCCACCCAAATCTCATCTTGAACTGTAATTCCCATGTGTGGAGGGAGGGACCTGGTGGGAGGTGATTGGAGCATGGGGGTGGTTTCCCCCATGCTGTTCTCATGATGGTGAGTGAGTTCTCATGCGATCTAATGGTTTTAGAAGGGGCTCTTCCCTCTTCACACTCTCTCACCTGCCACCATGTAAGATATGTCTACTTCGGCCGGGCGCGGTGGCTCACGCCTGTAATCCCAGCACTTTGGGAGGCCGAGGCGGGCGGATCACGAGGTTAGAAGATCAAGACCATCCTGGCTAACACGGTGAAACCCCGTCTCTACTAAAAATACAAAAAATTAGCCGGGCGTGGTAGCGGGCGCCTGTAGTCCCAGCTACTCGGGAGGCTGAGGCAGGAGAATGGCGTGAACCCGGGAGGCGGAGCTTGCAGTGAGCCGAGATCGCGCCACTGCACTCCAGCCTGGGCGACAGAGCGAGACTCCGTCTCAAAAAAAAAAAAAAAAAAAAAAAAAAAAAGATATGTCTACTTCTTCTGCCATGATAAGTTTCCTGAGGCCTCTGCTGCCATGTGGAACTGTGAGTCAATTAAACCTCTTTTCTTTATAAATTACCCAGTCTTGGACAGTTCTTTATAGCAGTGTGAGAATGGACTCATACAAATGTCATATCCCTAGCATCTGTTATAGAGCCTGTCATAAAATAGATGCTCAGTAAATATTTGCACACTAATCAATCATATTTTAGCACTGAACTTTGCAGATCTGTAACACTCAATCTGTGTTAGGGGGGTCTTGCCAATTACAAAACTGTAGGCCATTCAGCATGCTTATTTGACATCCTTCCAGAAGGCATGGTGCTCCTCTTGCTGTGATTATTGACCCTCTGAGTTTGAAGATAACTAATGAAGACATTGGAAGTGTACTTTTTAAAAAGATAAGACATTCTCTTCTTATTGGCTAACTGCACCTATGGGAAAAAGAAGTCTTCTGAGCCAGAAAGAGCTGGGTCAAAGAGGAGCGCTTGGGCTGGAATCTGCCAGAGAAACTTGGACCTTTGAGACATCTGAGCAGCAAAGCAATTTAAGGACATGGGCCCTAAAAAGAAAACAGCACCTGCTTTGCTGAGCAGCCTTGTCTGGAAATTGCTGGGTTAGCAACACGTTGCACCCTGTGAAAACTTGTGACTTCAATATGAGAAAAAAAAAGGCTTTAATTAAATTGGGTGTTTTTGAATCTTCCTCAGGGAGTTAGGATTTGGGGGTCGAGAAGCTGAGAACTTTATCAGAATGAAAGGAGTCTTCTCAGAAATCCTGGAACCCCACAGTTCTTAGTGAGATACATCATTCATGTGTGGCTGTGCTTTTGCCTTTAGAAGCACTGCTGCCATTAGCATTCTTTTACAGTCAAGCAAGGCTAAAGCTGGAATAATGTGTTAGGTGTGTGGCCTAGGAGGGTCTACATTGTGCTTTTCCAAAGTGTTTTTTATAGGATGTAGGTTTTCAGGAGTGGGAGAGTTCCCTATAGAGCTTGGCATTTGTTTGTTTGTTTTGCTTTGTTTTGAATTTGGAAAGATGATCTTAAAGAGGTATGGTAGGATTAGGAAACTTTTCTTCAGGCCTCAGTTAGTGGCCTCCGGTATTCAATTATACTCAGGCAATGTTAATTGAGCACTTTCTACATGCAAATCACTGTCCCAGATTCTGAGGACATACAGAGGAATATGATGCCAATTCTTGTCTGAAGAAGTTCACAGATGAACACATTCTTAACTCTAATATAAGTAAGGTTGGGAAAATTACTGTATGTACAAAAAAAGAGAGGCCTCTAACAGGGAAAGATAAGTTTCTCTTATGATGAAGTTGGAAGAGGCATTGCTAGGAAAGAGATGAGTTTGGCCTTAAAAGTTACTCAGCATTTCCATGGCTAGGGATGTGGGGATGGAAGAAGAAGCAAAGAATAAATGTATGCTCTATAGAGCATGCTGTCAAGGTTGTCAGGTACCATGCGTGCTTGAGTAGGCTGCCTGAGTTAAAACCCTGGATTCGTTGCACTTAGAATCTATGTGCCTTTAATCACATTCTGTACTTCTCTGTGTCTCAGTGTCCTCACTTGTAAAGTGAAGATAATGATAGTACCTATTTCACAGAGTTGTTTGGTGATTCAGTGAGTTAATACATGTAAGTGCTTAAAACAGTGTCATGCATATAAGAGCTTGGAAAGTGCTAGCTATTATAATTCTTCAATATAGATGTGCCAACCTATCTTTCTGGGCTTATCTTGCACTGCTCTGCACTAGCCTAACACCCAAACAACTGGCTGGATGTCTCATGCACCTGCAAACATACTCCTTACTTTGCTGTCTATGTGCTCTTCTATTGAGTTAGTTTCTGTGTCCAGAATTTTTCCATCTATCAAAATCCTCCCTGTACAAGGCCTACCTTAAACACATGATGTGACTTCCAGAGAAACATGAGTACTCTCACAGCACTTCACAGGCATCATGGCAAGGTTTTGGAAGCTCTTCCCTTCTGAAGCTTGCCATTAACCATGGCTACTACCAACCCTCCAGAGTAACTCATGAGGTCTAGGGAATGAGAGGGTTTTCTCTTCCTACTCCCTAGAAGGAAGTACATGCCCCATGGGGAAGGAAAGATTCATCTTTCTGCTATTCCTAGATTTCCCTGAAAGATAACAGCAATACAGAGGAACAAGATAAACATTAACATCTGATGGCCACCTGCATGTGCCAATGTTTGTCTTAGCTGAGTCTGAAGGCCATTGCCACCTTTGCGAATAAGCCAGGGCATGACACTCTCCATGAAGCTCCCAAGAATATTTAGGCCAGCCTATTTAAGAATGGAAAAGGGCCTTATTTCCTCAATTTTGAAAATTGTTCATAGATTGAGCCAGTAGAGTTATCCAATGTGGATGTAAGATTCGCCATGAAGGGGTCAATTGAGTCAGAGGCAAATGTTTGCTGCAGATCCAGGCTGTTGGATAGAGCCCCAAATATTTGGGAATGCAGGGATGAGAGGGAAGAAGAAGGCTTTCCTATTTGCTGTTTACCTATCAGTCTGGGGACAAATTGGTGATTTCAGGCTCATGCCTCTATATCACAATGCGTTAGTGTCCACCATTAATGTGGTGCTTGGCAGAGAGGTTCAGGGCTGAACACACAAGGGCCAGAGCTGCTTTTCCACATCAGCTCTCTCAAGCCTGGAGAATCTTGGCTGGAAGTGTGGGGGAAGGGAAAGGGAAGAAGGGAGGACATGGCCCCAGCCACCCACCGTGCCATTCCTGGGTTTTGATTAAAGAGGAAAATATTGGCTCTGACATTCTCGATTTGCAAGATCCAAATGTATTTTGACTTTTTAGAAGAACTAAGGGTTCAGGTTTCACAAGAATGATCCTGCCTAGAACTTCTGACTCAAACTTAAAGCTGTTTGGCTTCTCAATAGTTGAATGCACAGCAAGTGCAGTTAACAAAGTGACATTGCTATGGCTGCAAGTTGCACAACAGCATAATGTCAGCCTTCTGATGAGAGCTGGGCTGTTGAGCAATGCCACTTGGAAGAGAGAGGTCACACACAGAAACAGTTCTAAGAATGTTATATCTTTATAAATATTCAATATATTTCTTTATGAGTTAGAACCCAGACTTTCCAAACCTCTGATTCATGTTTTTCCAGAAATCTCAGGTCAGGCAGTACATTTTCAGTTGACAAGTTAAGTTCATTTTGAAATATCTCACAGCGAAACCAGAATAGGGCATTTCAAGTGGGGGAGGAGTTCCACACAGAGGTCTCCACTCATTGCATCTACCCTCTCTTCCAGTCTCTACCTGCACCCCTTTCCTTAATGCTTAGTTTGCAGTAGCTGAAATCAAAAGCCTCCATGAGGCAAGTTGGGCAGACTCAGGCAAAATTCCCCATCCTGTCATCCTAGCAGGGAAGAGACCAGCATTCTAGTATGTCCAGTAGAGGACTGAGGCACCCTGCAATCTCTCCTCCCAGGTTGAACCTGGCAGTCAGCTTGGATGGGAAGTTGCCATTTCTCTCTCTGGCCCTGGGAAGAGACAAGTCATGAACACAATCAAGGACAAGAAGTTGGTTAACCATATGTAAAGAGTTGGGATCCCATTGGATATCGCTTCCTGGAGAATGAAAAAATATGGCTCCATATCAGGCAGGTGCTCAGCAGCGATGGCTTATGGCCCTTCCTCTACTGATCTTTTCCTTTATCTCTTTGGTCATTATGCTCAGTGTTAATATGGGTTGCTAAGGAACCATATGTACATGGTAATTTGGTAAAACATCTCCCTCACAGAAAGCAGAATTTTGGAGGAGGGCGTAGTGGCCATCTTAGGAGCATCTGAGGAGAAAGTTTTGCCCCCTTTTAAATTCCTAACACGGACATTCAACTTATTCAATTTTTTCCATTTAAAAAAGGTGTGTGTGTGTGTGTGTGTGTGTGTGTGTGTGTGTGTGTGTGTGTATTGTCTAATCTAGAGATCCTGAGGAGCTAAGAAGTATGAACAAACGCACTTCAAAGACTAAACTGGACATAAATTCAAACGAGAAGAAAGTCTTCATTTAGGGAAAATCAGAGAAAATACTTCAGGGAGGAAAAGGTATCAAATCTAACTGTTAGCATGTAATAATATTTTGTCAGAAGTTTTTCCCTCATTTCTGCTCAACTACAGAGTTTCAGCTAGCATTAATCTTCTAATCAAAAGGGAACAAATCTATTTATAATTGACATAAATGATAGTCCTATTTATAGTTCTCTTTGGCGTTCCATGCTTCTCTGTGGGAGATCTTCCCTGAAACAAAAGCCTACTTTTTGAAGCAACTGTGTTCCAGGGACAGCCTTGATCATTTCTGCTGCCCGAGAGATGTATTTAATTAACCTCTTATCCCTACTCATGGGATGGCGGAATGTGAAAAGTACTGACCAATATTACAGCAATTCCTACATTTGCCCTTGTAATTCCAGTCCACAGAAATCATACATGACCCAAAAAGGAATGACAGTCCCCACGTTCCAAAGGAAGGGGCATGAATGCATCTTGGCTAACCCACTTTCAACTTCAGGATGTACTCTAGCCTAGCCCTCCCTCAATTCTAACAACACTTCACTCAAATTACCTCTGGAAACTGGTAGCGGGTCCTGATTTTCTAAGAATTTTGTGGCAATTCCACAGGTATTATCTCTCCTGGTACTAAAAAAACTGCTTTGGGTAGGCAGGCAGGGCTGACTGTACCCATTTGACAAGGGAGAGAATTGCCTGACAGAACCCAGCCAACCAGCGAATTCAAGGCTTTTCAGGGTGTCCAGGTCTCCTCACCTCATATTCAGAACTCTTTTTGATATCCAATGTTGTCATGCTGATAGCAAAATAAATATTATTCAAATATACCCAGACATTCACTTAAATTCTCAAACTCTGCTTAAATTCACTCAAATTCTGCTTAATTTATTAACAAAACTCTGTTTTGAGGAATCCTCATGCTAAAAGAAAAGCAACCAACAGTGCCCATGTTATCTGCATCAAATCCTATCTGGACCGGGGGATACAGAGGATAAGATGGGAGGGGAACCTCATGACTCCAGGTAGAATTTTGACGCATCATTGAACTTGAGTTGGAAAGACTGGCCTGGCAGCTCTACAAAAGGAGGGATTTTTTCCTAAGCTTTTCATCAACTCAAAGTCAAAGCGGCTTGTTTGCCCAGTATTTCTGGCCTCTCTCAGTCTATAGAACACAACCATGCCTCTACCTAGCCAAGGACCCAGGCAGACAGAGAGTACATGAAGGTGTAAATTCCACCTACTTTTAAACTTTAGTGGACGATTTCACAAGACTGTATATATAGAGAGAAGGATGAAAATTTTTTGTATTCTTTTGGAAATTCAGTAAACATATTTTGAGATCTGCCATATCCAGGAAGAATAAGAGAAAAAAATGTTATTTTTATACATTATTACTTACTTTAATTCTATAGGTTTATGATGATTATTCTGACATATGGGTAAGAATTGTTTTCTTAACCAGATTGAAGGTAACCTTAAGGCAGATTTGTATGTTACTTTTTGGGAGCATGATGGGTGTTCATGAACGTTAGTTTTCTGCTCTGGCTTTTTCGTTTCAGCTTCCCCTTGGTTTCTAGCACAATTCTAGGTACACAGTTATCCATAAAACATTGCTGAATTTAATGACATTGAAAAATAATGACTTTCTTCTTCTTGGTCAATATTTTGCAACTGGTCATTCCAGTCAAAATTCACTAAGTTGGATCCATTTCTGGTGCCTGAGATTTGATTCTATAATCTTGTAACTTGTTGACAATCCTTCTGCAGGGCAAACAGGAATGCGAGCCCCTTTCTAGTTATTCAGAAACTTTAGAAATTGACACTTTTGAATGCAGCATACGGAGTTCTTTCTGTTTCATTTTTTCTAGCGTATTTGTGCTCTACCTGGCATTGACTCAATTCATTATCTCAGCCCAGCCCCCAGGAATAGACTGACTCCTGCAATTCTAACACAAGTTGTGCATACTAAAGGATTTGCTGATGCTCCTCATGAGGCATGCAATAGTGTTTTAATCTGGAGATCACAGCCAGCTTCCAACAAAAAGGATCATGTTCTGTTTACCTAAATTCCCTTAGTAGTTTCCTTTAGATACAGCACTTCTCACTCTGTACTTGAAAATACCGAAAAGTCCATGGAGGCCTTCCGACTCAGCCATGTCTACATTTCAAATGAGTTACTGCCTTCCTAAAGGCACACATAACTAATCTAGGCCTGTAAGGCCACATAAAAACGAATAACAATTAATTCCATGCAGACATGGATAGTGCAGTGTATGAGGGAGTAAGTGGGAACTTACAGAGATTAATAAAACATAGCCCTCACCTTTGCAGAGCTTATAGTTAAGCAGATGGTAGGAACACTGACCAAAAAAAAAAAAAAAAACCAAAAACAAAGTGCTGTAAGAGTAATATTATTGCTTCTCTCTCTCAGAGGAAAGAGGGTTGACATCTGGTAGAAGATTTTACAGAGGAGGTGACATTTGAGAGAAGAAGAGAGGAAAGTCCAGGAAAATAAAATAGGTGGTAATAAGTCACATAGGTCGGATGTTGGAATATGTAGGGGGTCATTTGTAAACTTGGTGAGTCAATCAAGTCAATGTCTCAATGACTACAGCAAGTCATGCAGGCAAGTGAAGTAGACCAGAGCAAGGCAATAGAGAGTGGTGGGGGGTTTTTGGTAAAGCAGAAAGCATGTGCCAATATGAAGTGGAGAGTCATTTAGTAAATACTGACAGATAATTCAAATTTTAGTAAAAACACTGTATTCACTACACAAAAACACTTATGAGGACTGGATACAACTTACAGATTGCCAGTTTGTGAGCTCTGCTGTAGGGATACATTAAGAAAGTCAGATAGAGACCTTACGTAAAATGCCTTACTGTCAAATTGGGGAGTTTGGACTCACTCAATTTACATAGCCATGAATGGTCCCTGGATGTTGTTTAGAAAAGGGATAAAGTGATAAGAATTGCTTTGGAAAGATTAATCTCATGGGTGGGACGGCTGGCCTCAAGCAGTCTTGCACATAGCACGATCATGGAGGAGGCTGTTGCAATAGTTTTGGTGGGCGATGAGGAGGATCTAAATAGTGATGGGACTGGAAGGATCTTCCAGTAAATAGGTAACAGCTGTTATGGATCTCGGTGCAAAACAAACTGTAAGGCTACAGCTTGTTTTGTCTGAAGAGTTGGGTTGATGGTCTCCACTGTGCTCAACACTTAGGGTGATTGTGCAACCCATCCATTGCATTGGCTGGGAACCTGGCCTTTCCTGCTTTACAAGGTCACCGGCTAAAAACTCCACTTGCTCTTGAGGAAATATCCCTTTGATGATGTCTAAATTTTTGAATGTTCAGTTTTTAAAATCTGCCTTCTTCCTTCACCAGAATGACTTGATTGTCTTTTAAATTCTAGCTCAGCTGTACCCTTGCTCTGTTTGGGGAGGGCTATACAGTTCTATAAAGATGAGGTTTGTGTCTTATTTATATAAACCAGCAGCAGTTAGTCTGGTAACTATGTGATAGAACAAAGGCAATAGATATGTCTTGAACGTAATAAAATAGACAAGCGTATAGTTAATATCCAACGAGATCTTGCATATTTGGAGCAGGAGTGGCATAGGTCAATGTATGCTGAGCCAGATAGGTATATAATGAATAAATTAAGCCTGCAAGGGCACACACTTCACATAAAAGGGTGACCAAAAACTGCCACTCAAGAATGCAGGCTCAGCCATGCTGGATTGCACCATTTTTTTCATAAGAGAAGTTGTTAATCTTTTGTTTTTGCTTATAATCTCTTGATTTTTATATTTCCAAAATTAAAACAAATACATATTGGGTGGACCAAACAAAACATGTCTGTGGACTAGATGCAGGTGGGGTGGGAGTGGAAACGTTTTGTGACATTGCTCTAGAATATCAATTCCATGTGCATAGAGCTGTGCTTTACTCATTTCTTTCATCATTAGTTTTGGCTAACCAGAAGACACTCAATAGATGGTGTGGACTGGGATACCATAGGGGAGAACTATTCCCATCTGACTCAAGCCTGCAGTTGTATGATTGGAATTTCATGGGTCCCCCCACAAAGAAACCTCTTTGAAGGGATGGCATCATTCTCCCTTGGGTATTGCTAAACACAGAGCAGGTGCCCAGCTGATGATTCTACAATTAAATTGGGCAGAGCTATAATTTTACTTCCATACATTTTACTAAAGCACCCAGCAAAAGGAATGAGAGAATACTAACAAAGAAACAAACAATAATCTCCATATCCGTCAGATTTCTTAAGGGATTTTAGAGATTTTCATGAACAGCAGTAAACATTCTGGAAAAGGTATTAGAGATTATCTTGTCAACATTAATTCAATGGGTAGAGTGCCAATGAGTCAGGGATATCACTGTATTAAAATAATATGCATTAAATCTAAACAAATCAAATATATAGTTTTGGTCTAAGTCCAATACTATCTTATCCTTGTCAAGAATATAGACAAGAAGTGGCATGTTCTTAAAGTTCAAGTAAAAGATGTGTGAAAACAATGTGAAAACTATATTAGTGACTTTTTTTCCCTGCCAAACTGGGAAGAGAGATCACAATTATCACATTTCAAAGGTGGAATGTCTTGGTTCATTTACGTATCATTGTTTCAATGGCAACAGGTTTTGAGACCCAGGGGATTAATAATCAAATCTACCAAGTTATTTAGTGGTAGAGTTCTGAGTAAATCCAAGATTTTCTAAGTCTCCAATCCAAAGGCCCCCCTTTCTTTTTATTGTCATTTCAAGAAATACAAGTTAAAAACTGGTCCTCTCTCACTTTACCTGCCCTGCTGTGGGACAATGTCCCTTTGAAGAAGCACACCCTTCAGATATCAAGGCCTTCATTAATGACCTTCATTAATGGGCTCAGGCTGGGGAACTTGAGTTTCAGAATGACCCTCGTAAAGACCCGAAGCCAGCTGTATCTCTTTGAAAAGCAGTTTTAAAGTTTACCCTTCACCTTCTGATAGGTGACCAAAATAGACTTTTCTTACCTTAAAACCATTTCTCTAAAATCCCAGTGGGAACCCTCATAGAACTAATTAACTCAGACCCATAAGAAATAATATTAGAATCTGGCTGAGCATAACAAAAGATGAAATTTGATATGAGTAAAACACACATTCGTCCACTTAATGCAATTAGATTTTTTTCTTTTTTTGAAGCACTCTTGCTTGGCTGTTCTTGAAAAATGTAACTATTGAAAAAGAAACTGGCAAGATCTTAAGGACTGGGGCTCAGTTCCTGGCCCCAGTGATGGGCTTGGAAATTGCAGCTACAGCAATTAGAAGTTCCAATTTCCAGTTCACAGAAGGTCAGGCCATGGGGTTATCCTTGGAGCAGTTCTATCATTCCTCTGAGGAAAGGTTCCACCAACTTGAGGGAATCTGGACCAAATACCAGTGAATCAGCATATATATTGTTAATGGCCACAAGCAGGTTTGACCTTAACATCATTTTTGAAATCTGCAGTGACAGTTGATCTTTTTGTACTCTGTCTTATCAAATGTGAGCCACGAATTAGCAAGTACCTCTTACTTCCTGCCATTCTCTAGATGGGGCTTCTCAAACCTTAACACGCATCCAAATCCTGTGGGTATCGGGTTAAAATGCAGATTTTGATTTAATTGGTTTGGGGTCAGGGCCCCTGACTCTGCATTTCTAAAAAGCCCTCAGGTTTCTTTGAGTAGCAAGACTCTATGTCTATGTGTATTTTCACACACTAAGCTTTGTTTTTCCTAAGCAACATTGATACATTCCCCTTAGACAATTTGTTAATCAAACCAATTAGCCCGTTGTAAACAAGAGATACAAGAGATTGTTTCTTGCCACAAAACACTTTCCCTAGCCAGTTTTCAAATCTGGTTTTTCTAAGAGATAGACTTTTCTGTTCTTTATTATTACTGTTGTTTTTGATATGTGTGTTGGGGAGGGAGATCAAAATCATTTATATTCATTGAAACCAATCATCCACTGAATGACTTTAAAACACTAAGTGGCCAGTGTCTACTTCAGAACCAGCCAGAAGTAAGCCTTTCTTTGTCTTTAGCTTACACATCATGATGCTTTTGTGCAATGTTACTGAACCCCCATCTGACTTATCTGGTAAGAGAGATTTTCATAATTGCATGCAAAGCACCGATAATCTACAGAAATGCCAGCCAGATTTGTGGCACTAATACCTTTCACAAGTCTTATGATTCATATGACTCAGGGCCCACAGACTGTCTAACTTAAGGGAAGCCTGAAATGATGCTTATTGTATGTGTGTCATTGATCTTCTCAAAATTCATCCTCAAATATCTGTTCCATACTAGGAGGTAAGAATCAGCAGAAAAGAAGGAATCTTTGGAGAGCCAAAACCATCTCTACACCAAATTGAGAGACTGGAATTATAAGGTGAATGCAATTAACTGGCAGTCGCATCCATGTTGAGAACACAGTCATCCCTTTAATAGAGAACATTTGCTGTGCTTGACAAACTCACAGTGAAATGGTTGGATCCATAGGAAGCAACATGCTGAAAATGGTTTCAATATGATCCTGTTTTTTCACTCAATAGCCATTGATTGAGGGTGTCCAGCCAAAAACAATGAGAAAATGAGCCAACAATAGTCTTACCCTTTGACCATATTAGATAAAGTCGCAGCTGAAATTTGTTATATGTTTCAGGAATAACAAAGCATCCATATGGAACATATATTTGGCAGTGTGGCAGCTGATGAAACCAGGAAAATTAGACAAATTATCAATTGCTCGCTCCCAAATTACCCCAAAAAGAAATTAGATCCATTTTCAGTAGCTTTGCCTTCAAATTTCTTCATTCCGTGAGTCACCACTACCTTCTGCCAAACTAAATATGTCTATGAACGGCTGGAAACTTTAATGGAAAGAAACATAAAACTCAAACTACGTAGGAAAATTTAAGCTTCTTCATGGAAGATCTTCGTGGAAGACTAGCAAGTTAGGAATGTGTGAAGACAGACAACACATCGATAATTCCTTTTGTTTGGGGTCACTTCTGAGTTAGAGAGCAATGCAACATGCTGGCTTGACTTCAAATTAAAATCAGCTTTTTCCTTTATTTCTTTTGTAAGCCTCCAATCCCTCAAACTACTAGGGTTTATTAAGGTACACAGTCCTACAGTCAGGTCGATCAGATTTGGGATAAAGAGACTTCATGATGTTATCCGATGGATGGTAGAAATTAGTAAATGAAGATTTCATGAATGGCTAAGAGCTTAATTTTCTAGAAACTATTCTGAGGTGTTACACCAGAAGAATATGACATAGCAGTTCACTTTGAGTGTATGGACTGTGGTTATGAGCACTACCCTCATATGAGTTTATTGAGGTTAAGTTTAAAGGGTCCAGCTGTGCAAAGAGCTCTGGACCAAGCATGAGGTGACTGAAATGTAGCCTTGGCTTTCCGACCAGTAGCTCCAGCTTTTCCGACCAACTTTTGTGACCTCATGCACATCATGTTTTTTCTGGACCTTGGTCCTTTCATCTGGGAAGTGAGAGCACTGGATCAGATTGCTCTATATGGTTCTTTCTAGCTCTCTAATTTTTCAATTCTGCATTGGCAAATAGAAACCACTTGTAGTGTTCTCTAAGGGCTGGTGCTCCAGCTGTGATTCATACCTTAGCCAGGGATGTACCAGTTGTTGCATACCTTCCCTTGCCCAACACTACTCCTTTTAAATAACTCACATAGAAGTAGAGAGGAACTGAGTGGAGGTTCTGTTCTCACTTTCATAAGTAGACCTTATTGGTGAGGGTCCAGTAGCCTTTGAAAATTACCTGTTGACTAGAGTTAGCTTAATCTTGAGCTAGGCATTTTCAGTGGAGCAGTGGTGAAGGGGTCCTAAGAGGTGACATCTCAAGTAGACTTGTTGACTTTTTTCTCCTATATCTTCAATCTCAGATCCAAAATGATGTCAGTAGCAAATTGTAAGTCATGGTATATATTCTGGGGACTGGAAGAAGGAAATAGCTTTTGGAATGACATTTTCAATATCAAATCAAGAAATTTTATTAAGTGCTCCATACTAGATGCTGTGAAAAACAGGAGGGGGGAAAACCCTTAAAACTTAGTCTGTGTTCTTCTGAAAAAGCTCAAGATAAAATAGAGAGAATGAAAATTTACAGTAGCAGCAGTAGCAGTAGCCAGTATTTGATTGTGTGGTTCAAAAGTGTTACAACTGCATCAAATGTTGTGTCTCTGGGAGCCATGGGATGTGAGGCCCCTGGGATAGAAGAACCACAGGGTCACTGGTCCATATGGTGATAAAACTCACAATTTTGATTTCATCAAAGCCATTCTCAAACAAAAAAATTTAATTCCCCTAAGTCAGGCTGTGATAAGAAAACAGTTTGGATGTACAACTTGAGAGTGCGAAGATACTTTTTCTGATTAGTGAGTACATTTCCTCTGCTGAATGCTGCTTTTTGAGGCTAAGCAGAAATCACCAATAGCTGACTTGAGAGAATAGAAATCTTTTGCCTATATGTGATATCTCTCAGTGACTACCCAATCACCTCGTGGGGAACAAAGTCTTTAAGCAAGCTCAGTGTGGTAAAATGATAGGCCCCATCTCTTTGCTGCTTCTTCCAATGAGAGGAAATAGTGATACTGAGTGAGCATTCTGAAGATACATTAATTAACTCTTGGGTGGTCTCAATGTAAAGTGATATGTGAACAGGAGGCAGCAACATGCTTTTCTTTTTTAATTAATGAGGTTGAGAAGATACACTGCCAAATTAACTTTTCCAGATTATAATTGTTGCCTAAGGTTTTACAGAAATCATGGCATTGATCTAATTTGTGAGCCATGATTTGGGATACAAGGCAAAAAGCATCCAATTCAGTTCATCAGTTGTGACTATTTGGATGGCCCTTCGTTTCCAAAGCACTTCTACAGCTGAGCCTCAGAACAACTCAGAAGTGTATTTTTATTCCCATTTTACGATAAGCTATGTAAGGCTCAAGGACGTTAAGTGACTTCTCCAAGGTCATAGAACTGTTCAGTAGGGGAGCTGGGTCAGGCCCAAATGGGGAACTTCTGACTGTTTCTGAGCAATTGAATGACTGTGATAGGACTCAGATAGGAAAGGCACAAGAAAAAAGGAGAAAAATTTGGTCATTACCTTTGAACCAGGCTTTTTCACTTGTGAGGAATTGAGTTTATTTATTATGTGCCTGACAAGGGAACAGCCACATATGTTAAGGTCAAAGACAACTGGCTGGGTGCGGTGGCTCACGCCTGTAATCCCAGCACTTTGTGAGTCCAAGGCAGGCGGATCACCTGAGGTCAGGAGTTCGAGACCAACCAGGCCAACATGGTGAAACCCCGTCTCTACTAAAAATACAAACATTAGCCGGGCAAGGTGGTGCATGCCTGTCATCCCAGCTACTCGGGAGGCTGAGGCGGGAGAATTGCTTGAACCTAGGAGACAGAGGTTGCAGTGAGCCGAGATTGCACCACTGTACTCCAGCCTGGGCAACAGAGCAAGACTCTGTTTCAAATAAATAAATAAATAAATAAATAAATAAATAAATAAATAAATAAATAAAGATAACCAACTTCTTTTTAATTTGCTCCAGGTGGTCTCAATCAAACTTCTAAGCACAGGGTTCTACTCTGAACCATTTCTGCCTGCCCTTCCTTCTCTTACTAAAATACATGAATTCCATGGCTATAAGGCAAGAAAGAAAAGGCCTGCAAAAGGTTTTAAATAGCCTATAGGAAGAACTTTTATTTTTCAGAGAAAAGCTTTCAAAACCACAATGACTCTTCTCATGGCTTGCTCCAGGCAATGGACCATAGGCTCTGGATTAAACAGTGACTGAGAATTGATGTGTTACTTTCACTCATGGTTTTCCAATCTCTCTAATTGCCTCTCTTCTGGAGACTTGTCTAGTCTAGGAATCTCGACTCGGGGGTGATTTTGCCCCCAGGGGTACATTTGGCAATGTCTGCAAACATTCTTGATGGTCGTGACTGGGAGGAAGGGACTGCTGGCACCTAGTGGATAGAGGCCAAGTATGTTACTAGTTATCGTATAATGCACAGGGCAGCTCCCTCTCCCAGCAAAAAATAGTCTGACCCAAAATGTCAATAGTGTTGAGGCTGAAAAACTCTGTTGCCAATGGCGCTTGGGGAAAGTTGACTGAGGAGTATGAGAATAAGGTAAGATTTTAAAACAGTCTGGGCATAGTGGCTCATGACTGTAAATCCAGCACTTTGGGAGACTGAGGCGGGCAGATCACTTGAGCCCAGGAATTTGAGACCAGCATGGGCAACATGGTAAAACCCCATCTCTACAAAAAAATACAAAAGTTAGCCAGCTGTGGTGGCATGCGCCTATGGTCCCAGCTACTGGGGAGGCTGAGGTGGTAGGAGGATCACTTGAGCCTGGGAGGTTGAGGCTGCAGTGAGCTTTGTTCACACCACTGCACTCTAGCCTGAGCAATGGACTGAGACCCTGTCTCAAAAAAACAAAAACCAAAATGAAAAAACCCACATCACTTGGTCTCATAAAGAGGTTGGGGATAGGTTCAGCAAGGAGGGAGAAGAAAAATCTATAGTGTCCTTAAATCCATTTAATCCAGAATTCTAAGTCTTGGTGCTCCTTTCCCCAGTTTTACAGGTAATCAGGAGTTGGCTGCATGTGGGTTGGCTCAGTGCAGACTTTCTAAATCACTTGCCTCTGATGAAAGACCCATTTCATCAGGGTAAATGGCACAGAGGTAGTACCATCTTCCCAGCAATACTCTCCGGATTGCTTCTATGTCTGACAAATTTTCAAAGTTTAAAAGGGTCCCTCAAAGAGCCTTTTAGTACCTCATAAAGACCAGAGATGAAAGAAGAAAACCAGAAGAGATTCATAGAGTATTTGCTTGGGAGTCTGCAAAAAAATCAGGTGTAAATTTCTTTTGGTTTGGGACAGTCAGAGAAATCTCCAGAAAAAAAAAGCTGATCCAACAACTCGTCAGACTGTTTCAGATTTTCCAGGAGCGCAGCTTTGCTAAGTCATTCCAAAGCATTTCTACCAAAGTTGACATTGGAGAGAGTGACCATAGAGTCAGAATAGTATAATATACAATAATAGTCAAATTATGACCTTAAGTGGACGGAATGCCCAAAGTACATGTGAAGGCTTTGCACACCATATAGGAGACAGGCAGGGAATCACTTTAGTTTGTACAAATTTCCACAGCGAGGGAGCAAAAGTGTTAACCTAAGTCTCAGGTGAATTTATTGAAAGGAAGGAACCAACAAGATCTATGCTCATTTGGATGAATTTGATTGGTGGCTTCTCTTGGTCATTTTAATTTACCAGGTAACTTTGACACAGACATGGCTAATTGTTGCTAAATGGAGGAATACTGCAGTGGGATGAGAAAAGAGAATCACAGTATCTTCTCCCTTTGTCACTAATTAGCTGTGTGACTTTGCACATGTCACTTCTCTCTGGATTTCAGTCAGCATTTGGCTAATTCTTATTATTATCATTTTCATGTACATGAATGTATGGGGTAAAAGTGCAGTTTTGATACATGACTAGATTGCATAATATTGACAAGTTTATTTTTCAAGGACTTCTAAGTTTGTAGCAATCTTCAATTTTATTTTCTTTGAACAATCGGGTAGTTTTAAGAGGGAGAGATTACAGAGATGTATACTTAATCAATAATCAGGTTCTTGGGTATTTCCTCCCCTCTTTTTGACCCCTCTTTTTTTTGGCATGGAAATCTTTATTCCTGCAGAATGCCTGAGCATTTAATGCAAAAGATTTTAATTTAAAAGAGGCTGTTTGGTCTCTGCTGGTTGCACAATTTCTCTTTGTGTCTGTGCTGCTGATGATCAAATATTGCAAAGCCATTAATTACCTTAGGACAAATGCAGAGGGCCACATGCAAAGGTTCTGGCCAGTTGCAGAAAGCAATATGCCAGATGTAAAGTAAGTGAAGGGTTTTTCTTGGTATTTAAGGTTCAGTGAAAAAGTAAGAGGGGCAGCTATGCCAAGAATGAAAAGCTAGAGCTTGCCAAGTGCTTCTTTAAGTGGCTTTAGCCAATGTGAGACTAAACAATGCATTAAATAGGCATACAACTTACTGCAGTTAGGGAATTGCTTGTCAAATAACACCTCTTTGCTATGTTTTAAACATGATCTCATGTATAGATAAAGACAAACAAAATGTTGTGTTGTCATCTCCTTAGTCTAACAGCTAATAAGGCCTGGGGGTTTGAACTTTCCAGGCAACCTAAAGTAATTCTTTGGGATGTCTCATGGAGAGGTGTACGATGGAACTCTGCCAGGGCGGCAGCTCAATGCGAAAACGATTTTTTGCCACCATGGGTTGTCAAAGATGTCTGGCTGCACAAAAGAGCAAAGCCCTTGCAGGCTGTTATCGAGAACAATGAGACATCTCCTTGGGAGAGACCTTGTGGCTATTTTCACTGTGTCTGAATCTGTGGTGTGGGCTGTAAAACCAGAAGGAAGGCTGCTGAAGAGATGAAGTCAGCTCTAATGGAGATCTTGGGCAATGATGGCACGACACAAGATGTCTGGTCAAAGTATTGGAGGCCCATTGAATTAGCAGAATGCCAAAATTCTCTCCTGGATCCAAAATGTCTCCCCTACCAGCCACTGGAGATAGGATACATTTCAATACCAATGGTCTTCAAACAGCTCGTTGAGTAATACCAGCAAAGGTGGCGGTCTTGCATCCCAACCACTGGCTGCTCCCACATCTCCTTTATTTTGGGGAAGTTTCTTCCTGCCTGGATTATGGTGTCTGTGACCACCTCCCATTACTACGACTCTAATAGCACCCCAAGAAAAAGTTTGGTCCAATTAAACAGCATTTTTTTAGTAGGTCTTTGAGAAAGACCAATTAAACAAATAGTTGCAAGTAATGAAGCACTTGAGGTTTGCAGGAAGAGGAAGAAGATTTGAAGTTGGGCAGAAGAGAAGCTCCCCAGATCCTACTGCATATCCTGGTGTATACAGGTGAGTTGCAGTGTTCTGTCTGAATTCAGTCTGTGAAGGGTCTTGTACAGCAGCAGCCTCTAATTAGCCTCTTCTAAAAGAAGACTTTTCTTGTGCATCCTGAGGAAGTTTTCTTAGAATTTCCTCAATTTTTCCAGAAGCTAAAATATAGGGTCATTACATAGATATCTCTCTCATGCCTCTTTTCAAGAAAGTGTTCAAAATCAATTTAGTCACCCTGGGATTCTTGCTCCTTATCTCCCAGAAGACTACTGGGATTTTGGAAGCATCTCCCTATGCTACACACTTCTTGGAGGCAAGAGAACCTAGCTTTGTTTCTGGAACCATTCAGTGGGGTAAGTTACAAAATGTTCATGTCTCACATTTCTCATTTGTCCCATGAAGCAATAATCTTTGCCCACCAAAAGTGGAGTCAAGACAAAGTGAGAGAGCTGATACAACTGGATTTTGAAAAAGTAAATATACTAGATAAACATAACATTCTTCATGTGATTATTACTAATACTACTACATAATTCTTACTACTCATAATAGGTTTTTAATCAGCTGCCGCCAAGGAGAGAAAATGAGTGTGTAATTAATTGGGCCGTTCATATACCTCAGCATTGGCAATAGATTCTGCAATTGATCTCAGAAGAGAATAATTAAGTGTAATAGCTCACATATGTGGTGCTTACTGTGTGCCAGGCAATATTCTAAGTTAACATATTCCAATATAATAACTAATTTAATCCTAACACCAACTCTATAAGGCAGGCCCCATTTTACAGATGAGAAAATTGAGGAACAAACAGGTTAAATAACTTGCTCAAGATCACTCACCAAGTAAGTTGCAGAGCTGGGGTTCAAACCTGAAGTGTTTGGCAATAGAGGCCATGCCCTTGGTCTTGAACCCTTCGCTCTCCTGTTTATAACTCTCCATCAGGAGGGAGATGGTCTTGAAGGGCATTAGCATGTCAGAAAAAAATGCAAATTATTTTCTAATTTTGCATCATTTTCTTAGTGGTCCTATGGTTGCAGAAACTGGTCCTTTACTATTTAAAGACAGGAACAAGCATTTGGGGTCAATATAAAAACACATTGCTTCTCTTTAATAATATCTGTAGCCTATTAGCTTAGTGGTACTAATGAGGCCAGGGTCATAAGGTCAAACCCCACATGTACCAATTAGTTTCAAAGAGAAAAGCTTTCCCACAGCTAGTGACTGTACCCCTAACTTTGACCAGCTGTCACACAGATGCATAGCAGGCAGTCTAAGGGGTACCAATAAAAGGAATGAAAATGATGCAACTCAAATCCAGCCCCACTCAAAACAATGCTAATGGTGGGTGAGTGTGATGTCAAATTCACCAATTATACACTCTCTTCTTTAATTGAAAAGGTAATAGGCTGGGAAGAGGCTTTTGGTGAAGGTTTAGAAACCTGTAGATTCTTATTTGTCCCCTCTAATTTAATAAAGGGCATCTAAAAATGTACATACTCACTTGACCTCACAGTCAGGAGAGTGAGAGAATGTAAAGATGAGAACTGTCAGTGGGTCTATCCTAACAAAGAAAAATGACAGTCTGTTTTCATGAAGCGTGTGCTTCTTTGGCTCCTTAGTCCAAAAGACCTGCATGTATTTGGTCATATCTAAGCTTCTATTCCATCCCCGAGGGGTTGAAATCCAGCTTAAAGCAAAACAAAACGAAGAATCTGGCTCCTCTTACTTTAACTGGGTGGAATCTCCTATCTCTGGGGACCAACAGAAACTATGTAAATAAGATAAAAGAGACTAAATGTTATTTGGTCACTACTTAAATCCAAGGTTGTTCTTTCTTGAATAGCACCAGAGCTTTGTTAAATACAACCTAGACTATGAGTCTGTTAAAGCTAGAAGAGGTCATTTATTTTAATAAAATTCCCTTGTTCTATGGACAAGGACGTTTAGACCCAGGAAGTTTAAATGCCTGCCAAACTCCTACAACTAATGAACGACAGGTCTGGGAGTAGTTTTCTGGGCAGTATATATCAAAGGAAAGAAGCTTGACTTAATAATAATAACCTAGATCTAAGAAGGTTGTTGCAATCAATAACAATGAAAGTTCATTGTAAAGTTTCACTTAAAGCTCTTACAAAACAGTCTGTTTTAACCCATGAAGAATGCCATTCGTTTATTCAGACCTGTTCTTAATAACTATACATTGGAAGTATGTTTTACAAAAGCTATAAATCCTGAAGAGCTGAAAGAATATCCAACTTGGCTTTTCTAATTGATTTACTTCTCCATTTCCCCAGACCGCCAAGGTAAAGCATATACAGTTTATTTAAGGGACTGTTTATAGACTCTTAAAACTTAAAAAGACCCCAGAAACTCTCTTTCTTTCAGTTGCTCTTAATTGAAACCATCCAAGATGGTTGGTTGTCTGTCAATTTTTTAAGAATCTCCAAGGAGAGAAATTCCACAGGCCCATAGCAGCATGTTAAAATGGTTAATCACCATGGCTGTCAAAAATTATATCTATGGTAAGCTTCACTTCTCCTATTTCATTTGAAGCTCTTTTTCTCTTGGTGTTTTTCATGCAAAATGAGGTTGTAATGAGCCACCCTTTATAAGGGCTCCATCA
The DNA here is from genome assembly GCF_000001405.40 of Homo sapiens. NCBI lineage: Eukaryota > Metazoa > Chordata > Mammalia > Primates > Hominidae > Homo > Homo sapiens. Next base: position 102,472,037 of record NC_000012.12, read on the forward strand.
ATCTAGTAAGAAAATCGCTAGCTCCTTCCCAATGTGCTTTCATCTCCATTATGCCACCATTTTTCTCACAGGACTGCAAGAACACAAGGCTGGCTGATAGGCTCTCCTATCTTCCCTATGATGCATAGGAAAGAATGAGTAATTAGCTCTTCATTGGGTCTTTCATTTCATAAAATGTCTAGGGAAGCTGCATTAATTATACATGAACTGTTCCATTTATGATGGGATAATGTTCACAAACAGATAATCTAGAAGGTTGCTTTCACTTGCTGTAGTGGAACTTGGGCTTGAAGGGGAATATGAGCTCAATTCACATCATTGGGTCAATCTACACACAGTAAGCATTACAAAATATTTTATTCAGAACAGTTCTAATAGAGTTAAAAAAAAACTCTCCTTGTTAAATATTGCAGATTGACAAAAATGATAGATATGGAGGCAATTTTCTTTTAGATGTTTGAATTTCAAACTAAAATCAGAAACTGCCTTCTACTACTAAAAAAATTGTACTTCCAAAATGGATTTGAAGCAGTTTAAAATAAAAGTCACAGCCACAATAAAACTTTGAAAATAAGTGTAAAGAGAATAATAGGAGTCAACTGACAGTGTATAGAGGTGGGGAAGAATGCTTCCCTCTAAAAAGTATTTCAAAGACTATGTGCTTAGAGCTGACTTCTCCACACACAGTAAATCTCAGCGGATGAAAAGGAAACTGAATGAAATTTGTTGACAACAATTGATGCCTGTAGGAATAATTGGCTCAGACACAAAACAGACATCAATGTAGCCTGGGGATGACCAAAATGCAGCAGCCTCTAAGTCATTGTTAGTATATATTTTTTCAGTTCAAAAAAAAATAAAAGCAGTTTTATTAAATAACTAGATAACCATGAGGTGAGAAGTATTGTCCACAGTACTTGACAACCTTAATTCTTGATGGTTCTTAAGACCAAGATCCCAAACAAGTAATTCCATTCTATTCGATTGGATTCAACTAGACTCAATTCAATTCAATTCAATCCTGTCAGTTCAACAATCAAATATGGGCAGCTACTATAGCATCCAGGCTATGAGCTAGACACTTGGATTCAAATGTAAATAAATATGTCCTTTGGCATCAAGAAGCCCATTGACAGGGTATTATTCTTGGCAGGGTAGACCAAAATATTCAAGAAAAACATAAAGGATATAATTTATTCTCCATGGTTATTTTTCTCTTATGACAATAATACTTAGTTGCATTTTTCTTTTACCACTCAACTGTAAGCCCCTTGAAAACAAGGTCAATCTCTCATTCATTTCTAGGCATCTCATTCATATCTCATTCAATGCTTACACATAACAGATGCTCCATCAATGTTTTGAATTACATGAAAATAATCTAAATGGACTAATTTCTTTTGGGCAAATAAGATTGTCCAGTTGACTAGAAAGTTAGCAAGAATACTTTTGGGCATGAAGGTATGTTGGACACTTCTGTGCATGAGGGTATGTCGGATTAACATAAGTCATGGAATTCTATAAGGCAAAACTCATGACACACATATTTTCAATGACAATACTGACAAGAACATATGATTTACAAAGCCACTTTCTAGCTAAAGTCATATAGTAAGAATCAAGATTTGCTATATATAACATTTCCTTTTCAAGTTATTGAGATACAATTTTTAAAAATTTGCTGAAATTTGATTGTTGCAGTAACAGAATAAGAGAACCTGGAAATTGGTTTCCATTTTAGTTGTCCAATATCCTTAAGTGTCTGTGCAAACACTTATAAGTATCATACAGTTACTTAGGAACAATCATTTTTTCCATTCTAATTTTTCATCATTTAATGCAAACATCATAGGCATAGAAAGATCCAGTTTTCATGCACTGTGCATGGAAATTCTGGAGCAATGTCGTGTTGAACATCACAATTCAACCTGGCACGTAACAGAGGACACTTCTAGGCTTGGCAATTACCTAGTGAACTGGATCAAAGGAAATTGCACAAATGGATTATCAAGGAAAAAAAAAGTCCCCTTGGGCATAATAAGTGAGAACCACTTTTTCATTTCTTTAAAAAATGAGGATCAGTAGCTGCAAATTATAGAATAATTATGACCCACTGTTGGATCATGTGATGTCCCACAGTTATCTTCCACAGGATATTTTAAAGGTAAAACAAGTCTGCTATTGGAAAATCACTCACCCAATGCACTCATTCATCTGCTCTGCAACAGAGAACTGGATAGAATTGCTTTATTGCCAGAAAAATAAATGAGTTCGTTCAATTAAAGGACTGGCTGGAAGCAAATAGTGGGAATTTGCCTATTCAAATAGTAGAAGGCACTTCTGATTCTTTGTCACTAGTGATTTAAAAACTATTTGTTGCCAAATCCACTGTAAGTACTGATCGCCAATACCCTCACAAGCCTCTTTCTTCCCATCTCCCTTACTGATCTCCAGACTGGTATACACAGGCCACCCTCTACCCTGCCAGTCATACACACACATACCCCACCTGCCTAGAGAGAGGCTGACATTTGGGAAGGATGAGAGAGACTTCAAGTGTGTGAGTCATCACAGGAGCTATTCAAAGCATAGTGGGTAACTGAGGTAAGCTGTCTACACTGGAGTGATATGAACCTTTAAGAATGACTCATGCTCAGTTTCCTGGAACTCTCTAAAACTCCAAAGAATTATAAGGAACAAGCATCTGGCTTTAAATCTTTCTCTGTCCTATAATATACAGTGAGATAGATGCATGGGAGCTAGATTCTTTAAGTGATCAGTTCCCACAGGAATCATTGACTTTTGCTTGTGTGTATTATTTATACGCCTTGACTTGGCTGTCTACTTTTTACTGGCTGTTGACTTTCTAATCACCTAAGAGCTATTTAAGAGATAAGTGATTCTGTACTTGTCAGAGACCCTTTTCCAGATGGTGATATCATTGATGGGTCCCGGAGAAGAACTATGCCAAAAGAGAGCAACAACAAAAAAATCAAGGTCAAGTGGCATAGAGGGCAAATCAGTATGGCATTTCAGTTTGCATTTAGAGACAGTCTGTGTATTTGCAAACAGGCCTGCCTTTAAGGGGAGTTAACCTTCTGTCTGTTCATGGTGATTTCATATTGAATGGAGACATCTAGGATATGCCCTTTAATATTTTTTTTCCCAGATCCACATGACTGGAGAGTCCTTACTATTTTACTCCAAATCACATAGCACTTAAAGCAGCCCTGCATGTGTTCCATATGTTTATATGTGCGCCCATAGGTTTTGAAAACAAAAACATCAATACCTCAGGGTTATTTTGTCCTGTCCTTTCATTGAAAGGAATGGAATAGTGAGGTGGATCATAATAGTTGAAAGAAGGCTTAGCAGGAAGTAGTTAAAGACGAATTGTTAAGGAGGAAAATTCCATCCTAGATCTGCAAAACCTGCCAAAGTCCCGCCAAAACACTATGCTTACTTTAAGGTGAGGAATCTCAGAGGCCTAGGATGGCTGCCAGATACGGGCACTCATTCAGTTATTCACACACTCCCTGCGGTTGTAAATCCACAGAGCTGTACACTTTAGACTTGAGCAGCACATTGAGAGGGAGGGCTACTTACTGAAATAAAAGCCCCTGTCTCCACACACGAACTGAAGAGCATCCACCAGCTCAGCCCCGCAGAGCGTCTCCGGTCCAGCCGTGGCAGAGCTGGTGAAGGTGAGCAGGCACAGCGCCAGGTAGAAGAGATGCGAGGAGGACATGGTGTGCATCTTCACCTGCCCAAGAAACAGAGGGAGGGTCAGGTTTCCTCCTTGATCCTTGCAAGGGGAGTGGGGTGGGACAGAAGTGCATTGACTCCCACGATTCCACGACTGTCATTAATCAGGACTACCCAGCACAGAAGCCAATAGAGTACATGAGAACCCAGAGGGAGTTGTGGATGGAGCGTGTCTCGGCATCCAACAACCTGTGTTTATTCCCCTGGCTACTGTGGATCTTTGGAGGAGTCCTCCCTGAACCCTTTCTTTATGGGTTCCTATTTCAATGAATTGAGACAAAATATCTAGAAACGTTTACTACGGAAATGAAAGATGCTATTATTACAGTGGGATCCCATATCACTCTGAGACCCTGGTAGAACTTTTGAATTATCAAAGGTTAAATTGTGCTCAGTACAGATTTGGGGCCAAATAAGTTTTGTTAATTTAAATTCTCTCAATATTGGCCATCCATAGATGGTATATGCATTCATTATTGAGCAGAATATTTTTAACCAAAACATCATTCCCTATTTTTGACTAAAAATAATTTACTATGGCCAAAAAATGGCTTTTGACAATACTATATATCATCACAGGGTTTTGTTTTTGTTTTGTTTCCTCAATATGAGAGAGAGAGAGAGAGAGAGAGAGAGAGAGAGACTGATTCCTTACCTGGGGCATATCAGCAGTTGACACAACCACAAATAGAAGAAAATAACAGAAACAGAAAAAAATATGAGAATCGAAGAATGAAATTGGCTCAAATAGAAACCACTCCTGTATTCTAAAGTCCCTGGCCTCAAGTCCAATATCAAATCAACACGTGTTGAGAATCCCTTCTGTGTATAGGGCACTGGGCTCAAACTGGCAAAAATCTTTTATTTTATTTTTAGTCACAGGAATTATGGCTTCATCTCTTGGAGGGACTTATGTGTCACTGTATCTATTTTATAGCAAAATATACCAAGGGACCCCTGGTTGGCATGACTTAGTCAATGATAGACTGCCAAACGGCAGCCTTGCCAAAAGCAGCAGTCCTGTGGCTCAAGTCTTCATCCTCACTCTAAGTAGTAGAAACCATGCTAAGATGATCATTAAGTTTTTCCATATTGTTACTTGTGGCACAAAGATGTGGCTTTTTCCAAGAAGCCTCTCAAGGTGAGTGGCTTCACTTCTCTCAGATGCATCTACTTTCAGCATCATGGGAAGAGTCCCTGACAGGGTGTTAGGTGAGGGGCGCTATTAAAAGGGTTGTGGAGTCATGCTGGAAGCTATAATTATAAGAAGAGCATTTTTTTTGAACCTCAGAGTAGTGGCAGGTCCATTCAACCCCATCACTTTTGGAGAAACAGTCATTTATTTTCTGACTACCCTCCTTGCCCTCCATGGACTCTCAATTTAGTGGCTCTATATCAGTGGCAAAATTTTCCCCATCATTCTAATGATGATTTCCATTTTTTGTAGTCAGACCTTCACCTCAGCAACTGAGGAAAAAAAAAAAAAACCAAAACCCCTGTCTCTCGTTAACAAAATATAAATATTCAGTTAATGGTTGTAAAGCAGTTGAAGATGAAAAGCGCCCTCTATTTGCAAATGATCATAAATAATGGACATAAAATAGAAGAGGAGGTAAAAGCTCAACTGAACATTTACTGCATTTTTCTCAACAAGATCTCCGCATGGAAATCTTCCACCCCCTACATAGCCCAAAACACTGGGACTGGAAGAAGCATGTTATCATCCAGTTCTCATTTTTTTTTTTTTTTGGTTGTAAAATTAGTGGGGTTTTCCTGTTCAATATTTCCATTGGAAACCTCAACAAATCCAACCCACCTGGACCTCGTGGCATTTTTCAAAAGAACAAACCTGTGATTGATCTTGCAGAGCATACCCCCACACTGCGGGAATGGGCCAGTTCTAGAAAGTATGTTATTCTACCGAATCCTATTTCTCCACCCCTCCCTTCTTTGTTGCGTTCATAGCAATGCTGAAGGCTAAGCACCTGCAACTGTAGATGCCTTCAAGTTCTTCAGTTTTTGTGAAATCCAGGGAAAAAAATTACTCAAGTTATAGCCTTAGTGAATTTCAAACTTCATTAGATGTCAAAACTATATTTTTAATAGTTCTAGTATAACACATTTAAGTGCAGCGATACATATAAGTCTCTGGAACTTAAGAATTTAAGATTTTTTTTAAATAGATTTCTCTTTTTCTTTTTTTTTTTTTTTGCTGAGTTATATTGTCAGATAAATCTCAGTACTTACAGTTCTAGGACAAGACAGAACCTCTAGTGCATTTTCCTTTAGTGTAGGGAACAGTCCAGTACACCCACAGAGAACCAGAGAATTTTATGTTCCCACAAATGAAAACAATACCGAACTTGCTTAGGAGTTTAAAGTGTGAAACAAGTGGTCCCATATGTTCATTATTTCCTTGGCCTTTTATTTTGCCAAACACAAAAGAAATCAATAGAGAGAAAGGAAAGATATGATAGAAAAAAAAGGGAAGAATCAGAAAGACATGAGAAAAAAAGAAAAAAAAATCAGAAAACACTTTCTCAAAAATCATTCACAAACCCAAATTTTAAAAGTTCTTTTTTTTTTAATCTTAGATAAATGGAATATTAATTGATTCCAGATGTCTGGGCCACAATGAAAATGCCCTGTAAAATTTGAGGGCAACAGTCATAAGAAAATACTCACTGTAGGTGTAATCATTTTTGTTTGTTCCAGGTCTTTTACAGCAGGTCAGGGTGGGTATTATGAGGCCGATGTGAATAGAAAACTGAAGTCTTAAAAACATGTGCTGCTTTGTGGGTGGGGTTTGTGAAAGCATCTAGTTACATTTGGACACCCAGGCAGGTATGCTATTATGAGCCTGGGTAAACTGCCTTTTGTCCATTGAAACAATGAACAAATTGCACAGCTGGGATTTAAGTCAATCTTTTCCCCCCAGTCAAGCCACCTATTTCCATTGTATGCCTATTGTAGCAGCCCAGATAGTGACCCAAGCTCCAGTCCACTCCCTTACTCCCTTCCCCCGACTCACTCACTTGGAAATACCTTGAGAGTCAGAGTACAATCAGCTGGTGAGCTCTGCCTCTGGGCAGGACACCTTTACCCACTGAATTACATGTGAAAGACCACGCAGCTCCCTCAAACCACTTCCTGCTTCAAGTACAGAAAAAAGTAACAACTTATTAAGAGCTCCACTTCTGAAGTGTTCAGCATACACAGCATGAAAAGTGCATTTGGAAACAATTTTCTTAACTTGTAATTAATGCAGAGATAACGCTCCACAGCCTCTTTTATGATCCCCTAAGTAAGGAGACAAAAACTCCAGCTGCTAGATCACATAGTATGTATGCACAGTGACGTCATTTCTTTGAAAGCAAGGTGGCCTGCATGTGTTGGCATCTCAGGAACAGCAGAATCAGGTGCCTGACAAGGGTGTATCTTTAACTCCTGGAGCCACTTACTTGACTAGGGAAAGTCGTAGTGGTGAAGTGTTTGAAAGCAGCAACTGAATGCTGCACTAAGTGGCAGAGACGTCTTATGAATTGAGCCCTCAGGCAATTGAATCGGTGGAGCCAGTGACAGCAGCTTAAAAGCGCTTGCAAATTGAAAAAAAAACACAAGTCTTGAAGGATATAATTTTGCTGAGAATGGAAACTAGAACTACGGCCAGCAATCGGAAACGAGAAGTCGGTGCACTGACAGCAGCAGCCAGATTTACCTAAAGGGACTTCACGACACTGAATATAAAATCAGAGTTTTATAACACAGAACCCCAAGTCCAAACTTTGCCCATGAAAGTCCTCTTCTAAACAGAAAAGTTGGGCAAGCAGCTCTTAGAAAGTTTCTGCTTTCCATATACAGTATGTATTTGTTTAAATTATACAAATATGCAAGGTCAGCAAGAGTTGTCAAGGAGTTCTTTTTTGGAAGAACAAATTACACTTTACTCTAACTTTAACACTCTCTCTGGGCATAAGTGCAGAGTTCCGGGACCTTAGCTCCAAAGATCATATTTAAAAGCTTTAATATCATCTAAAATACAACCCTTCATATATAGCATGCCTTGTAAATAAAGTCCTGATGAGTTACACACACAGAGACACATACACACAGAGACACATACACACATGCAAAAGAACATGGTCTTAAAAATAAAACATCTGCACCTGCAAAAGAAAAAAAAAATCCCCAAGTTCATATCCATGCTCTATAGCCCTTAGCCATAGAGAGGATTTAAAGGAATCTTCTGTAATGACACCACGGAAGCCCTGCAGAAGTGGAGGATTTAGCATAAGTACCTTGCAATAGTTTCTACTCATACAGATATCTGTGCAAATGCATCCATCTCCCCGAGCTATTTTTCAGATTCCACAGAATTGCATATTCAGCAATTTATAAATAACTCTCGGTTCCGAAACAATGAAAATTTTAAAGTGAAGAACAGTTCTAGGCAGAAGCAAACAGTACACAATTTAAATAGAATTCCCCAATGACTTCAAAGAGTAAGAAATATTTACCTTCAAGAAATCACAAAAGCAGCACTTAAATAATTGGGTTGGAAGACTGCTGATTTTTCCCATTGCTTCTGAAGTACAAAGTCTGAAAATGAATTGGTTAGCAGGAATAATGAAGCAAAAAGAAATCCAGAGAGATGGGAGATGTTGAGAGCAATGTCACATTTCAATTTTGAGGACTTTATTCCATTGCGCAGGCTCTATCTGCTCTGAATTTAGCAGTGACAGTGAGATTTAGCAAACAGAAGAGGGATTTAGAGAAAATCCTCACATTTATCTACAAAACACAGACACTGTAGACAGGAAACAGCTGGGGGAACATTTGCCTTCTCTCTCTCTCCCTCTTCTGGCAAAGTTATTGAGTAAGGACTTTTTTGGGCATGGTGACAAATAACATCATACCTTTGCATTTTAAAACTAGAGCACAGAAGCATTTTTTTCCCTTAAAAGAATGTGTGTTAGTGACAGGGTTCGCAGACATTAAAATACTTATGCTGCCATAGAAAATAAGGATCTGTTTTCTGATTAACTTTCTGCTGGGCATGAAGACACAAACGTCTGCTAATACACCTTACCAGTATTAAAGGAATATGGGGGATGGGAGAGCAATTTTAGATTCTAGAGCAAATGCATTATTTAAAACAAAAAAAGAAAGAAAGGACGATAAGACCCTCTCCAGCAAACTCTACAATTTTAACCCTGAAGTGACTGGGGTAAAGTAGATTGGAAGACAGCACTCGGGTGACCCCTTGTCCCAGTTGCCAAGTGAGAGGTGTGATCTCATTTCCTAGAACCTATGGAGGGGCAGGCAGCATTGGATTGGTCCCTTTAGGGCACTGTCTCATACTTTTTCTCCTGCGATGAGGCAAAGACTATGCCGAGCTGTAAAACCCAACTGAAATAGAACATTTTTCTTTATTCTTCTACTAGGCTGCCTGTCACTGTCCCCTCCCCACCCCACCACTCTGGGAGAAGGGTACCTGGGGGGCAAACAATTTTCCTGTTGTTTGAATTTTCCATATAACTCAAACCTGTGTGTGTGTGTGTGTGTGTGTGTGTGTGTGTGTGTGTGTATGACAGAGGGAGTCTGTGTGCCAGAGTGTGTTTTCTTTCTCTGATTTTTGTGTATTCTAAATAACACCAGCTGGCTAGCAATACCCTCTCGAGGGTTATGATGTCATTCAAATCCCTCAACTGGGTGACTGGCCGGCAACATGGTCCAAGCCAGCTGTTTTGCTATTTATAATGTACACTTGCCTTTGCCATTGAGAATTCAGTTCTGATCTTTTGTCGATACAGTTTGTACCTATTTCCCTTTGGTTTTGTGAAGCAGTAGATAAGAAAGTGAATTATAAAATAAGGTTGCAAAAGCCCAGAGCAGACATACCTCTTTCCCTAGAGAGCTCTCCAGGCCTGGTTTCCCAGGAGTGGTGGAAATAACCTGGACCTTGAATTTTTTCTTTTTTTTTTTTTCCACATGACTCTCAGGGGACTGACACATCAACTGAAAACACAGTTCTGCTTGAAATCCTACTCTGGCTCTTTGTGTTATCCTGGGGCCAGAAATTTGTTTGTAGAAGTGGGTGCCCTAACAAAAAACAAACAAACCTGCTTTGTTTGGAAGGGGGTTGGGTTTGTTTGAGTCTTCTGTGTGGTTAATACATTGTAGCAATGTTTACCTTTCAGAAATCAAAGTTAGAAATCTGGAATTATGTTGTGTCAATGGTGCACTATGTTCAGCAACATTTTGTGAGCTCTACTATGTGCCCAACTACAACATCCCTAGGAAAACAAAGAGGAATAAGATATGGTCAAGTCCCTTCAGGGGCTTTCAGCTGAATGTCAGAGACAAAGAGGAAAACTTCACAGTCATATGATGGGCATGTGCTCTTTTAAAAACATGAACAGTGCACAATGAGAGGGAGTGACACATTCTCTGGGAAGACAGGGGAGTAAAATCTTTTGGAAAATCCAAAATGAGGGAGGCAGATTGTGTCATGAGAGGCTTTGGGGTACCATGTTGGGAAATTTCAGTGGGTGGGATTTGACCCAAAGAGCACACTAAGAGGTATCATCAAGAGGTGGCCTAGTAGGTGGCCCTGGATTATTCTTAATGCAGGGATTATCCACATGTGCAGATGTGTGAGTAATCCCTGCATTTAATAATAATCCGTGGCTTCCTTTAATAAGCTCTCTTTGTACACTTGATTTGTGACAAATCTTTTTCTTTTCTGCAGTTTTTGTGGATCACACCCTTTCTGAAAAATGTCTATTCTCTTACAGACTTTGAGGATGTAGATTGTATAAAACAATAGAGCTGATCTCACCTGTCTTCCAGATGAGAAAAAACCTCTTTAACCAAGTTTGGAGAGTCAGATACTGGCTGGAGTCTTGGTGCTAAGTTCTTGTTCCAACATTGGACACCATTACAGGTGAAGGCCAGGACTTTGTTTAACCCCTTCCCACTGCAGTTTTAGCATACTTTAATTGTTCCAAGATGTCCTAGAAGCTAACTATATGTCTCCAAGTCTATCACCCATTTTGATGTTCTCTCTTGGCATGCTCGGTGCACAGATATAACCTTATCCACAAGCATTTCATATGAAAGGCTGTTTTGGGGACAGATGCTGTACTCCAGCGATATTGACACACTGACTCACAGTCTCTCGGTTTTGTAACCCCAATTACCCTTAAAGGATAATTAGGTTTTAATTTATGTCCTAGTTTTTATGTCACAATCAAAGAAAACTGAAATTTCAGTGAGTCGTAATTGTCATCAGCTGTGCTTTGGAAACATTCCAATGAGAGCTATCAGTTTCCAATGGGGGAAGCAATTTCCTGAGGTGATTAATGTATATTTCAATTTGGAGAATGGTCTATATTTTTGGACAGGGTGAGCCAGCAATGGATCAGGGCAATAATTCCTAGAGAAAAGGTCATTTTCTTGGCTAATTCCAGGAGTCAATATGAAAATGAAAGAGCAATAAACATGCCACCAGATTACTTTTTAATGGCTAAGTGATGTACCTGTTTAGGAGTAAAAGAAATGAATGCACCTATTACTACAAATCCAAGGTAGTAGTAAATCTAAAGCCCAAGAGGAGTTCAGGTTATGAAGTCCCATTGGAGAGAAACATCTAGGGTCATTATAAAAGTATGGAATGATTATGTAGTCTCCTGCCTGCAAAAATCTGACAGTGAGATATGGCCACCAAAATAGCTAACCGCAAGGATGTGCTTATCATAAGAACATCCACTCCTGGAAATTCAGAGATTCACAGTTTCACCTTTTGCATGTGTAATGCCTGTGGGATATAAATAACTCTCCCCTAAAGCCTTCTTCTTGAGTAGCATATTTGCATAAAGCTACAGCCTCAGAAAACTTCTGACACCTTTCGCACACACACAGAAAAAATTGTTCATTTCCTTAAAGGGTGAGCTGGCTAAGGTACACAGAAAGCAGGGGTGGGGTGGGCAAGGAGGCCCTCCCTGTCTTCCCCCCAACTTTTTTTTTCTTCTCAAGCCATGTTCCCAGTCTTTCCTGTGTTAACTGGAGAGGCGTTCATCCAAAAGGTAATTTCATATCCATGTACAATAGGGCATATTTACAATTTATTTCATGAATGTCTTTGCTTACTCCCAAGGAAAGCTCAGAATGGACATTTGGAGGTAAGGGAATTTTGGAATCAAATAAAGGGTGAGGCTTAAGGTTCTAGGGCAACCACCAGGCAAAGAACTTGGGGGAAACTATTGGATGTTTCTTTTGGATCATGGTTTGTGAGGAGGGTTGGTCATGGGTTGCTCAAACTAATGTTGGAGGTCAAGAACTTGTCAATTCAGAATATAAAACTCAGAGGAAAGACAGGGCCTCAAAAACTCAACATGCTGCCGAGCAAGGGGCCTAATGTCAGCTCCAAAACATCTGCTCAGAAAGATTCCTGTGATTCCCCAGGAAGATTTGCTCAAAGGAGCTGCTCTAACTCCTTAAAGAAGTGTTTCGCCCACGACTAGGGAAAACAGAAATAGGGAGGAGAAATCCTCTCACTAAAGAAATCAATGCTTTCTTTTCAACATCAAACTTGGATCTTATTTCTTCTAAAATGTCAAAAGGGCAAATACTGGAAACAGAAACGAAACTGTTGTGGTTGTGTGAGCAAAGTAATTCTTCGTTATGGCAGAGGAGAAGTCACGGCATGGGGTAAGGATGGGTTGGTGGAGTGAGAGAACTTGAGGACTCGTCACGCTTGCCCCACGTTGCATAAAATGTGGGGAAAAGAGACACCAACGCCAAACTTCAGGGGCAGGACCCACATAAATGCTTTCTTGGGGAATAAAAAAATGTGCGCGCCCTCTAGTGGACTTCTGAGAAACTGCCACTGCACTCTTGACCGTGGATGCGTTCTGGCAGGAGTGGGTTTTTTTTTTGAAAGCTCTGGATTTAAATACATTTTAAGCTACACTTATCTTTAGTTTTATTAAGTCTTTTGAAATAAGTAAGATAGATGTTCAACTCACTGTAGTTTAAAAAGGGGAAGATTGATAAGGGGGAAAGAAAGATCATAAACTTCATCAGGGCATGGATGGATTCCTCATGGCCATATTCCCAGCACTTAACTCCGGGTGCATGAGCTCAAAACATTTTGTTGAATGAATGCAAGTCTGGAAAACAAATGATGATAAAGGTAAAATATAAAAATTGCACAAACTCTTTAAGAGTAAAATAACCAACCTCCTCATTTTATAAGAAAAATAAGACCAGGAAGAGGGGCTGTTGGAGGATAGAAAAATGACTTCTCGAGAAGCAAGACAAATTTAGGTGCTCACAAAATAGAATTCAAACCCAGTCTCCTTGTCTGTTCTGCAGTATTTCTATCATGTTAGTTTTCAAAATGTGGGTTATAACACCCCTGGTCAAAGACGTGGCGTTAAAGAATCACTTAAGTATAGAGATGATTCCATTTACAATTCCCTTTCTGATCCTGAATCTCCAAAGGAGAAAGTCTCAGTTTGGCGCTAGTCTGTCTTCAGTGCTTCCCTAGCACTCATTAGTCTCTCTTTATTTTATTTTTTAATTTAATTTTTAATTTTTGTGGGTATGTAGTAGGTATATATATTTATGGGACACGTGAGATATTTTGATACAGGCATGAAATGTGAAATAAACACATCATGGAGAATTGGGTATCCATCCCCTCAAACATTTATCCTTTGTGTTGCAAAAACCTCTCGTTTTAACAACCAAAAAGTGAATCTCAAGTCCAAAATCTTTCCAGACAGAAGTTCCTATTTTGTTTTTATGGAATTTGCTTTTAAGCAAAACTTCTATTTAAGGCAAATGATGCTATATTTAAAAAAGATATTTTAAAGTTTAGTTTTAAAATGTATGTATATAAGTCTTAAGAACATCAAGTCAAGAAAAACATATATATTTAAAGTAAGTAAATAATTTGACAGGTGGCCGACCGTTATGACACACAATTGTAGGTGGTGTTTGAAACCCTGATGTTTGGAAATCACTACAATAACATGTCATTGTGTTAGAAAAACAAATACATAGCCACAACATAAAGACAGGGAACAAAGACCCTCTACATAAAAAGATGCCACCATATAAATGCATTAATTACATTTCTAGATAATTTTGATCTCCATTAAGCTCACTCATTTTTCACTTCAGTCTTTCATAGAGACTGGAAATGTTGAAGAGGGGTTGGCAGACAGAAAAGCATCTGAGTTAGGCCTTGAAGCATGAATTCACCACCAAGATGGAAAAACAATGATAAAGGCTATTCCAGGCAGAGGGAACAGCATGAGCAAACTTACGTAGGCATGAGAAAGTTCACAGTGATGGGGGGATGTGGGAGATGAGGCTGTGGCTGTGAGCTCAGAGTCCTACCTGTGGAACCCTTTTACCTCCCACTCCCCGTCAGTAGCCTCCTTCACACAGTTGGATGACTTGAAAACAGTCTTAATTTCCTCATGTTCCCTTGTACACAAAGATTTGTGTGTAACTAAGTCTGTGATTAACTCTGGGAATGGCACAGTGCCTCAAGGTAAATATGTAATAGCAGACGTGGGTTACATCAGAGCCTAGGCCCACAAGAGGCAGGCCTGGGTAAGAACTGAGGTACCTATTGATCATCTATTCACCTTTCCAGATATTCCATTTGTAAAGCTTAATTGCAGTGTTTATACTTTGGGAGGTAGATTTTAATGATTACACTTGATAAAGATTTTTCACTGTAAGAGTTGAGGCAAGATCTTGTTTCTGGGGAGCAGTGAACTCTCTAGGAATGCAGGTTCATCAGAGCATCACATACTTCATGTGGGCTGATTAAGGAAGTTTTATTATGCTCCGTGAAAGCAGGGCATGGAGCCCCAGACTCAATCTTTTACCTCAAGGTGGCTAACTGGGGAAACTTCTCAGGGTGCTTCCTGTTGGGGTCCCCTTTATAAACAGAAGTTAGGACACTCAATTGCAGCGGGGATGCTGCATCCAGAAGAGCCCTTTGTAATGCTCTACCTGGGAAGCACATACCCTTCAAAATAGTATCTTGTCCTGTCTGGGTGCTGTGGCTCAAGCCTGTAATCCCAGTGCTTTGGGAGGCAGAAGCGGGCGGATCACCTGAGGTCGGGAGTTCAAGACCAGCCTGACCAACATGGTGAAACCCCATCTCTACTAAAAATACAAAAAGAATTAGCGGGGTGTGGTGGCGGGTGCCTGTAATCCCAGCTACTCGGGAGGCTGAGGCAGGAGAATCGCTTGAACCCAGGAGGCAGAGGTTGTGGTGAGCCAAGATCGTGCCATTGTGCTCCAGCCTGGGCAACGAGAGAAAAACTCCATCTCAAAAAAAAAAAAAAAAAAAAAAAGTACCTTGTCCTCTGCCCAGCACAAACCCTTTAACACGAGTTAAACACCTTGCAGACACTCAGATATTCTTAGGACACCCTTTGCTCCTTTCATAATACCTTGGTGAAGACCTCAGCTTCTTTCGGAGCTCCAGATAAAATGTTAAGCCCAGTTGTATTAGTCATGGTTCTCCAGAGAACCAAAATCAACAGGATGTATACAAGTATATATAGAGAGGTTTATTTTAGGGAATTGGCTCACATGATTGTGGCAGCTTGGAAAGTCAAAGTCTGCAGGGTAGACCAGCAGGCTGGAGAACCAGGGAGGGGAGCAAAGGCAGTCTGCTAGCAGAATTTCTTCTTCTGAGGAAGAGGTCAGTCTCTTTTTATTAAGGCCTTCAACTGATTAGATGAGACCACTCGCATTATGGAGGTAATCTCCTTTGCTCAAAGTCTACTGACTTACATGTTAATCTCACCTTAAAAAGTCACAGAGACATGTACAATGATGCTTGACAAAGTATTTGGGTACTGTGGCCTAGCTAAGTGGACACATAAAATTAACCATCGTATCAGTGCCTCTCAAAAGGTGCGCTCACTGGTCCTCCCTCACTAAAACTGAGTAGTAATAATACTATTTTCCAAGTGGCAAAAAAGAAAACCCAAGTTAATAAATTATATTTTCCAATTCTAAGTTTTCTTACTCATTTTTCTTTCACCTGTGGCTCCTGCACTTACTGTTTCTTGATCATTTCCAAAGAGAAGTTGTGACCACTTGACTTGGCTGTGTCATTAATATTGTATGAAGATGACACTCATTGGCAACAAGAAAATAAACAGTGGGTTTTTTTTTGTCTTATTCTAGAACGCACACAGCACTCAAACACATGCAAACAAATACAAAAATAGGCACCTGTGCTTAGTTTCTCTAGATAATAAGAAGTACACTCATTCCCTCATAAGAAAGTTAGCTGTTTAGACCAATGGAGAGAAGTTTCAAGCCTAAGGTGATATTTGAGTTGGGATGATTTCCTGCCCTTTAGCAACAATGAGAGAGAGCTTTTACAACATGTTTATGCCTCTAGAGACTGACTCTGTGCCTGACCCTATGTGGGACTATGAACCTTTGTGTAGCATGAGGCAAGTGATTTTTAGCACCTCTAATACTTTTTTGCATTTTTTTTTTTTACCTTAAGCAGGTATTTTACAGTCAGGAAAAGTCTCCCAAAACAATGATTGGAAACATGATTGATAGGTGCTCTTTGTACCATCTGTTCTTAGTGTTGACTGAAAATGTAGCATATACATGTGTGTTTATGTGGATGTGTATTTTTTAAATTATACTTTAAGTTCTGGAATACATGTGTGGACGGTGCAGGTTTGTTACATAGGTATACATGTGCCATGGTGGTTTGCTGCACCCATCAACCTGTCATCTATATTAAGTATTTCTCCTAATGCTATCCCTCCCCTAGCCTCCCACGCCAGAAAGGCCCTGGTGTGTGATGTTCCCATCCCTGTGCCCATGTGTTCTCATTGTTCAACTCCCACATATAAGTGAGAACATGCGACATTTGGTTTTCTGTTCCTGTGTTAGTTTGCGGAGAATGATGTCCCTGCAAAGAACATGAACTCATTCTTTTTTATGGCTGCATAGTATTCTATGGTATGTATGTGCCATATTTTCTTTATCCAGTCTATCATTGATGGGTATTTGGGTTGGTTCCAAGTCTTTGCTATTGTGAATACTGCCACAATAAACATACGTGTGCATGTGTCTTTATAGTAGCATGATTTATAATCCTTTGGGTATATACCCAGTAATGGGATTGCTGGGTCAAATTGTATTTCTGGTTCTAGATCCTTGAAGAATTGCCACACTGTCTTCCACAATGGTTGAACTAATTTACACTCCCATCAACAGTGTAAAAGCATTTCCTCTATTTCTCCAAATCCTCTTCAGCATCTGTTGTTTCCTGGCTTTTTAATGATCGCCATTCTAACTGGCATGAGATGGTATCTCATTGTGGTTTTGATTTGCATTTCTCTAATGACCAGTGATGAAGAGCTTTTTTCATATATTTTTTGGCCACATAAATGTCTTCTTTTGAAAAGTGTCTGTTCATATCCTTTGCCCACTTTTTGATGGGGTTGTTTGTTTTTTTCTTGTAAATTTGTTTAAGTTCTTTGTAGATTCTGGATATTAGCCCTTTGTCAGATGGATACGTTGCAAAAATCTTCTCCCATTCTGTAGGTTGCCTGTTCACTCTGATGATAGTTTCTTTTGCTGTGCAGAAACTCTTTAGTTTAATTAGATCCCATTTGTCAATCTTGGCTTTTGTTGCAATTGCTTTTGGTGTTTTAGTTATGGAGTGTTTGCCTATGCCTATGTCCTGAATAGTATTGCCTAGGTTTTCTTCTAAGATTTTTATGGTTTTAAGTCTTCCATTTAAGTTGTTAATTCATCTTGAGTTAATTTTTGTATAAGGTATAAGGAAGGGGTCCAGTTTCAGTTTCCTGCATATGGCTAGCCAGTTTTCCCAGCACCATTTATTAAATAGGGAACCCTTTCTCCATTGCTTGTTTTTGTCAGGACAAAAACCTCCATTGCAGGTTTGTCAAAGATCAGATGGTTGTAGATGTGTGGCACTATTTCTGAGGCCTCTGTTCTGTTCCATTGGACTATTTATCGGTTTTGGTACCAGTACCATGCTGTTTTGGTTACTGTAGCCTTGTAGTGTAGTTTAAAGTCAGGTAGCATGATGCCTCCACTTTGTTCCTTTTGCTTAGGATTGTCTTGGCTACACGGGCATTTTTTTGGTTCCATATGAAATTTAAAGTAGTTTTTTTTTTTCTAATTCTGTGAAGAAAGTCAATGGTACCTTGATGGGAATAGCATTGAATCTATAAATTACTATGGGCAGTATGACCATTTTCACAATATTGATTCTTCCTATCCATGAGCATAGAATATTTTTTCATTTGTTTGTGTCCTCTCTGATTTCCTTGAGCAGTGGTTTGTAGTTCTCCTTGAAGAGGTCCTTCACATCCCTTGTTAGTTGTATTTCTAGGTATTTTATTCTCTTTGTAGCAATTGCTAATGGGAGTTCACTCATGATTTGGCTCTCTGTTTGTCTGTTATTGGTGTATAGGAATGCTTGTGAATTTTGCACATTGACTTTGTATCCTGAGACTTTGCTGAAGTTGCTTATCAGCTTAAGGAGATTTGGGGCTGAGATGATGGGGTTTTCTTAATACACAATCATGTCATCTACAAACAATTTGACTTCCTCTCTTCCCATTTGAATATGCTTTGTTTCTTTCTCTTGCTTGATTGCCCTGGCCAGAATGTCCAATAATGTGTTGGATAGGAGTGCTGAGAGAGGGCATATTTGTCTTGTGCTGGTTTTCAGAGGGAATGCTTCCAGCTTTTGCCCATTCAGTATGATATTGGCTGTGGGTTTGTCATAATTAGCACTTACTATTTTGAGATATGTTCCACTGATACCTAGTTTATTGAGAGTTTTTAGCATGAAGGGCTGTTGAATTTTATTGAAGGACTTTTCTGCATCTCTTGAGATAATCATGTGGTTTTTGTCATCGGTTCTGTTTATGTGATGGATTATGTTTATTGGTTTGCATATGCTGAACCAGCCTTGCATCCCAGGGATGAAGCTGACTTGGTCATCATGGATAAGCTTTTTGATGTGCTGCTGGATTCGGTTTGCTAGTATTTTATTGAGGATTTTTGCATTGACGTTCATCAGGGATATTGGCCTGAAATTTTCTTTTTTTGTTGTGTCTGTGCCAGGTTTTGGTATCAGAATGATGCTGGCTTCATAAAATGAGTTAGGGAGGAGTCCCTCTTTTTCTCTTGTTTGGTATAGTTTCAGAAGGAATGGTACCAGCTCCTCTTTGTACCTCTGGAAGAATTTGGCTGTGAATCCATCTGGTCCTGAGATTTTTTTAGTTGGTAGGCTATTAATTACTGCCTCAATTTCAGTACTTGTTATTGGTTTATTCAGGGATTCGACTTCTTCCTGGTTTAGTCTTGGCAGGGTGTATGTGTCCAGCAATTTATCCATTTCTTCTAGATTTTCTAGTTTGTTTGCATAGAGATGTTTATAGCATTATCTGATGGTAGTTTGTATTTCTGTAGGATCAGTGGTGATATCCCCTTTATTATTGTTTATTGTGTCTATTTGATTCTTCTCTCTTTTCTTCCTTATTAGTCTGGCTAACAGTCTATCTATTTTGTTAATCTTTCAAAAAACCAGCTCCTGGATTCATTGATTTTTTTGATGGGTTTTTCGTGTCTCTATGTCTTTCAGTTCTGCTCTGATCTTAGTTATTTCGTGTCTTCTGCTAGCTTTTGAATTTGTTTGCTCTTGCTTCTCTAGTTCTTTTAATTTTGATATTAGGGTGTCAATTTTTGATCTTTTCTCCTCTTTCCTGTGGGCATTTAGTGCTATAAATTTCCCTCGAAACCTTGCTTTAGCTGTGTCCCAGAGATTCTGGTACATTGTGTCTTTGCTCTCATTGGTTTCAAAGAACTTATTTATTTCTGCCTTCATTTTGTTATTTACCCAGTATTCATTAAGGAGTAGGTTGTTCAGTTTTTATGTAGTTGTGAAGTTTTGAGTGAGTTTCTTGATCCTGAGTTCTAATTTGATTGCACTGTGGTCCGAGAGACTGTTTGTTATGATTTCTATTCTTTTGCATTTGCTGAGGAGTGTTTTACTTCCAATTATGTGGTCAGTTTTAGAATAAGTGTGATGTGGTGCTGAGAAGAATGTATATTCTGTTGATTTGGGGTGGAGAGTTCTGTAGATGTCTATTAGGTCCACTTGGTCCAGAGCTGAGTTCAAGTCCTGAATATCCTTGCTAATTTTCTGTCTCACTGATTTGTCTAATATTCACAGTGGGGAGTTAAACTCTCCTACTATTATTGTGTGGTGTATTTAGGATAGTTAGTTCTTCTTGTTGCATTGATCCCTTTACCATTATGTAATACCCTTTGTCTTTTTTGATCTTTGTTGGTTTAAAGTCTGTTTTATCAGAGACTAGGATTGCAACCTCTGCTTTTTTTTTGCTTTCCATTTGCTTGGTAAATCTTCCTCCATCCCTTTATTTTGAGCCTGTGTGTGTTTGCATGTGAGATTGGTCTCCTGAATACAGCACACTGGTGGGTCTTGACTCTTTATCCAATTTGCCAGTCTGTGCCTTTTAATTGGGGCATTTAGCCCATTTACATATAAGGTTAATATTGTTATGTGTGAATTTGAACCTATCATTATGATGTTAGCTGCTTATTTTGCCCATTAGCTGGTGCAGTTTCTTCATAGTGTTGATGATCTTTAAGGTACCAGTTTTTCCTTTACACATTTAGTGCTTCCTTCAGGAGTTCTTATAAGGCAGGCCTGCTGGCGACAAAATCCCTTAGCATTTGCTTGTCTGTAAAGGATTTTATTTCTCCTTCACTTATGAAGCTTAGTTTGGCTGGATATGAAATTCTGGGTTGAAAATTCTTTTTTTTTCAGAATGTTGAATATTGGCCCCCACTTTCTTCTGGCTTGTAGGTTTTCTGCAAAGAGATCTGGTCTTAGTCTGATGGGCTCCCCTTTGTGGGTAACCCAACCTTTCTCTCTGTCTGCCCTTAACATTTTTTCCTGCATTTCAACCTTGGTGAATCTGACAATTATGTATCTTGGGGTTGCTCTTCTCGAGAAGTATCTTTGTGGTGTTCTCTGTATTTCCTGAATTTGAGTGTTTGCCTGTCTTGCTAGGTTGGGGAAGTTCTCCTGGATAATATCCTCAAGTGTGTTTTCCAACTTGCTTCCATTCTCCCTGTCACTTTCAGATACACCATTCAAATGTAGGTTTGGTCTTTTTCACACAGTCCCATATTTCTTGGAGGCTTTGTTCATTCCTTTTTATTCTTTTTTCTCTAATCTTGTCTTCCTGCTTTATTTCATTAAGTTGATCTTCAATCTCTGATATCCATTCTTCCACTTGATCGATTTGACTATTGATACTTGTGTATGCTTCACAAAGTTCTCAAGCTCTTTTTTTCAGCTCCATCAGGTCATTTATGTTAGTCTCTTAAGTGGTTATTGTAGTTAGCAATTCCTGTAACCTTTTATCAAGGTTCTTAGCTTCCTTGCATTGGGTTAGAACATGCTCCTTTAGCTTGGAGGTGTTTGTTATTACCCACCTTCTGAAGCCTACTCTGTCAATTCATCAAACTCATTCTATGTCCAGTTTTGTTCCCTTGCTGGTGAGGAGTTGTGATCCTTTGGAGGAGAAGAGGCATTCTGGTTTTTGGAATTTTCAGCCTTTTTGTGCTGGTTTTTCCTCATCTTCGTGGATTTATCTACCTTTGGTCTTTGCTGTTGGTGATCTTCGGATGGAGATTTTTGTTGATGTTGATGCTATTGCTTTCTATTTGTAAGTTTTCCTTCTAACAGTCAGGCCCCTCTTCTGCAGGTCTGCTGGAGTTTGCAGGGGGTTCACTCCAGATCCTGTTTGCCTGGGTATCGCAAGCAGAGGCTGCATAACAGCAAAGATTTCTGTCTACTCCTTTCTCTGGAAGCTTTGTCCCAGAGGGGCACCCGCCAAATGCCAGCCAGAGCTCTCCCGTATGAGATGTCTGTCGACCCCTGCTGTGAGGTGTCTCCCTGTCAGGAGACACAGAAGTCAGGGACCAACTTGAGGAGGCAGTCTGTCCCTTAGCAGGGCTCAAGTGCTGTGCTGGGAGATCCGCTGTTCTCTTCAGAGCTGGCAGGCAGAAATGTTTAAGTCTGCTGAAGCTGTGCCCACAGCTGCCCCTTCCCCCAGGTGCTCTGTCTCAGGAAGATGGGAGTTTTATCTATAAGCCCCTGACTGGGGCTTCTGCCTTTCTTTCAGAGATTCCCTGCCCAGATATGTGGGTGTGTATTTAGTTACTCAGTTTTGTGCTTTACTCTTCAAAGCTTTTGAACCTCTATAAGTATTATCTTGGTCTTGGCTTGCTTATTTGACACCTGTATTCACTTGCTCATCAAACCTCACCCTCATTCTTCCACTTTATTTTATAATGTCTTTCAGGTCCATCTTCTTCCTTTCCATTTGCCTGGCATTGTTCCATAATGGATTGATGAAATCTTGATTATTGCATGAGCTTCTAACTAGTCTTCCCTCATGGCAATCTAGCCATTGTCTGGTTGCTGAAATCATCTTCCACACATACCATGTTCAGCAACATGCAATGCCTCCTCAGAGTCCTTTGATCACATCTAAGCCCCCCTCCTGCCATTCAAAACACTCTCTTCCTCAGCAACCTCATCTCTTGCTAATGTTCAGCATGGCTTCTTCATAACTAACCTGTTATTGTATACCAGTATGTCCCTAGCTCCCAGCTTAGTGCTTGGTTTTTAATGGGTGCTCAATAAATATTTATATATTAATAATGATATTAATAAATGCTACCATTACTGAGTTTGTATTATGTTGAATACTTTATTTCATATTAGTTTTAATAATCTCATTTAATTATCACTCTATTTCCATTTTTAGTTCAAAGTGTCTGGGGGCAGTTCTTGGAACATACCAGACACCCAAAAATGTTTGGTGGATAAATGAAGAGAAAATTGGGCTAGAAGTTAAATGATTTGGTTGATGTCCTATGGCTAGTAAATTACAGATTCCAGATTCAAAATCAGGTTGTTCTAATACACAACACTATGTGCTCTTCCAACCCAGCACTACAATTTCATGCAGAGTTTTCACTATACTATGTTACCTATAACAAAACAAAACAAGCAGCCAGAGAAGCATAAATAGACAATTAGTCTCCATAAGCAAGAGTTGGAAGAGTCCAAGCCAGAATCTCAGGCAAAGTCCAACTCTGTCAGGAAGCCACTTATACTCTTCCAGTTACAGTAAGAGCAAAGGATAGGTTTTCTGGGGCATGTCTTTCTGGAGCCTTATATGTAGGAAACTGAAGTAAAGCAAATCATAATGCCAAACTTTTATCTACTGTGTCACACTCTGATTTGGATAGGCTTTGTTCTGTTGAGACGTAAAAGCCTTAACATTCCCACTTAATAGCCTTGAATGCTCTATTTCTTACAATCCTAGAGTCTAGGGTAAACTCTATCTGTACTTCCTAAGGTTAAAGAAGCATCTACATGTTGTCCTAGGATAAATAACATAGCAAATTCCTTTCAACCTGCCCCAGAATCAGTGCAGTTTGGGGGTTTTCAGAGGCTATTACTTTCCCTGTTTGGCACTCTCAAATGGGCTCATGGTAGATTAGAGACAGTTTCTGAAGTCATGCTGACTTTCTTGAAATTCAAGATAGTATGGTTTAACCAGGTTGTATGCTTTCTGACTAGCATTTTGGCTTTTTGCTCCCAGTTCTTCTTTGTGGGTTTTTTCCCTCTTTTCTTTTCCCACTTTCCCTGGCTAATGAATACTAGCTGAACTAGTTCCCTTTAATCAACTGCTCTCTGGCTTCACATCCCTGACTCTTCACAAGGAAAATGGTGACTTCAGATTTGGATCTTGCAGGCGTCAGAGCACTGCCAACCCACTGGCAGGCTCTTTCCCAGCTTGGGTTCCCATCGAGGTAGCAATCCCACATCCTGGACTGGTGAGCTTCTCTGCGAGGTGCCAAAGTTATTAAATTCACTCCACTGCTTTGGAAAGCGAAGACATCCAGAGGCAACTGTAGCATTTTCAAAGTTTAGAGAGAAGTTAGGGCTTCTCAATGAGGGCATCTATTTTTCCCAAGAGGGCCTCTATTTTTCCCAAGATGTTTTCCCAACATCTGGCCTTTTCCAACCCCCTCACTTTTGTGGATTTTGCAGATAAAGCAAATGTTTCCAAACCAGTGACTATTCAGCAAGTGCTGCCCCCAAGGACAGGCTCAGTGGGGCAAGGAACTCCTGTGATCCAAATTTGAACAACTCTTAGGACCCAAACACAAAACATAAAACCCAAAGCTGCTGGAGATTGAAGGGAATCTTTCCAGTGGGAGGGAAGAACTGATAACCTATGCTAAGTGAAATCAGGAATAACTGGACAATAACAGTTGTTACCATTAAACACCAGTGGTGGCAAATTTGCATTTTTGCTGTTTATAAATACCAGTTTCACAGGATCTCCATTGAGCCCTTTTGAAAAATTTCAGTGGCACTCATGTCCCAAGCATGCCAAACCCAGTGTTGTGTTTATCCTACAATACAAGAGGGAATTTCTTTGTGAAGGGAAAACCATTACTGAAATACATGACTGCAAGATGCAACTCTTTAGTGGGGGCAATCCAACTGGTCGCATGGAAGCCAGGTCACCCCAGACTGGAGAAAACTTCATTCTCTTGGAACTACTAAACTATGTTGCCTGGAAAATATTAATACAGTTCATTGTCAAACAAGTTGGTTAAGTCCAGAAAATGGGCAGGAAATACCAGGCTGGGTTCACGTAGGTGCCCTGAACTACAGCATCTCTTTGAATGAAACTATGATTTACTTTCTTAAATAAATGTCATGGGGTAAAATCATGCCTTATACAAACCAGCTGAAATGTGTGATGTAACTATGTTAACACGTTTTTATAGCCCTGGAAGAACGCAATGGGGTGGGTTCTATCAGTAATCATCTAAAGACGCCGAGTATACATTCCAGATGTTCATTATGTCCCAACCATTTGTTGGGAGTAAAGTGGAGGCTTTCTCCTTGTCCAGGAAGTCTGATTTTAGTAATTGAAACAGAGACTAACTTGAAATATCGTATGTCTGGAATTATAATACTAAATCTCATAGTTCTAGTTAAGTAAGTGTATATGAGCAAAATAAAACAAACATATAAAAAGCAGCGGGGGGAGAGAGAGAAAAGGAAAAAAGAAAGAGCAAGAAAAGGCAATACTATAGGACTTTGCACCTAAGCTCTTTCTTTCCCATTTCAGCCTCACAACACCTTGTTCATTTCTACTCTCAAGCTGAGCCTTTACCGATAAAGTCCAGGGACATGGGAAATAAATGCACATGTATATCAGATTGACTGGATCACTGAGTAATGGACCTGTGCAAAATCAGACTGTTCAATGGCCTGCACTATCGGAAAAAGACATCACTTGTTGTGCTGCTTAAATTGCAAAATCTCCTCCAAAAGGAATTAATTCTGAGCAGTCTTTAATGAGTTCCCTTAAAAAGTATTTAGACTTTTAGACTGCAGAAATCTGCTTCAAACTTTCTTTATCCTGGAGGGTGATGTGTTAATCACATCAACTTTTTTTGTTGGAGATATTATGAAATCAATATAACAACCCACGCCCTTTACAATTCAACCTGGCTGACCTTTGCAAACGAATATACATACATACTTTGCATTACATAATTTCACCCATCCTTCTGGTCAAACTGGACTACTTTTTACACTCTAGACATGCTTCATTCCATGTGTACCCTCAGCTCCTGCTAAAGAATCCTCATCCCTACCTCAATCTCAATGCTTTGGGCTGAAAAGTTGAGCACATTTACCATCTGTCCTTCATTAATCCTCCTGCCATCTCTTCTGTGCCCCCAACCCCTGCACCAGCTAGAAGTGAGGATTCACCTCTGTGAACTCCCATATCACTTGAGTCATGCCTTCTTCTTTCTATGCATTTATGTAAATATGTAGACACTTATCCATATATTTATTGATTCCTTCATTCATAAAATATTTATTGAGCATAATAGCCAACATGCCATGAAATAGAACATGTTGATGAGTAAAACCACACCCCATCTCTCCTTTTATGGAGTTTACCATCTACTGCAGGGAGACCATTATTCATTAAATAATTATACTAATTAATGTATACTTACAAGCTGAGCTATGAATCGTACAAGAAATATATGTTCCTTTTTTCTGTTTGTTGTTTTAAAGAGTGTAACAAAGGTACTTGATCCAAGTATGGACTGAAAAGGAAGGAGGCAAGGAAATCTTCCTTAAGGAATAGATATAGAGGCAGAGGGTTAAGTTATCTCAATTTCTTCAGGGAAGAGTTTACTCAGTACTAATCTATGTCCTAGAGCTTCAAGCAGAGCTGGAGGGACTCAATTCTTTTTTTTTTTTTTTTTTGAATGAAACAGCATTTATAAGTGCAGGTCAGAAGAAGTGAGATGCAGAGGCTCAAAATACCTTCCTCCCTGTCTACTTAAGGAAAACAGCCTCTCTTAAAAATACAAACAATTCCTGGAAAGGTTCCATTCACTGGGAGCTTAATAGGAATTGCTTTGGGGTTTTACATAAGACTAACAAAGCTTATGCTTTTCATCAACACTATATTGCCTTCCAACATGTCCCACCTCCTCACTGAAAACTGCTTCCAAGACTAGCCTCAAAAAGGAGGTTACAGTCAGAACTGGTTACTCACTTCCTTCTTAAAGACCACATGGTCACCCTACAAGCTTTTGATCCTTCTTGACATCCCATCATGAGGACTCTCTAGACTGCTCTGTCCATCTCTCAAACTGACTTTATCTTCTATACCCCTCCCCCAGATCTTTCTATTGTGCCCTCTGGAACTCACAGCAGGCCGTCAGCAAAATTCCCCATTTCCTCATCTTCTTCTGCTTCCCCTTTTTTCTTTAACTGAAACCCATGTGCCTCTGGAGGACAGTGATTTTGCCTAGTCCTCTCTGTGGAGACTGTTTCTTTTTCTCTTGTATTTCATGCACACCAGGGTCTGGAGATGATGGATAGAAGTCCTCCTTATTCCCTATGACTATTTTCAGATGATTGCTCTCCCTCTTTCCCAAACTCATCCATCTCCAGCTCCTCTGGAGCACAAGTTATCAGAATATACCTCCTTCTCTCCCACCTTGTTGCCATTATCCATTGTCGTTATTGTCAGCCCCCTTCATTCATTAAAGATTTCTTGTCTGGATCACTGCCTTCTTTCCACCACTGAGTTTGTTAGCATTCTTAAGTACTTTGGCATCTATGTAGACAGTCTCTTTGACAACCTGGCTTCTCAGCTTTTTTGCCTCCTTGCATTCAGTCATCTGTTCTTCCACCATACCTCATATATCAACGCTAATATACCCTAGACTTTGGGTAACTTGCATTACCTCCAAGGTCTCCATTCTAAGTATTCCACTCCCCGTATGCCATTTTCTATTTTTCCAGCTCACCTCTTCTCGTACTCCATCTCTAACCATTCCTTGCCACTATTGGGATCTCAAATCCTTTGATTCTTCTATGTTTCCTTATTCTTTATCCCATTATGCCCTCAATTTCCCTTTTACCCAACCCATCATTCTGTGACCCATTCCGTGACCCATCACTTTACCCCATCCCCTGTGTGTATGTACCTTATCCATGTCTTTTCCCATCACATTTGTAAGGAAAAACCACAGTTCTGAATCTCCATCAACTCCATGTCTACACCTGTACAGCTGAATGTGGTTGGAGAAAATGCATAACCAAGCTGAATGGCCTCACTTTAGATTTTTGAACACGAACATCAAATCAGTCCTCAGCACTGTCTGGAAATGCAAGACCTTTCCAGAAACAATGTGAAGAACACTGGGGGAAAGGACAAGACTAGGAGCAAGAAGACTGGGTAGACTTCATATGAAAGATTCAGATAAGAGATGATGGGTCCATGGATTAGATAAGTGGTCATAGGAATGTTGGTCACACTTGTTATCAAAAAGACAAACGATAACAAGGGTTGACAAGGCAGCGAAGAAAAGGGAACCCTGGTATACTGTTAATGAGAATGTAAATTAGTGCCACCCATTATGGAAAACTGTAAGGAGGTTGCTCAGAAAACTAAACATAGAATTACCATATGACCCAGAAATTCTACTTAAAATATTTGAAATCAGTTTGTTGAAGAGAAGAGATTCTGCACTCCCATGTTCATTGCAGCACTATGAAATCAACGTGTCTACAACAGATGAATGGATAAAAATGTGGTATATATACCACAGAATATTAATAGCCTTTAAAAAGAAGGAAATTCTGCCATTTGTGACAATATGGATGGAACTGGAGAACATCATGCTAAGTGAAATAAGCCAGGCACAGAAAGACAAATACTGCCTATTCTCACTTACATGTGGAATTTATACAATCAAACTCATAGAAGCAGAGAGTAGAATGGTGGTTACAGAGATTAAGGGGAAGGGTAAATGAAGAGATAATGGTCAGAGGGTACAAAATCTCAGTTTGACAAGAGGAATACATTTTTGTGTGCTATTACCCAGTGTGGTGAATATAGTTCATAATAGGGTATTGTATACCTTGCAATTGCTAAGAGTAAATTTCAAATGTCCTCACCACAAAAAATGTTAAGTATCTGAGGCAATCGATATGTTAACTAGCTTGATTCAACTATTCCACACTGTATTCGTAAATCATAACATCATTTTGTACCCCACAAATTTATACAATTATAAATTATTGATTTACAATAAAAATTTTTAAAAAAGAAAAGTTAGAATACTAGTTTACAGAAACCAAGTGGAGAAAGTGTTTTAAAAAGAAACAGGAGAGGCTGGCAATATTAAACTCAAACTCAAAGCATAAATCAGAGTCACCTAGAGGACTTGCTAAAACATAGGTTACTGGGTCACATCCCAGAGTTTCTAATTTAGCAGCTCTTGGGTGGGCCCCAAGAATTTAGTCTCTAATATGTTCCCAGGTGATATTTGTTTTATGATGGCAAACCACTGCTGTAAAGATTTTGAGTTGAGATTTGAAAAGAGTTTATTGTTTTGAAAATGAGGAAAAGAAAAACATATCTATGTTGTGTTGGGTGGAAAAAGATGCAGGGAGTTAGGAACAATCGGGAGGAGAAGATATGAAGAAAGTAAGGGTGGACAACTCTTTCAAGGCATTAAATTATCAAAGAAATGAGGCCGGGTGTGGTGGTTCACAGCTGTAACCCCAGCACTTTGGGAGGCCCAGGCGGGCAAATTGCTTGAGTTCAAGACCAGCCTCGGTAACAAGTTGAAACCCCGTCTCTACAAAAATTATGCCTGTGGTCACAGTTACTCCGGAGGCTGAGGCGGGAGGATGGCTTGAGCCCAGGAGGTAGAGGCTGCAGTGAGCTGAGATTGAGGCACTGCACTCTAACCTGGTGACAGAGCAGGATTCTGTCTCAATCAATCAATCAATCAATCAATCAATAAAATATGAAAGAGGAGTCAGATAGGGGGACTTACAGGGAAAGCCTTTTCATTTAAAGTTGAAAGAGATTTGGGCATGTTTATTTGATGACGCCAAAGAGCTTTAGTGAAGCTCTGAGAAACAGAAGGGAATGGGAGGGACAGGAGGCAAATGCTACCTTAATGAGCTGGAGGGGACCAGAGAAAATAGGCGAGATGGAGGGGCAGGTAATTGAGAGCCATGGTTGGCGGCAGATGTGGAGAGGTTTGTGAATGGAGGAGCCCATCCTTTTTTTGTTTTGTTTTGTTTTTTTGAGACAGAGTCTCCCTCTGTTGCCCAGGCTGGGGTGCAGTGATGCGATCTCGGCTCACTGCAACCCGCGCCTACCAGGTTCAAGCGATTCTCCTGCCTCACCATCTTTGAATTGCCCAGTTTTTCCTTTAAGATAGAAAGCAAGCTCATCTGCTTAGAGCAAAAGAGAAAGTAGCAGAGCAGGAGGTTTAAAGAGAGAGGAGAAAGCCTGAAGTAGCTGCTGAGAAGAAAGGGAGAGTTGACCAGGACAAACACATGCTGTATTCAGAGCAGCAAGGGCTCAGCTGTGGTTGGACTCCATGATTGCAGAATAGACAGACTTCTCCCAACACTTGGCAGCCGTGGTTTAGAGGCAGAGAAGACAGACTGGAATTTACCCAGGGTAGCGGTGACTTTCTCTCTTGCTCTTTTGAGAACAATAATACCTCCATTAACGAGCGCTCCGGGAATAAAGCTCTTTACTATGAAAACAGGCAGTTTGAAAAACAAAAACATGTCCATAAATCATGAAAGCAGAACATTTGCAACCTTGTGACAAAATTGCTCAGCATGCAGTTTCTTTTTGTCCTGGATCAGACCCTAGTCTAGATCAACATGTAAAATCTTTGAAGATTGTCTTCTGTCCCAGGTCCCCTTGACCTGCTTCAGGGGTCTGACATCTCCTGTTCTCTTCAACCCCACCCTTTAGCAAACCTGGGAAGGATTTGATAATCAATCTTGTTACTGCTGATTACAGATTGTTGGAATCCCTTACTCATGTGTTGCTTTAGTTGAGAATATGTATTTCAAATGTCTTTTCTCCAGCTGTGGAATAATATTGGACTTTCCTTCTTTAAAAAACATTTAGCAATGGCAGGAGTACAGGAAAAGGAGATAGTATATCTGATTTCCAGTTCCCTGTATTGTATGCAACAGCCAGAAAGGTGTCTGAAACAGAATATGCTTAGCAGGTATCTAGTGAATGGATGAACAAATGAGTAAATGAATGAATAAATAATGATGATAAGTTGGGGTAGGGATAAAACTGATGTGGAAAGAGAAAACACACATTGTTGGTGGAAGTACAAATTATTACAACCTTTGTTGGAGGGCACTTCTTAGTCGGGTTTCCTTAGAAGTCAACCAAGACAGAAATTTTGAAGGTAAGTACTTGCTTTAGTCCATTTTGTGCTGAGTCTGGGTAATTTATAAAGAACAGAAATTTATTTCTTGCAGTTCCAAAATCAAGGTGCTGGCATCTAGTGAGGCCTTCTTGCTGTGCCCTCATAGTATGGAAGGTGAAGGGCAAAAGAAAATGCACCTACTCCTGCAGCACTTTTTATGTGTGTATGGATTGTAGTTAATAAAACAAAATGCAAACTTCTTTCCCTGCTTCTATTCCCCACCTTCTGATCTCAAGGGAATTGAATCTTAAAGAATTCCAACAATTATCTGGGGGCTCTTAGAAGCCCTGATGTTGGGATTATTCCATCCCAAGCCAATCACAAAAGTGAGTCCTCGAGGGTTCTTTCCCTGTTGCATTTTTTACAGGTCTCTGCTTTTCTGCAACCAAAAGACATGATGGCTGATGAATGTCTTTTTAAGACAAACACAAAAAACAAATATGTTCTGCTTCAAGCTGTACTAGATGTCCTTGATAATTGGCTGCCAGTTGAAATGTTCTCATCCTTAAAGAAAGTCCCCTAAGTGGTTATGACACTCTTTTAGGCAGGGAAGGCACTCCTTAGGGGTACCTTGAGAGTACTCAAAGCTTTTCAACATTTGGCTGAGGAGTGGTGTGTCACAGAAGTGTCTGATTAATGTAGATCTTCATTTTGAGGAACTGCTGCTTTTTCTGGTATGCTGGGGGACAGAGGAACTAATTTGCCCTCATGAAACTTGTGAACTGCTGCTGTTTCTTCTGCTTTCACAGCCTCTCCATGGAGGAGAGGATTAATCAGCTAATTGCTCCATGTAATCAGTATAGGAAGCCACATTTAGAATAGAATGCCCAGCTTAGATGGTTTAATTTTGGGCAGGGAGTAGGGGGAGAGGTACAGAATCCCCATTTCTCTTTATCGGCACTAGTGAATAATAATAATGACAAAGATCATAATTTCTCATCTGAATGATCACAACAGCAACCCTGAATGCTCTTCCTGTCTCTAATCTTGCCACTTTTAAAATAATCTTCCAAGATGTGGCTGCAGTGATCTTTTTAGAATGTGCACTTAACTCTGATGATCCATTTCCTGAAGACTTTCAGTGGAACTCTATTTTCTTATAAAGCAAAATACATACCATTAACCAGGGTACTGAAAGCCTTTCATGGTCCAATCCTTGTCAAATTATCTAGCCACATCACTTTCCACTTTCCATATGTTTACGCTTTCTGCAGTGTTTACTGATATTTACATGAAGCTTATGTTCTCCTGTATTTGCAAGGTCAGAGATGTGGCCCTCTGGGTTTCCATGGCCCTGTTAGAG
The DNA here is from genome assembly GCF_000001405.40 of Homo sapiens. Lineage (NCBI taxonomy): Eukaryota > Metazoa > Chordata > Mammalia > Primates > Hominidae > Homo > Homo sapiens. Next base: position 102,504,087 of record NC_000012.12, read on the forward strand.
TCTTTCCCTGTCATAGTATTTACTACCATGTATTGTAATTTTATGTTTTATTGACCATATCTTTTATTAGATGGCAAACTTTTCTAGATAAATATAGTCTCTTATCTTTATAATCACAACATGCAGTAGGCATTCAATAAAAGTTGTTTTTATAGATGAGCTCCCCTCTACTCTTTTCCCATCAAATGCGTTTGCTTGAATGCCTCTAGTTCACCCACCTTTGTAAACACCTCACTCCACTCTTACTATTTTAAGTGTAGTTAAGACTAGCATTGCAGATTGGGTTCCCCAAGCAGAAGACACTGCAATGAAGATTCATGTGCTGAAATTCTGGGGGAGGTTTCTCAGGATCAGCACCCGGGGAGGAAGTGAAATAAGCAGACTGGGAAAAGAGAGAAGTTGGGCTGTGGTATGGAGGCAACAAAGCCTTAGCTGACCCCATGGAAAGCTCTAAAGCTGGGGTAGTCCTTGAGGGTTGCCCAAGTTGCAGCAGAGAGGCTGAGTTTTTATATCCCTACATCAACCAAATGTTGGGTGCAGACTGCCCCTGGAAAGGGTTATAACCGTGGGTAAGGTTATAAGTTCTCTCTTCACCCAAGAGCAATTGGTGTAGAAGCCTGAGAACTGAGAGCCGTTGAATGGCGACACTTGCAGCATTTGAGGTGATGATCAGGAATTTCAGTCTCGAATAGGGATCTGGACAGTGAAGCATTCTGTATCAACTATAAATATGAACTCTGGAGTCAGAATGCCTGTGTTTAAATGTGAGCTCTATGATTTGCTAAGTGTTCCAGTTATCTATTGCTATGTTACAAGCCACCCTGACACTTAATGGCTTAAGAAACAAGTCATTTATTTCTATCACAGATCTGCAATTTGGGTAGGGTTCAGTGGGGATAGCTTATTTTTCTGCACTTGGGGTTAGCTGGGATGGCTCATCAAATGTTGAAAGAACCACCTCCAAGATGACTCAATCACATGGCTGTCAATTTCAACATGGACAACATGGCTTGAGTTTCCTTATGGCACGGTGGCTGGGTTCCAAGGATGTACACTCAAGACAGCTAGGCAGAAGTTGTATCACCTTTTATGGTCTGGCCTCAGAAATCACAGAGCATCACATTTTGATAGAGGGGTGTTGCTATGGTTTGAATAATCCCCCCCCGCCAAACTCATGTTGAAATTTAATTGCCATTGTGACAGTATTAAAAGGTGGGAACTTTAATAGTAGCAATTAGGCCATGAAGGCTCTGCCCTCATGAATGGATTAATGCTGTTATCTTGGGAGTGGGTTCATTATTGTAGAAGTGGGTTCCTTATAAGTTTCTGTTCATTATAAATTACCCAGTCTCAAGTATTTGATTATAGCAGCACAAAATGGACTAAGACAAGGTTCGATACTACTTTGTAAGAAGAGCATGTGAGATTGAAGTTACTGTTATGGCTATGTTTGAAAAATACAATCTTCCACAATTTGTCCTCTGGCAACTATAATTCATACCAATTTTTATCCAAAATATGCTCATACCCTTCTTCCAAGACCCCCAAGTCTCATCCTATTATAACATTGGGTACAACCACTTGAGTATCATTCTGAAGACCTATGACTAAAGAGTCAAGATATCTGCTCCTCTCATACCCAGCGTATAATTGGGGACTTCATACAATAATCCCCATAGATATTTCCATTCAAAGAGGGAGAAAATAAGAAACACACAACTGTTATGGCACTACAACAGTTTTGAAATACAGGCAGATGCTTGTTGCTAGTTCTTTGATTAAGCCTCATTCTACTGCCTGGGAATGGTTCTACACAGCTCTTGTCTCCCCCCTGACTTTCGGCTCCATACTCTAAATTATCCTTTATATTCCATAAACTGTAGCCCATATTTGCAGCTGAATAATTTTCTCAGTCTACATCTTAGTCCAAAGCACTTTTTTAATTGTATGCAGTTTCTATCCCTTTTAGTCTGAATTGGCAGTGCTTCTACCAAAACAATTCTTTCTCTTTTTTTTTTTTTTTTTTTTTTTTTGAGATGGAGTTTTGCTCTTGTCACCCAGGCTGGAGTGCAGTGGCACAATCTTGGGCTCACTTCAACCTCCACCTCCTGGGTTCAAGCAATTCTCCTGCCTCAGTCTCCCGTGTAGCTGGGATTACAGGTGCCTGCCAACACACCGGCTAATTTTTGTGTTTGTAGTAGAGATGGGGTTTTGCCATGTTGGCCAGGCTGGTCTTGAACTCCTGACCTCAGGCGATCCGCCCTCCTCAGCCTCCCAAAGTGCTAGGATTATAGGCATGTGCCATCCTGCCTAGCTCAGAACAATTCTCTTAAAAACTCTTTGGATTTTCTGTGAATCATATTGACACGTACCCACTAGACAAAAGTCATCCACAGACCTATTTGAGGAAGGCATTTCTTTGCATTGGACCTCTGTGAGTGCCCTGAGGAACATCACCCTTATGATTCTTGGAAGCCTTATTGTTTAATGGAGAAGATCTGTGAGAGATGACACTCATACCCTCAGAAGTTCTTTTATCTGAATACATCTCTGAGGTATGACCTTAAATATTTCTTAGGTCTTAACAAGGGATTTAAAGCCATACCCTGTATTCAATCCTCTTTGCCTTGAAGCCATTTATAGATTTGAAAATCCTGGAGAGGCTAGGGATGAGACACAGTTTTACTTCCAAACCCTGAAAATTCTGGCTCTTTTGTATGTAATTGCTTGTCCTTTAGCTCATCTCTCTCCTCTCACATTTTATCATAGGCAGCTAGAAGAAGCAAGATAACTCTCCCAATATTCTTCTTGAAAATCCCCTTAGTTAAATCATCAAATCTACTAGGTACATTTTATTTTGACCATGCTACCCAGGTGACTGAATTACCAAATTTTCTGCCACTACGTAATATATAACATGGAGATCTTTTCCTGTAGCTTTGAACAACATTTTATTCACTTTTCTTTCTGATGGAGTAGCTCCTTGAAGCTTTTTAGGCTTTTACTAAAATTCTCTTCAAGATCTTTTAGGTTTCTGCCTACTGTACCAAAGCCAATGCCACATATTTTACATTTTTTCAAAGTGGCAACATCCAATTCTCATACAAAGAAAATTATCTATTACTCCATAACAGACCACCCCAAAACTTATGGCTTAAGGTAAAACCAATGATTTATTAGGTTCATGAATCTTCAATCTGGGCAAGGCTCAGCAGGGATGTTTCATCTCTGCTCCACTCAGTTGGGGTGGCTTACCTGGTGGCTGGAGGATTCACTTACAAACTGGCTTATTCACAGAACTGGCAATTTGGGGTTGATTACCAGTTCCTTTCCATGTGAACTTCCTCACAGGGTGATATGGTTTGGCTGTGTCCCCACCAAGATCTCATCTTGAATTGTAGTTCCCATAATTCCCACATGTTGTGGGAGGGACCCAGTGGGAGATAATTGAATCATGGTGTGGTTTCCCCCACACTGTTCTCATGGTAGTGAATAAGTCGCATAAGATATGATGGTTTTATAAGAGGAAACCCCTATCACTTGGCTCTCATTGTCTCTTGCCTGCCTCCATATAAAACGTGCCTTTTGCCTTCCACCATGATTGTGAGGCCTACCCAGCTATGTGGAGCTGTGAATCCATTAAACCTCTTTTTCTTTATAAATTAACCAGTCTCAGGCATGTCTTTATCAGCAGCATGAAAACAGACTAATACGTAGGGTGAGAGGCTTTCTCATAGCATGATGTCTAGGTTACAAAGGTGAGAGTCCTAAGAGAACCAGATATAAGCTGTATCACCTTTTATGACCTAGGCTCAGAAGTCATGTAGTACCACCTGTGCCATAGACATAAGTTTGCCCAGAGTCAAAAGGAGGAGATATAGACCCCAGCTCTTGGTGAGAAGAATGTCAAAGTCTTACTGTAAGAAGAGAATGGCCATATTTGAAACATGTAAGTTAAATCAGGCATATTACTTAACCTCTGTGTGCCTCAGTGTATTCTAAAAGTGTAGTATCTTGGAGAAGACACACTACTGCAGTTGTTTTGACTAGCACAGAGTGGAGGGAGCCTCCCTTCTCCTTTTATCCTTTACATCAGAGTTCTGGTAGACTATAGCCCAGGGCCAAATCTGGCCCATTGCCTGTTTGTGCCAATAAAGTTTTATTAGAACACAGTCACACTCAATTTACATGTTGTCTATGGCTACTTTCACATTATAACAGCAGAGTTGAGTAGTTGTAACAACTAATCAAAGACCACATGGCCTGCAAGGACTAAAATATTTACTATCTGTTCCTCTACAGAAAAAGTTTGCCAATTCCTGCTTTACATCCTTGTCAATCATAGAAAGTTAGAACTGGGAGGGGCCTTATAGATGACCTCTTTGAGTACACTCTATTCCATACTATGGATGACGATGCTCAGGCCCAAAGAGGAATAAGTGACTAGTTAGAAGTAATGACTTTTAGGCCAAGGCAGGAGGATTACCTGAGGTCAGGAGTTCGAGACCACCCTGGCCAACATGGTGAAACCCCGTCTTTACTAAAAATACAAAAATTAGCAGGATGTGGTTCTCAAAGTGTGCCCTCCAGTCCACTTGTCTCAGAACCACTCACATGAGACCCACTGCACCACACATATGCTATACTCAGGGCTCTCAACCCAGGCAGTACATTGGAATCACCCGAGGAGGTAGTTTAAATATACAGGTACTTGTTAGAAATATAGTCCTACAGACTGAGAAAGCCTGTGATGGGTCCCTACGCATCCCTGTTTTTGGCAAATTCTCTTGGTGATTCTTTTCTCATTCAGGATTGAGAATCATTTTTTTCTATCCACTAGAACCGGGTTTTCTAATTGCTACTTAGGAGTTTAGTGGATAGTATTGTTGTTCAACTGACATCTTTACATCAATTTCCACTTACTCCATCTTACTATTGTATCTACAAAGATACCGTGAGAAAGGCTATTATGAAAGTTGAGCCAAACCTTAAGGTGGCTTTAATGGAATGACCAGGAGGAAGGCACATCTGTTCCCTCCTGGCCTGACTCTTTCTCTTAAGTACACATTCTCCTCTGAAGTAAAAGGAGCACAGAGAGTGGCAACCCAAATCCTATTTCTCAGAACAGGAGGGACTAGGAAAGAAAAAGAGAGAAAACCTGGGAGAGAGAAAAGTTGGCAGCTTCTGGGGACTAGGGAGCAGCTTCTGGCCCAGCAGAGTGATTGTTGAGTTTTTCCCTTCACTTTTCTTTTGCTTTCAATATTTGCAGAAGATTTGAAAATGGAAAATAAATGCAAACAGCAGCCCCTTGGGCTCTAACCATCCAAAGCCAGAGAAACTGACAATATTTAAGTAATCATTACTCATATGAACTCATCTAAACCTCAGTACTTTGAAGGAGTGCAATAATTATATCTCCATTTTACATATGGTTGTTTGGTTTTATTTACAGAAATTGTGATTTCTACATACATCACAGATGTTTGGTGAGTTGCCCAATAAGCAGGGCAAGAATTTAATTCTTAGTCTTTGAGCACAGGAATGGCAAGAGAAAAGCTTCTAATAAGGGCTCTCACATTTATCAATAATGTTAAAGCATTGTTATGACTCAGGCAGTGGCTTCTGAAAAATTATAGATTCTTTGTATGTGAGAAGAGATATTCTCATTCTCATTTTGCTCATTTAACCTGTTGGCAAAATTTGACAATGTTTTGCAAAACTTGACAGTCTCTTGGATTTGTAAAAATTTGCTTTGTAATGCAGATGCTGGAAGAGGCCTCTAACTCCCATAAGTGCACATGTTGCCCTTTGTGGATTAACCACCCTGGTTTGCTCAGGACTGAGGGGTTCCTGGGACACAGGACTATCACTGCTAAAAGTGGGAAGGTCGTTGGTAAAATGGGGTGAGCTTGTGAGCCTATTGGTTGCCCCAACTTGTATACAGAACTCAGCTATTTCATGAGTTCACAAAAAAAAGATCTACTCACCAACATTTTGTAATTGACATTTCTCATCTCTTTCCTCTTTCCCCTCCCTCCCTCTTTAAGGAACAAATACAATTCTTGTACAGAGGAGTTTGCCCCTCTTCCTGAAGCCATGGTACCAGCCATTTCATGGCCCCAGGGCCTCAGTGTCTACTCCAAGTAAGCTTATCACCACATTCCTTGAAACAGACACTGTACTCTCCTGAAGAGAAATGCTGGCAAATAGTTTTATCGTGGCTTGTTGCTGTTTTTGTTCATACATCACCTTGTTCCAAATTGATATGTTTTGTGACAAGTCCACCTAATCTGTGGTAATCCTTCCCTATTCATCATATGAACCCCCATGTACTTAGTACAGAATGCCATACAGAATGTCATACACATGACCAGCTCGGTGGCCTAAGACAATTCACTTGGTTTCTCTGAGCTTGGATGCCTCATTTAAGAAAGGGAAGAGCAAAACAAAATGGTTTTGAAGATTCCTTCCTACCCAGACATTCTTTTGTATTATGCACTGAGTTGAATGCAACTGGGTCATGGGAATCTTTTCTATGTAGCTTGGAAAGCTCACAACAACATCGTTTAAATATGCACTGATGCAGAACATGGAAATTGCAACAAGGTTGATCTTCAGACCTTTGCTAACAATGATGTAACAATGGCCATTAGTATCTCTCTCATTTTCAGAAGTCCCTGCTGTCTGCTCTGTTCCCCTGTGGCAGGGTGCTATTTAGATAGTTACTTACGTGTTAACTACTTAGAAACAAAGAGATGCATTCTTTCTACCCCTAATTTTGAAAGTACTTTATATATATTGCAAAAATTTTGGAAAATATAGAAAAGCACAGAGGATGACAAAAATCATCAATAATCTCTCCATGCAGGTATTACCAATGTTAAACTTTTGGTTTATTTCCTAACAAAAAAATTGTACTGTGCTATTTTATAATTAGCTCTATTCACTTAGCAATAGATTATCCTTTCTTATTTTATGTGAGATTTCTAGTAGCTCAATTGGATTCCATTTTATGAGTAGCCATAATTTATTTAATCAAGGCTCTCTGGTTGAATATTGGGGGTGCCCCATCCTTCAGATTTTTTATAAACAAACATCTAAGACTGAACATGGTGGCTGATACCTATAATCCCAGCACTTTGGGAGGTTGAAGTGGGAGAATTGCTTGAGGCTGAGAGTTTGAGTCTAGCCTGGGAAACATGGCGAGGTCCTCATCTTTACAAAAAAAAATTTTTAAAAACTTAGCTGAGCCTAGTGTTACTCGTCTATAGTCCCAGCTACTTGGGAGACTGAGGTGGGATGATAGCTTGAGCTCAGGAGTTCAAGGCTGCAGTGAGTTATGATTGTACCTACACTCTGGCTCAGATGACAGAGGAAGACACAGTCTCAAAAACAAACAAACTCCAAATATATAATGAATTACTTTTTTATCAGATATTCTTATGTCTGCCTACTTTCTTAACAGATATTCCTAGTGGTGAATTCTTAGGGTAGACATTATATACATTTTTGGGTTTTAATAAAAACTGTCCAAAAGTGTTGTCTTCCAAAAGTGTTCTCAATTTACACTTCCCCTAACAGGATAGAATTGGGGCTACTCCTTGTAGCTTTGCCAACAATTAATTATGACCAAGGATTACATTGGCCAAGTGCTTCGGGCAGGGGCAAAGTCTAAAGTGGCAGCCAAACTGCTATTGCTCTTTGATCTTGCCATGTTTATATAATATGTCTAGAAATAGAGCAGGAAAGCAAACGGTGACATTGATCATTTGGGGTTAGAGTTATCCAGTAAGTATTGAAACACCTAAATATATATCAGGGATTCTTAACCTAGTGTCTATGAACCTTACTCCAGACTTTTATCCCACTTAATATAAGAGTCTGCTCCAAGCTGAACAGGCCTATTTAAACCAGAGGCCATGACTAGGCCACCAGGAAACTTGAGAATAAATGAAAGGTTTATGGGAAAAGGAGGAGTGAAGGAAAACTGCCCATAGCGAGTGCACTTGTCATATGGATCAACTTATTTCATCCTTAACATATGGTGCAGACATGTTTATACCCATTTTATCAATGGAGAAACTGATAACTTTGAGAGTCTGGGACTTCCCTCATGGTCATGCAGCTAATTAAAAACAGACCTGGGAGCCGAACCGTGATTGTTCTGACCCTAAACCAGTGCTGTTTCCATTATAACACCAGCACGTGTTTGCCTTCCTGGAAAGGAAAAATAAGGCTGGGAGTAAACATAGTATAAAAATAATGTTAGATTTACAGCATAATACCTAGCATACAATAGAACTTGAATGTATTTTTGTGGACAGAGTAAATGAATGACCAGTATTTCCTCCTAATTCTTTGCTTGAAGTGTCCTAAGCAATGGGAAAAGAGTTGGTAAGGCTTTCTCCTCCACAGAGTTGTTTGGTCCAAGCCTTCACTCCAAATTAGTCCAAAACAGCCTACAATAGCTTTGTGTGCCTGGGCGGGAGAGGCAGTCTAGGAGATGTGTTAGGGTAATATGAACTTTCTGATTTTAGTAGGTAGCATACTGGCGATTTCATGTGGTTCAGATTAATAGTTCAAATCGGAAATGCTGGTGTTTCTTTCCATTTTTAGTACTTATGAGGGAAAGAGAACCACTTCCTCTTCCCTGTCAAGATCTTGTGGACACCCCTTTCTCCTTCTAAACAGAAGGGGCAAGGCCAAGTTGCTTGCTCTTGATGTAACAGCACTTAACATAGCTCACCATCTGGGTGTTGGCTGCTGTGGGCAAAGGTAGTGGAATTGGCAATGGAAAAAGCTTTGATGGGAAGGTGTGGAGGTAGATCCAGAGAAGGACTGCCTGTTCAGCAGGGAGCATGGCCCCAAGCACAGAGACTGAGATAAGGACCAGGACCCTGATTCTGAGAGTGGGAGGAAAAGGGCAGAGGGAGAAGCAGAGGAGAATAAGACAGAGTCTACATAGGACCTGAGAAATCACATGAATGTTTAGAACCAGGAATAAGCCACAGCCTCAGAAGTTAGGCCTCAGTTTCAAGGTAGAAGGAGGTGCAATCTTTATTCTGTTCTTTAAATGTGAACAGGAGAACACATTTTTCCACATTGTACTGAGTCCAGCAGAGCCCAGGCACTGGGGCTGTTGCTCTTAATCCTCAGTGGAAGCTTCAGGCTTTGCCACTCAGTATATTCTCCGGGGATCTAGTTGCCCGATCAGGACTGAAGCTGTGCAAAGACATGTTCTTCTCTTTGCCCTATGTGTGGTGGTTCCAGAGCTCAGGCTGCACGATGGGGCACACACAGGTTAGGATGGGCAGGTCGGGGTTTGTCTTTTTAGCTTCACATCCTGTTTCTCTATGAAGTCCCCATGAGCTGGAGAGAGTGAGGCCGAGAGTGTGCTGTGGGTGAGGGTTTCCCCAGACACCTGGGAGGTTGAGGCCGTGACCCCAGTGTCCCTAAGCCTGCCAGCCTCACCTGACACCAGTGCCGGGTGAGCACTGGCATAAGTGGATGCGAATCTCAGGCATGCCTAGCTTTGCCCCATCACTTGACTGCAATACTGAAGCCCCCAGTTGCCTTAGAGGAATTAAATATGGAGCTGGAGAGCTGAGCAAATCAGGGTTCTTTTAACCTTTTTTAGAGTCTGGGGCCGTGCCAAACTATAATGTGTGCTGTGGTCTGAATATGTACATCCCCCACAAATTTCAAACGTTGAAATCTAACCCCCAAGGTCATCGTAAAAGGGGATGGGGCCTTTTATGGGGTGATTAGACATAAAGGTAGAGCCCCCATGAATGGCATTAGTGCCCTTATAAAATAGGCTCAAGGGAGCTTGTTTCTCCCTTCCACCATGTGGGGGCATAGCTAGAAGGCAGCATCCATGAATCAGAAAGCAAGATCTCATCAGATGCTAAATCTGCCAGGGTCTTGATGCTGGACTTCTCAGTCTCCAGAACTCTGAGAAGTATATTTCTGTTGTTTATAAGCCACCGTGTTTATAGTATTTTGTTATAGCAACCCAAATGGACTAAGGCAGTGTGTCAAGAGGCTTAGCAGTGTACTGGGGTGAGGACCAGGGTAGGGGCAGACAGGCTGATGTGAGGCAATTCAGGCATTCTGCATTCACAGCTTTTAAATATTTACCTTAATCCATTCACCCAATAGTTACTGAGCCTGTTTTCTCTACCAGGCATTGTGCTAATTTTAGAGAACAGAGCACTGAATAAGGTAAATAAGTTGTCTGCCATCATGGAGCTTCTATTCTAATGGAGAAGAGATAAGCAAGGGAACAAATAAGTAAGTAAGCTCATTCTGTATGGTGATAATGTTATGAAGCAAATACCCAGGGTGATGGACTGGAGAGTAATGGGAAGAGGCCCATTTTACATAGAGTTGTCCCAGGGCAGTTGATTGAAGGTCCAACAGGTGAGGTTAAACCAGCTTTGGGAGGATCTGGGGAAAAGCAGGCCAGGAAGAGAAAAAAGCAGCTACCAGGGCCTGAGGTGGGAAGGGGCTGGTATGTTCTGGGGCCAGTGAAATGAAACAAGGCCAGAGTGGGAGGAGAGATGCTAAGAAATAAGCCTAGAAAGAAGAACACAAGGGAGGATGAGCAGGGACTTGGGGGCCCCATCTGGGAGTTTGAGTTTTATTTGTAGCACAATGGAAGGACATTGGAGGGTTTTCAGTGGTAGACTGACATGATGGGAATCACCTTTTAAAAATTTCACTGTGGCTGCTTTCTGGGAATTACAGATGGGCAATGGAGCATCCAGATAAGAGATTTCAAAGCCCTTTGGCAAACTCAGTGCCAGTCCTTGACTTCTTGTGAGAACTCCTCGAAAAAGCACTTGGCAAAGGGTCACTGCTTTTTACAAGTGTCTAAAATTCATATTGAAATGAAATCATGGGCAGAATCTAATATGAACTTTTTGGGCACTCTTTTATGAAGATCATAAAGGAGATTAGAAACAAAACATACATTTGGAGCAGTACCCCAAAAGTTTATGCATCTTTTAATTAAATTAATTAAATGAATCATTCATTTATTCATTTTTCCTTTCTTTTATACAACAAATATTTATCATCCTTCTACTCTGTGCTAGGAACTGTGCTCTGTCCAGGGATTTCAATGAGGGAATAAACAGATAGTATCTTCTGCCCTGTTGGGGCTTGTGGTCTATTCTAGGCAGTTTTCATAGCCTTTAAGAACTCAGCAATGTTGCAAGACAAGTAAGTTCTACAGATCTTCTGTACATCATATTACCTATAGTTAATAATACAGTATTGTATACTTTACACTAACAGGATAGAGCTCATGTTAAATGTTTTTACAACAAACAAAGAAACCAACTCAGAAAATAACACAAGGTAATTTTTGGAGGTGATGGATATGTTCAGTACCTTGATTGTGGTGACAGGTACCGTGGTTGTACACATATGTCCACATTCATCAAAATGTACACAATAAATATGTGCAGTTATTTGTATATCAATTATACCTCAATGAAGCATAAAAAGGAAAATGAAAACAAAAAAGAACTGAGCCAAATGGAAGCACGAGGAAGAGTGGAGAGACATCACATGGGAGGAGCCTCAGGTTCTCGTAGGAGTGGGAGCTCGGTAAATATTGATTGAGAAACAATTGATGTTGAACAAGTTGTTAACATCTTTGGACCTGTTCCTCGCTTTCAACAGAAGAGAAACGCTGGGCAGAGGGCTGTAAACTCCGAGTAGCTGGCGTGTAAGTCTTCTTTCAGTGTTAAAAGTGGGATGCAGAAGTGGGATAGAAGGATAAGGGTGATACCAGTTCAGCAATCTTAGCATCACTAAACATAGGATGACCTATGTGCGGACCTCCTGAATGGCACAATATGATGGATGTAGCACTCCCTGTGAAGTTTTCTTTCCAGAAAATAAGACAATAGTTTGCTATTGGTAAAGCCGCTAGATCTATCTACCATTTACCGGAAATAATGAGGAAAGAGAAGCATGTTGAACACATCACAGGGCACAAGATGTAACCAGCGAACTCTAAGTGTGGACAGTTCTACAGGACAAATTATCTGGTTTTTTTTTTTTTTTTTTTTTTTTTTTTTTTTTTTTTTTTTTTAACACAGAAAAGTGCCAGGTTTTGGGTGAGTTAGATTAAAGGAAACTTCAGAGACGTTTCAACCAAAAGCAATGATAGATCCTGTTTGGGTCCTCATTCCACAACTAGATGTAAAGTGACATTTTTGAGACAACCAAAGAAAAATGAACCCAAACTGGGTAGGAGTTGACATTAAGGAGCTATTATTCATTTTCTTAATGGTAATAATGGTTCTATGGTTTGGCTAAAGGAAAAGAAGTTCTCAGGTGTTTCATACTACAACATAGGTGAACCTTGATGACATCATGCTAAGTGAAATAAGTCAGACACAAGGGGACAAATACTGTATTATTCTACTTATAGGAAGTACCTAGAGTAGTCAAATTCATAGAGACAAGAAGGTAGGATGGTGGTTGCCAGGGGCCGGAGTCAGGGAGAAATGGGGACTTAGTGTTTAATGAATTCAGAGTTTTAGCTTGGGAAGATGAAAAAAGCTCATGGTTGGTTGGTGATGGTTGTACAACAATGTGAATATACTTAATGCCTGTGAACTTACACTTAAAAATGCTTACAATGGTAAAATTTATGTTTATTCTACCATGATTAAAAAAAAGAGTTCTTAGGTGTTAGAGTGAAATGCTGGAGTAGTTCCAGGAGAATGAATGATCTGATGCCTGGGATTTGCTTTAAAATAATCTAGTAAAACAAAACAAACAAAAAGTCTGGAGGATAGAGGAGAAAAAAGACTAGGAAAATGTGTATGTTGTTGAGGCTGAGTGATGGACAATGAGGGCTAGTTATACTATTCCTTTACTGACGGTATGTTAAATACTTTATAATATGAAGTTTAAAATATCTCTATCATGGTTTGGTATGTTAAGTTTAATTTTCTGAAATGCTTGGAGCATTGATATACTCTTTTTAGAGGACTCAATTAAAAAAACAAAACCAAGTCCTGCAAAGCCCTAGTAACATGAGCTGTCATGGTATGAAATTGAGCGTAAAAGAGGGCCCAAGCTCCAGGAGGTGGTCATAGAGACTGCATTGTAGAGAGCAACTGCCTCATATGTTATATAGGCACCCTGTGCTGCTGCCCTTGTCATATTGCTGGGCAGAATAAACAAAACTGTAAAGATCAGTGGCCCTTCTTGCTGCCTCCACCTTGGAACCATTGGGGAGCTTTTAAAAATACTAATGCTCAGGCCCCACCTCAACACAATACCAATTGAGCTAGAATTTCTGAAGGAGGGCTCCAGAGAGCAGTCATTTCATAGAGCCCCTTAGGTGATTCTAATATGCAGCCAAGGCCAAGCGCTACTAATATATGAACTGCTTGGTGCCTAGGAGGTGCTCACAAAATGCTGATTGAAAATGAACCTGGAACAAGTTGCTTAGTATGCTGTGTTTCAGCCATTTGACAAAGCCTTTTATGGAAAAGGATTTATATGCAACCTTTTCTCCCTTCCACCCAGGGGATCCAACTACCAGAGGCCAGAAACTTATTTCTGGAGTCTTTGCTGGAGCAGGCATACTTATGCCCAAGAGAGTATTGTGGTGGCTGTTAGCAAGAGCCTGGAAAGATAAGAACAGTTTCAAAAATGTTTTTGGGGCATCACAAAAACCCCATTGTAACATAATGCTAGTTGGAATAACATTAAAGAAAAGTGAATTATGCCTGTTTATCAAAGGGAAAATGAAAGGCCCTTGGAAACGAGTTTTATTTTGAAGCTGAAGCCTTTAATCAAATTGACAATAAAAGATATGGTCCTTCTATGAACCGAGGAATGATAAGCAGCCATTTGCAATCTCAATACGTAGCTTCTGGTATTTAACTCTATTTTTCACCCCTGGTGTATTGAGAATGAACTGATTTTCATGATGGTTAGAGAGAAATGGAGTCCTTACCCTAATTCAGTCAACTGAGTGTAAAGTGAAAATAATTCTACATATCTTCCTTTCCTCACCTCTGTGCCTTGGAATTCAGAAAGAATATTCACAGGGCAATCACTTTAAACAGACTGACAAAAGCACGTGCTCGAAACTTTCACTGCAAAGAACTTTTCCATATAGTAATAGAATATATGACTTTAAACCTGAAGTGAAGCATGTGTATGTTTGTGTGTGTGTGTGTGTTGTGGTGGGGGAGTGTCTTTTTACTTCTCCAGAGCCAAACAGAGTGAGTAGCAGATAAATAGAATTGCCAGACTTAGCAAATAAAAATGCAGAATTCCCAGTTAAATTTGAATTTTGTATAAATTTGCAAATATTGCCTGGGACATACTTATACCAAAAAATATTCAGTTTTTATCTGAAATGCAAATTAAAGTGGGCATCCTATATTTTATCTGGAAACTGTACAGAGAAGAAAAGAGGGGTCCTTCCTCTCACATATGCAGAGTCCAAATATCTTACTCCAGGATGTCCAGGATGTCTTGGAGGTGCAGATCATCAATGAATGTCCAAAAATATAGGCCAGGAGGGTGATATTGGCAGTCAGTATCAAGAAGTCAGTGTATCAGTTAGCAGATGCTTCATAGCATCACCTCAAAACTCTATGGCTTAAGATAATAATAATTTATTACTGCTAACACTTTTGCAGATTGATTGCGGTTTGTTCATGTAGGCTTGACTGGAGTTTATAGCTATAGGTTTATAGCTATAGGTCTGTGACGAGGTTGGGGTAGTTCAACTTAGGGCAATGGCAGCTGGAGAGACTATGCTCCCTAAATCTCTCTTCTTCCTCCTGACAACAATGGGATCGTTGGTGCATTGTCTTCTCATAGAGATAACAAAGGCACAAGTGTACAAGTGGAAATACGCAAGGCCACTCAAGGCCAAATCTCAGAACAAGCATGCTGCCATTTCTGCCCACATGCCATTGGCCAGAGCAAGTCACATGACCAGACCCAAAGTCAAAGGGTAGGGAAGTACCTTCCACCCGCGAAGAGGCCATGGCAAGGGTGTGAATCAGAGCTAACAATTCAACCTACCACAGGCAGGCACAGGGAAATTGAGGTTTAGGGAAGGGAATCAAGTCATTGGCATCTTTTGGAAGCAAAGAGGACCTAGACATGCAGGGAGGGGGAAACGGGAGGTCAGTTACTGGGGAGCTGGGTTACAAGGTCAGAGGGGCTTCAATGCAAGACTTACTTGGTTCTTAATTTGACGCCAATATTTCCATGTGCCTGGAAAAGTTCTCGTGGACTGAGGTGAGACAGAACATACAGGTAGGGATTTAATGGTCTTGGCAATGAAAGCTACAGGACAGGAGTATGGTTAGCAGTTCTCCTAAACTTTACTCCTTAACTCACATTTCACCCCTTGCCATCTCACCCTCCATTAATTACTCCTTTGGCTGAAGAGACAAGACACCAAGGCCATGGTAAAAGACAACTCGTTTGCATTCATTAGTGTTGTAGTCAAGACTTTTTCCATTCAAAGAGGAGAAATCCGACAAACTAGTCCAAGCTAAAAAGGGAAATGTTAACCTATAACTAAAAAGGCTAGGGACATCAGCTTCAGGCAAGGCTGAATCCAGGTGCTCAAACGATGTCAATGGGGACTTCTGTTTCTCTGTTCCAAGGCTCTGTGTTCCTCTGTGCTGGCATCATTCTTAGGCAAGCTTCTGCTTCATGAGGCCACAATGGCTGCTGAAAACTCCAGATGTACACTCCATCAACTTGGCAACCTAGGAAGAAAGATCACACCCCACTCCCCCATGCCCCGCTTTTTTTTCAGTTCAGTGAAAATCCTGGTATTGAATTTTAGGCTTAATGTGGGTCAAATGTCTACTTTAGGCTCAATATGGATCAAATGACCAGGATACTGATTTGCCATACCTGAGTGTGTGAACCCAAATTGTGACATTTGATCGGTCCCACCTAACCCATCTGACTGAAAGCAGGGGAGGGGTGGGAAAATTAGGGAAGTGTAACCAAAGATGCTGGGCAGGCAAAAAAGCAACATGTATCTCTATGGCTCCTCATTTTCCTTAGAATAAAAGCTCCTTCAGTATCTGCTTTCCCCAACTGTCACTGTCCTATTACCTCCCTCTTGCCCCAATTTTATTCCTCTTCAGCTGTACTTGCCACCTTCCTCTTGCAGGCATTCAAGGAGCACCTATGTTAAAGAGCCTGTGCCACCTATTTGGGCACTTTCTTATTGATACCTCCCTAAACTATTTTAAACAGCAATCTGAGCCCTCATCCCTTCTAATCACTTTTACCCTGATTTACTCTTTTCCTCCTTTTTTTTTGTTTTTTTTAATAGTATTTCTCATATCATGTTTATTATTTACTCTGTCTCCACCTTCATTCCTATCCCCTTCTTTACTGCCTGTGAATGCCAGCTGCACAAGGGCAGAGGTTCTTTGTATCATTCATGAATATATCTCAAGTGCCAACCATCGAGTTGGCCACATAGTAGGTGCTCAGTAAATATGTATAGCATGAACCTGCTACAGTTTCTGAGAGATGCTAAACATCAGGTCAGTTTTAGAGAGAAGGGATTTGCTAGGGTTGCAATTCTACAACAATCCAGATACCCAACTCCCCTGTTATGTACCCATGAGAGAAACATTAAGTTTTCCTTCTGAACTTAGATAAGACCCACCAGGAAAGCACTATGAATCAACGAAGACTTCCTAAAATTATAAAGTTATGCTCTAGGATTGCATACAAGATGGAATTTGAGATATCAGTCCAGGTGTGGTGCAACTAGGGAGTACCAGATGTCTTGTTCAGTGGTGGTAGTGGTAGCTGATGAGTGGAGTATGACTAAGGAGGTAGAAGGCATCAAAGTGGAGGTGATGGACATTGAAAGAGAAACGGAAGTGTCTAAAACAAGATTAGGGCTGGGCATGGTGGCTCATGCCTGTCATCTCAACACTTTGAGAGGCTGAGGTGGATGGATTGCTTGAGCCCACGAGTTCAAGACCAGCCTGGGCAACATGGTGAAACCCTGTTTCTATTAAAACACAAAAAATTAGCTGGGCATGGTGTCACCTGCCTGTAGTCTCAGCTACCTGGGAGGCTGAGGTGGGAGGATCACCTGAGTTCTGGAGGTCAAGGCTGCAGTGAGCCATGATCATGCCACTGCGCTCCAGCCTGGGCGACAGAGTGAAAACCTGTCTCAAAAAAAAAAAAATAGAAATTAAAACAAGAATAGATCTTCATATTTTATACCTTATCTTGGAAGGAGAGGCCTTAGTTACCTGGTCCAAAATTGAAGAGTGCTTTATGTACTGATGGCAAGTATGTAATCATGAGGTATCTTAGTTTATTTTTATTGTGCACCAAAGGGTCGCAACTCTTCTTGCTAAACTAGGACACTTCTGAAAGTAGCATGAGCCAGTGATCATGGAATCCTCCAGGTGTGGGCATGGAACTCCCATTTCATTTACCTGAGCCACAGCTTTCCATCTTTCTGAGATGTGAATAGCATTCATTGGGCCCTCAAGAGATCCAATACCCACTGCCCAATTTCCACTGGTTTTATGAGGAATAGATCTTTGTTACTCCCTATTCTTAAGCTGCTGCTATTGAGAAATGCTATGGAGATATGGAAAGTGTGCTGAGATTAGTAGTGAGTGGGATTGTGCACCACTTCAAATACAACATGCATTTGGAAGAGCTCATGCATTTGGAAGGCCCTGTTTGAAAGGTTATTTCTTAGGGGCTTTCCGAGACAGCTGCCCTTTAACTTAAAGAACAACAAAACAAATTAAACAGTTTGTGGTGAAGGCAGAGCAGAGTGGACCCCAAATTAACATGAGGGCCCATCTTCACTTGGGGGACTCCAGAACACAGATCCCTGGGAATGTCTCTCTTTGCCAGTGACCTTATGTGTTTGTTTAACTGTCCAACTGAGGGTTCACCCTGACATTTAGGCAACAAGTCAGAGCCTGTGAAATTACAGTGACAACTCAAACATGAGAAAGAAACAGCTGCCCAATAGGGCCACAGGAAATACTGCTATTCAGGAAAACTGCTTTTCAGGTTTTTTTTTTTTTTTTTTTTTTGTCTTTATTTCTTTCTCTCCTCAAGAGATGGTGGTTACTGAGCTCTCCTCCCCTGATTGTACTCCAGATGACTGTGGGGGAGGTGGCGACAGGCAGTTCCTGCCCTCTGGGAAGGGGCAAAGAGGTGGGGAAGGCAAGAAAGACGCTGGAGAAAGGTACAGGATAATTTGTGTTGAGACTAGTGCCTTAAAAGGCGGTAGGAACAGATGGTTTAAAGGGAGGAACTGCTTCTTTGCACATCCAAAGAGAATTTCTGCAAAAATCTTCCAGAAACTTTTTGCAATTCTTATCCCCTTACAGCTGGACAGGGCAACTACAAAGTGACGACTAAGTGAGGGAGACTTCGCTTTTCAGTTGATCATTCTCTGCACTGTTTGGTTAACTTATCTTCCATATCTATTGTTTTTTAATTGAAGTGTTTTGAAAAGATCGATTTAATTACAACAAAATAAGTCACAGGGACTTCATTCACTCTACCTTTATTCTCTACGAGCCAGGAAAAAGGGCTTTATTTACCAGCTGTGTGGACTTGGGCTAATTACTTAACCGTCCTGTGGCCTATTACCTCATCTAAAACATAGGGTTAATAATAGTGCTTGCATTGAGGGTGGCCGGAGGACTCAGTGGGATAAGATACAAGGCTAGGTGCTGGTTATGACAAGCACTCAGTAATCCTAGCTATCACTAGTCTGGTTCAAATGCTGTCCTAACACAGAACTCAGCAGCATAGGCTAGTTTGTCCTAAAGACAGGCCCTAGCGGTCATGGCAAGTGACAGCAGCAGCTGCCTCGTGGACTCTTGTCTCTGTTCCCATGGCTGGGGCTCTGATGGACAAGGTTGCATGGTGCATAGATGGCTCCTAAGTGTTCAGGTCATCAGAGGCGGGAAGGAACAGCTGTTTGGGATTGGAACCATGGGAACAGGCAGAAGGCAAGGTTGATGGGGTCACAGACACACCTGTCATTATCTTAGTAAAATAAATTGTCTGCCTAACATCGTGTCCTGATAGATCTGAGAAGAATAGAAAATGTGGAGCGGCCCAACTGGTAAGCAAGAAAAGAAGTATGTATTCTTTAATTTGGTTAAAATGTCATCTTCCCTGCCTTCTCCTTACTTTTCCACTGAATATATGTGGGGCTGGAAGGGTCTTAGCCATATCTAGAATCATAAAATCATTGAATATAAGGACGGAAAGGAACTATATAGATCAAGTTGATCCAGCCCCAAATGTCAATAGTGCCAAGGTTGAAAATCCAGGTCTAAGCTAATGACATCTTCCTCCTTACTAATGGTTACTTTAAAATTCCAGGCTTAAGCCAATTAGCACAAGGTATCTCCAGTAACAAAGAACATGATTTATACTAACTTATACAACTAGGACATTTATTTATCTCATATAGTAAGAAGTTCAGCAGTAAGGCAGACTTCAGGTCTGGATGATCCAGTAGCTCAACAATGCCATAAAGTTTAGTTTTTCTCTATTTCTCTACTCGACCATTCTTGGTGTGTGAGCTGCGTTCTTAGGCTGTTTTCTAAGCTGTCTGTCAGTAGCAGGTGGGGGTGGTGTGCTTTCTTGTTTCTAACCCATGTTGGGGTCGGAAAGAGACAGAGAGGAGAGAGAGAGAGAGAGAGAAGGGGGAGAGGGAGAGGGAGAGGGGGAAGGAGGGGGAGGGAGGGAGAGAGGGAAGGAGGGAGGGAGAGAGGGAAGGAGGGAGGGAGGGAGGGGGAGAGTGAGAGTGAGAGTGAGAGTGAGAGAGAGAGAGAGAGAGAGAGAGAGAGCACACCTGTTTTCCAGCCATGTGATGAGAAGTCCATCATTTCAATCAGATTAAGGCAATTTAGGAAATGTGTTCACTTCTAGACCAGTAATAGTGGTCAGGTGAATACCTTGATTGTCTTAAATAGTGGTCAGGTGAATACTTTGATGGTCTTAAATAGTGGTCAGGTGAATATCTTGATTGGCTTAAGCCTGGAATTTTAAGTCAACCATTAGGGGGAAGATATCAGCTCAAACCTGGATTTTCAACCTTGGCATTATTCACATTTGGGGCTGGATAAATACCTGTTGTGGGGGATGTCCTGTGCCTTGCAAAATGTTCATCACCATTCCTCATCTCTGCCCACACAGTACCAAGAGTAAGAGGCTATGTGGATAGAGGAACAGCTGGGAGGAGGACAGGGACCAGATGGGGCAAGATCTTGTAGACCGTGTTAGGGATTTCTGTTTTTATCTTAAAATTACTTAAACAGATTTTAAATAAAGGATAATTCTAGTTGAAGTCTGGAGAAAAAATAGGAGCAGACTAGTAGGGGAAACAGGGCCCGGATATTGCAGTAGAGCAGGTGATAACTGAGTCAGTTTCAGCTATGGTGGTGAAAGTAGAAATGGAGAGAAATGGATGTATTTGAGTGCTGCTTGGAAGCTAAACTAGTTAGAACCCAGTGCTGGAGTCAATATGAGAGATGAGGAAAGGAAGATATTAAAAATGAAGCATGGGTTTCTGGTTTGTTAACTTTAAGAACACTGGAGAACGATCAGATTGTAAAAGGAAGATCACATTCTGAATATATTGAGTTTGAGGCCTGTCCGAGATATTCAAGTAGAACTGTCAAATGGGCAGATGGAGATAAAAGCGTGGTCTTCATGAGAGAATATTGGACTGGAGATGGTAATGAGCATGCTGAAAACTCACCTTGAGGGACTCTGACACTTAGAGGTTGCAGGTTGGATAAACAGCCATGAATCTTGGAAGGAGAGGCCAGAGGAGTAGAATTAAAAGGGGTGGGAGGGAGTTCCAGGAGAGGGTTGTATTCCTTAAGCCATGGGAAGGGAGCATTTTGAGAGGGAAGGCTTGATCAGCAGTGTTATATGTTGTGGAGAGGAGATGGAGGGTAAGGACCAAAAGATTGTCCTTTGGATTTAGTGACATGGAGGCCATTGGTGACTCCAGCAAGAACCATTTGAGTGTTGAGGTCACAAGCCAGGTTGGAGAAGCTGGATGAATGCATGGGGAAAGACAAGGGACATAGAGTTGATTTCTCTTGGGAAGGTCTGGCTGTGGAGGAAAGAAAAGGGAGGAGGATAGCTGGGGGAGAAGTGAGGATCAGGGAGAGTTTTTCTTTAGGAAGAGACACATGGCTATGTTTAAATGGTTTGTGAGGGTGGAAGAAGAGTTTGGAAAATACAGGAAAGAAGTGGAAATGAATAGTGTAAAGTTACTGAAAAGGCAGGAGGGAATGGAATCCAGGACAAAGGGCACTTCTGCTATTGTAGCCAGAGAGGAGAGAAGAAGCATGCATGTATGTGGATTTGAAGGGTTTGTGGCTGGAAGTTGCTAGCGTTCCTGCTTGCATTCTTCTATGGCTCCCGTCAGTATGTAGCTCAATGTCTACACAAAAGTTGTGGGGAAGCTTCTCTAGTCAAATTATATTTGGGATATGCTATGTTAAGTTTAAGCAGTTATCTTCACTGCAGGACTTTCCAAACCCTTTAATACATAAACTTTCATTGTGAGAGTCTAAGAGGAGGGTAGAGGAAACAGCATTTCCTACTGGACCGCAGAGCTCTCTAAGTGCACAGCCTCTCATGGAACCAGTTTCATGCCACTCTGGGAAACAATGAGCAGAATCAACACCTTCGTTTTATGGCAGAAGAACTTGAAACCCTGAGATGGAAAGGATAGAAAGTTGCTTGGGTGAATTAACAGCCGTGGAGAACACTTCCGTAGGGAGCACAGGGGCTCCCCTAGGCCTTCGCTTGGGTGAGCACAGCCCTCTTACTCTTGTTTGTACTGGTGACCCCAGCCCTCTGCCTTAGCTAGAACCATATAGTTCTACTTTGAAATATGAAATTAGATGGAAAGGCAGCCATTACGTCTTTGTGTGTTACCTGAAAGGATCTATGGCAAGACATAAATCTACTGGCTCTGGCTGGGCGTGGTATCTCACGCCTGTAATCCCAGCACTTTGGGAGGCTGAGGCGGGTGGATCACCAGGTCAGGAGATCGAGACCATCCTGGCGAACACGGTGAAACCCCGTCTCTACTAAAAAAAAAAAAAAAAAAAAAATTAGCCAGGTGTGGTGGCGGGCACCTGTAGTCTGAGCTACTCGGGAGGCTGAGGCAGGAGAATGGCGTGAACCCAGGGGGCAGAGCTGGCAGTGAGCCGAGATTGCGCCACTGCACTCCAGCCTGGGAGACAGCGAGACTCCGTCTCAAAAAGACAAAAACAAAAACAAAAACAAAACACCTTTGCAGCTGGCAGCAGATTGTGTCTGGGATTAAATTTAGCGTCCCTGGTTTCAGGAGAGGCAGACTCCACCTTCCAGCTGTGCAGTCAGCACCTGACTGAAGCTGTTGAAGGTGTCAGCCCCCCTTCTCCCTTTAAAATGTTCAACTCGATGGTTCGTCTGTGACATCATCTAGAAATTGATGCGATGGATAATGTTTGCCTGTTGCTGAGTTTGGGTTTCCCATGAATGTCCATGGGAAAGTTCAGCTTGCTCACTTCTTCCTGCCTGGAATATCTTACCCTTCTTTTTCTCCCTGTGGGGGGGCTACTTTTGTGAAGCTCAAACTTGAGTAAGCTGGAGATCACCTGTTAAACTGTTACTTTTCTGGGCCCCACGCTGGATTCTGACTCAGTCACTCTGGGATGGGACCCAGGAGTCTGCATGTTTAACAAGCACCCCAGATGATTTTGATGTAGGCAATTCAAGGCACCACTCTTTGAAAGCACTGCACACTCTTATCCAGATCTTTTGGAAGAATTCCAGAATTGTGAAATATATGGAGTGGGATTTTTAAGAAAAATTTTGATGTTGAAAGTCAAAGTTATGTAGGGGCTATTTATTTATTTATTTATTTTTAACTTGTGCCTCAGTTTTCTGGTGTGTTTAATTGGGCCAACAGCGGAGATGCCTCTCTCTTGAGGTTGCTGCATGGTTCAAATGAGCTAAATGCAAATGAAGACAGTCTGTAAGCAGGAAGGCCCATGGCAATCACTATTTTGTGTTAAAATACAAGTCTCAGTGCTGGAAAGGATCTTAGTGGCTATGTAACCTAACACTTAAATTTTCAGCAAGAAAGGGCTGGAGCAGAAACCACGTCTTACTTTCCACTGTATTCCCTGATCCAGCTCAGTGCTTCCTCCATAGCAGCAAGCTTAATTTTTGTTGATAAGGACCCAATATTTTTAAGCTTTTGAATGCAAATGAGTCATCACCCAAGATGCCGATTGGCTGACACGAGTCCTATTTGGTCGGATACTAAATAATGAAGAGGAAAAAACTGGTTATTAATGCAAAGAGGCTAGGAAAAGGCAGTGAATAGCGGCCCAAAAATAGCCTCAATAATTATAAGTCTTACAAAGCCTGTTGCGACGTACTTTATGAGTCAAAAATGAAGTGTGTGTGACGTGAAATGAATCATTCTGTGAATAAGAGAAGTAATCTTGCTTATTTAAATGTGTTTTGTCAGCAGTGATGCTCTCTCCTGAATAATGAGTGCCCTTAAACAAAAATGATGGATAGCTTTGTTGGTCTAAGATGAAATGGATACAATTCTGCCGGTAAAAAAAAAATCATGGTAATTTAGTATTAAATGGACTCTGGCCTCACCTTAATAAAAAAATTATAACACACTTAAGTAAGTTTTCATGTATCAACCCTTTGCACTTTGGGAATACATGGCTAGCATCTTTCTTTCACTTTAGAATTGATGGGTAGGAATAAGACCATGTTTCTCCATTTGTCTCTCTCCAGAGCAATCTGTCAGTATTGTTATATGCTATTCTCACAAGTTGCTTATCTTATATAGCAAAATGGTCATATTTTCATACTTGTATTATTTGTAATTATTTCCAGTGTTTTTATTGGGATAGGGGAGATGGCATGCGTTTCCTTGATGTATTGGTACCTCGTTTCCAGAACAAAATTGAGACAGATATATTAAGATTACTGTCTCTGCTGATTTGTTGTGATACATTGAAGGTTTTGGACTTCAATAAATAAATTCCTTCTTCTATTTAAGAGTTTGAAACAATTGAGAGACTCACATGGGGGAAGGCCAAATGAGAGGTCCAAATTTCTCCTTGATGACTGAGTAACTGTTGAGAATGTGGTTTCTCAACCATGGCTAAGAGGATTTGTTAAGATTTCCCTCAAGAATTAGATAGTTGTGACTGTTAGTTTTGCACCACCACCCCCCCATCCCATATCTCCTTTTTCCTTAGTAATAGAGTTCCCAGGCTTTGGTGGGGCACATGTTCCCTCAGGAAAAAACAAAAACAAAAACAAAACATATTTCCCACTCTCCTTTGCAGCTAGATGGCCATATGACCAAATTCCGGCCAATAGGATTTAAGTGGTGTGTGTAACTATTTGGAAGTGCCCTGAAAGGGAAGTCCATCTTCATCTCCTTCCTTCTTCCTGCTAACTGGAAGGTGGATGTGATGGCTGGAACTCAGGAAGCTATTTTGGAGTTCTACCCACATGCTGACAATGATGGAACAAGACAAAAGGCTCGGGGTTTTCTGATGGCCATGAAGTATCATAGTAATCCAGAATGGCTTTACCTCTGTATATCACTTACATTAAAAAAGTATAATTTTCTATCTGACTTAAACCCTAGTTATTTAGGGTATTCTGTCATTTGCAGGTAAACTTAGTCTTAATACAGGCAGTTAAATGTCTCTCCCACAGGGAGATCCAGATCTAGATCCAGATCCTGGAGATCCACATCCTGGCAGAGAGAAGGTAAAAATGTTTTTTGTCAGCAGTGATGGACAGATCACAAAAGAAAACTACTCAAAAGTGGCTGAGCCCTCAACATTATGTTCTTTCCTCCAAACACCAGTCAGGTTAGTCATTGTTTACCCCAAGGAGAAAATGACTGGAGGTACCAAGAGAGGCCAGGAATATTAACTAATGGAGGAACCTCCATATGGAAACATGAGACTTGGAAAAAAGAGGTTCTCCTGAACCTGGGAAATATGAATGCATCAAAGATTGCAAAGGTTGAAAAATAGGACTGACAAAGCACATTCCACTGACAGTAAAGTAGACCTTTGCCATTATGACCAGGGATTCGTGTTGCTAGGCAGTGGGATAGGCAGGACTCATTTATGTAGGTTTTTAAATGCCAGATGGAAGAGCTGTGAGCTTATATTTTGACAAAGAAGGAGGAGTCAGTTATTGTTATGTGACCCTTGACTAGGTACCATGCAAGGAATGTGTCATGGACTTCGGCCCCATAAGGATAATGGGGGATGGCTGAAGCATTTCCCCAACAATCCACAGACAAAGTTTGAACACCTCAGCATGCTGGGGCTCTGATTTGACTACCACCCATCCACCTGTCAGACTCATCTCTTGGCATTCTCCTCCTTGATTTGAGGTTCTAGCAATACCAAGGTGCTTTCAGCTTGCACATTCCCTGCCACCTCATACTTCTGGATCTTTTCCACATGTTATTCTCTGCCTGGAACAGCCTCGCTACTTTCTTTGCTTGACTCTTTCTCAACCTTTAAGATTCAGCTAAAATTTCTTCTCTTCCAAGAAAACTTCAGTCAGTTTAGGCCAGGTTGTGTTGCAGCAACTAACAGTTCCAGATTTAGTGGATTAAAACAACACTTGTTTTTCATGTGTGTTTCATGTTAATTTCAAGCCAGCAAAAGTAGTCTGATCATCACAGGAGTTCAGTCCTTCAGAATGACAGAGGCTTCATCTCAAACCATGCTCCATGGTGGCAGAGGCAAGGAAAAAGGAACATGAGACGCCATGCACTGACTTCCAAAGCTTCTTCCCAGAGGTAACACATGGCACTCTGGTCACATTTTGCTAGACAAAGAGTCACCGAGCTAAGTCTGCTCCTAGAGGGAGGTAAGTGTGATCATCCCCAGGGAGGAGAAGCAGCTAACACAGTCTACTGCAGCCCCCTGAACGTCACCTTTCTATCTTTGGCTCCTGCAAAGCGTATGTTCTGTACTCCCTTAATGTCCTGAGCACACTCCTGTTCTAACTCCTCCTCCTCTCCATCACTGCTTGCTATATGCCAGGCACTGCACTAAGCCTTTTTCATCCTTTCATTCAATCCTTACAGTAACTCTGTGGAGTTATTATAATATTGTTATTAACACATTTAATTCTCACAACATTCTTCAGAGGAGAGACTGTGATTATGCCCATTTTATAGTTGATGAAACTGAGTCACAGAGAGGTTAAGTGACTTGCCTAAGATCACAAGGCTAGTAAGTAGCACAGCCAAGATTTACCCCAGGCAGTCTGTCTCCAGACAGGCCACCAAACTAGCCACCCACTGTTCTAAGTGTTTTACGTATATAGTAACTCATTTGACTCCTGCAACAAGAATACGTACTCTTCTTGCCATTTGACACATGAGAAGCTGAGGCACAGAGAGGTTAAGTAATCTGTCCAAGCTCGCTCAGAGGGAAGTGGGCTTTAATCCCAGGGAGTCAGGTTCCAGGGCCAGAGCTTTCAGTTACTGTGCCATTTTGTCACAGTGTTTGTTCATCTTTAATCTACCTGATATGGACCTCTCTACATGCAACCAGATGGGTTTGTGTATGGATATAACAAGAACAACACACATTCAGATGAGAATAGCCACTCTATTCCATGGAATGAGCTCTTTATATTCAGTGAGTAGTTAGTGTGTATATCTGTGGTTGATATGTAGCTCTCAAATACAGTATAGTTCCAAGGTTGTGTTGAATCCCTCCTTGCTAGGAATTTGGGATGTTTTAGTTTCATATGGCCACAAAAATGGTCTCTGTTCTGGTTCTGATAACGTGCTATTCTGTGTTCCATGATGGCCCACATCCCACATTGACCTATGTAGGTTCATTCATTCACTCACTCATTTGGTCAATAAAAATTTATCAAACCCTACTAAGTACCAGGCACTAATGGAGTTACTGAAGATATAGAACTTCATCTCTCTCTCTCTCTGTCATCTGTCTGTCTCTCTGTCTGTCTGTCTATCTATCTATCTATCTATCTATCTATCTATCTATCTATCTATCTATCTACATATAGAACAAAACAGAGAAATGCCTGCCCTTGTAGCATTTACACTCTAATGAGGAGAATCAGATAATACACAAGTGAGTGATAAGTGCTAGGAAAAAAAATTAGGAGGGAAGGGAAATAGGAGGTGCTGAGGGGAGAGGGGAGTTGCTTATTTAGACTGGGAAACTAGGGAAGTCCTTGCTGAAATAGAGTCCAGGAAGAGGTGAGGGCATAAGCCATGTACATGCCTGTGAAGAGTCTTCTAGATCCAAAAGAACAGCAAGTGCAAAGACCCTGAAATGGGAACATGAGTAACAGGTTTGAGGAGCAGTACAGAGGCTGGTGAGGCTGGAGCAGAGCAAGTGAAGCACAGAATACTGGGCAGAGGGGATGCTGGGGCTGTTGGAGGTACAAAGATAATCTAGGACTTTGTGGGCCTCTGTGTGGCCTTTGGATCTTATTTTGAGTGAGAAAGGGTGCCCCTGGGGGACACTGAGCCGCAGAGTCACTATCCACACACTACATCCAAGCTGCCATGTGGAGAACAGGAAAGCCAAATTCCCACCAAGAAGGATGGTTTAAGAAATTATAGCACAGTCAACCATGGATGAAGCCATTACAAAGATTGACACAGAGCTTGCCAGTTGATTTGGAGGGAATTCAATGAGCAAATGTGGAGTGAGAAAGCCAAAATACAGAAAAGTATGGATGGCATCCCATTTTTATAAGGGTTTGCACAGCTTTTAATTGTATACATTAAAGATATGTTATATATAAAAAAGAACATTTTAATATAAATGTGGTATTAATCCCATGGTACAAGCATTACTCTTTACTTTTATATGGGGAAACTGAGGGTCAGTGAGTTCAGTGGCTGCTCAGTCTACACATCCACACAGCAGCTGCACAGGAGGAGCTGAGTTCCCAGACATCCCAGCCTTCATTTCTTTAAGTTCCCCACATTATTTATTCCTGCACCTATTTTCTTCCTCCTAAAGGGGGAGTAACTTTTCTTAGCAAAAATGGAAAAGAGCAGTCACTTATAGGATTTTCTTCCATCAGGAGATAAATTTCCTAAAACTTCTGAACTCTGGAAAGCACTTTAGTTCTTAACTCAGACCCACAGGGGCTGTGGCCTTCATGAAAGGGAGTGTTTACAAGAATATTATTAGTAAGATGACCTCCCCACAACACCATGGCAGATAAAAGTAGGGTGAGCTGGAAATTCTTCACACTGGAAAAGACAAGTTGTCCATTTAGAAGGAAAATTAAAAAAAAAGAAAGCCCTGTTATGAAACAAACAAACAAACAACAGAAAATAACAAGTGTTGGCAAGGATGTGGAAGAATTAGAACCTTTGTGCACTGCTGGTGGGATGTAAAAAGATGCAACCACTGTGGAAAACACTATGGCACTTCCTCAAAAAATTTAGCATACAATTACCATATGATCCCGTAATTCCATTTCTTGGCATATACCCCAAAAGAATTGGCAGCCAGTGTCCTGAAGACACATTTGTACATCCATGTTCACAGCAGTATTGTTCACAATAGCCAAAAGGCAGAAACAACCCTAGTGTCCATTGATGGATGAATTAATAGACAAAATGTGATATATATATATATAATCACATTTTTATATACATAATGTATATCTATACATATATATGATATTATATATGATCTATCTATATATCACATTTTGTTAATTTATCTGTCAATGGACACTCAGGTGTGTGTATACATATATACACACACAAGGGAATATTATCCAGCCTTAAAAAGGAAGGAAATTCTAATACATGTTACACCATGGATGAACCTTGAAGACATTAAACTGAGTAATGTAAGCCAGACACACAAAAGGATGAATATTGTATGATCCACTTGTATGTGTTACCTATAGTAGTCAAATTCATAGAGACAGGAAGTAGAATGGTGGTTGTCAGGGGCTGGGGTGAGGGAGCCAATGGGAGTTAGTGTTTAATGGATATGGAGTTTCAGTTTGGGAAGATGAAAAAGTTCTGGAGATGGATGGTGGTGATGGCTGTACAACAATGTGAATGTACTTAATGCCAATGAACTGTATACTTAAAAAAGGTTAAAACAGTAAATTTTATATCATGAATATATTACCACAGTTTAAAAGAAGGAAAAAAAAAAGAAAGAAAGACACTCCCTGTGTGATTAAAAAATCTAGCATTCACAGTGGCCGGGTTCCCATGAAGATTTTACCAAGGAGAACTCACCGGAGCTTATGGCTGCCCACCCCTTCTTGGAATCCTTTGGAAAATAGGACCCATGCTTTGTGCTCCATGTTTCATGGCGTCAGTTAGCTCTCAGTGACCCTGGAGGTGGTGCGGCCAGCCAGCCAACTCTCCAGGATGTGTTCTTTTTCCCGTGCATGATCTCAGAACCTGATTAAGTGCGTCCAGATTGAGGCGCCTAGGGGAGGAGGGATGATGGTGACCATCAATCACAGAGACAGGCAATGGAGACAGCCTCGGTGGGCTGCCTCACCTTCAGAGAGAACCTGGAGGAGTTGCAGAAAATGCTAGAAGCGTGCTCTGGCAGGGAAAAGGGGTGTGGAACTCTGATGAGAGCAGAGGCAATAATGCTATTGGAATTTCTGAAGGTTATTCAAGACTCCATATCAGTGCCGGTTATATTTAATCTTCTTTTTAACTTTCTGTCTTCCTTCCTTCAGGCTGTCTTAGAGAAACATTTCTCCCCAAGGAGGACAAAAATTCATTTCACTTGGTTGGAAGCAGCAGGATGTCACAAAAGCACCCTAGTGTGGCTGTCTGCCAGCAAGATTTGAGACAGCAGTCTCCAGTTAGGAGAAAGATCTATCAGTGCCCCTCCTTGTTTCCCATTTCAAGTGTTTTGTTAGATACAAGGACACTGTGTGTTTCATCCCCCTTGCTCCTTAACCAGCCCCTTACACCATGTACCTAGAAA
Organism: Homo sapiens; assembly: GCF_000001405.40. Classification (NCBI taxonomy): domain Eukaryota; kingdom Metazoa; phylum Chordata; class Mammalia; order Primates; family Hominidae; genus Homo; species Homo sapiens. Next base: position 102,534,179 of record NC_000012.12, read on the forward strand.
GGAGAGGATGTTCTGCGTTAGTTGTGTGTGAGCCCTGGCAGACACCTGTCAGTGCAGACTGTGCTTTCCAAACCGGGGATCACCTGGCCAGGCATACATGCCTCCATGGAAAACCTGGCCCTGGTCAGGGTAGTCGATGGAGAAGTTTGTGCTGAAAATCTGGGATGTTTCAGCTGATGGGAGGAGGAAGGAGTAGTAGCAAATTCAGGATTTAGCTCTCTGACCCCTGGGGAATGGGTGGCTGGAAAGAAGCTACTGATTAACTTGTGAGGACAGACTTACCTGTAGATGGGAAAGAAATGCTTCTCAGGGTAGTCAGGCCCTTACAGCTCCAGTTCTTCTTTTCCTTGACTGTGAACTCTCTCCCCAGCCTAACCTTCACCTGGACTATAAGTATAAAATGTAGGGCTTCTTTTTTTCCTTCTGACTTTCCTCCCCAGTATTCTTGACCTGCAAACATGAAGCTAAGGTCTGAGGCTGCTCTTCCTCAAGCTCCCCCCGTTGTCTCTGTCAAGTCACTATTATCTCTGTCTCCTAAAAAAATATATAGAGAGAGATCAAATCCTTAGCTGTGAATCAGACTGCCTGGGTTCAAATCCCACATCCTAGGCCTGAGGGTGGGACAACTCTCTAGGGGATGGGGTGGGGGGTCCTTGAATGTACCTGGGAGGCCCCTTGCCCTGCTGGATAGAGGTGGGCTCACCCCACGCTCCATTGTCTGGGAACCGATTGAAGTCCAACTGCCGTTGCTTTCGTTGCTTTCCCTGGTTGGCTTAGTTAATTCATCCCACATGTTTCCTCTGCTGACTGGTGAAAGAAAACTCCAGTGTCAGGTTGTGCCTGAGATCAAGTCAGAGCGGCTTCCCCCTGACATCTCTGTGATCCTGGGCAGATGTGCTCCCAGGGCAGGGCAGCATGACCACCAGCCATGGAAAGTCTGTGTGTGTCAGGGTGAAGCGCGGCGTCGGGTGAGGGGCCCGGCAAGGGCAGGCAGAGGAGCAAGCACCCCTTGGAGGGCACTCCAGGCACTAAGCCTTCCAGCGTTTGAGGCTGGAGAGCCCCGTCATCAGCCACCTGTGGAGGCGCAGGCCTTCCCTCCAGGTGCTGCCTCGCCACTACAAAAGCGGGCTGTGTGATGAGACTTGTTAAGCGCAGCTTTGCGTGCTCTCTGTTCTGTTCACACTGTCTTGCAAAGTAGGTAATATCCTCACTTTCGCTTCCCCAGTGAGGAAACTGGGATTCAGAGAAGTCAAAGTCACCAGCAAGGAAGTGGCCGAGTCTGAACTTGAACTCCCTGGTGGTGCCGCCAGTGCACTTTCCTCCTCCTGAGATGTGGGTTGATTCTGCAGCACCCACAGGTAGGATGCGGGAGGTGAGGGCAGCGTGATGAAGGGAGGGCGCCTTGAACTGGTTCTAATGCCTGCTTTTAGGTAATCCCTTTCTCATCTGGAAAACAAAGGGCTTGGGGGCCCCTTTAAAAAGTCTCTGCTACTCTGATCCCTTTTATTTATTTATTTTCCTTGATTACTTTCTCTCCAGTGTAAAGCCATTTCTGTTTTGTGTTTCCTTAGCAGATTTCAATTCTCCAAGGGCATTTGGCTCCCTCCCAGCACTAGGCCTAGGCAGGGCTGCCCTTTATGACAAGGTGAACAAATGTAATAGAGCTGAAGGACCCAGGATGACAGTGTAGGATCTTTTCCCAGGCTCTTGCCTTTGCCTGGCATATCAGTACTTAACTGACGATGCACCAAGCACCAAACTTCCATGTAACCTTCAAAGCCCAGTGCCGTTCTTACCATCACTAAGAAGCTTTCCTTACCATAACCCTGTGTGCTAGCCACACCTAAGTAAAATTCATATGGCTGCTACTGTAATTCATACCTGCTTTCGTAGCTGGGATGTTTCTGGCTTAGTCCTTGTTTACACGTCGGTCTTTTCTACAGGCATGTGGGTTTCCTGAATGCAGGAGACTATGTCTTTATCACTTTTGGTTTAATAGTGCCTATTACCTGTTATACAACAGAAACTCTACCAAGATTTGTGGGTGTAAGGAAGGAAGGAAGGAAAGAACAAAGAAAGCAATCCAATCTATTTGGCTCTTTTCTGTAGTTACAAATTTATAGGAAATCTGCAAAGTGTATGAGTCAGTCCACAGAGCTTCTCCACTGTGTGATTGGGTTTTGCTTGGGTCATCAATCTGCCATTTCCTGACTCTTCCATCACACACACACACACACACACACACACACACACACACACACACACACAGAGCCACAGCATCATCTTTGAGCAATGCAATAAATTTTATGAGGCTTTATTTCCCTTCTCTTTAAAACCTAGAGAAATAGAACAAAGTTCCCTTTTTCTTTCACAAAACTCATGGGTAACATATCAATTATTCAAGTCCATTTATATGTCTATAACCACCTCTTCTCTCTTTGTTTCCTCTGGAAATCTTTACTTTTCATGCACACACACACACACACACACACACACACACAGAGATATGTATGTGTATAACATCACGCAGTAATACATTTTTCAAAGCTACTTTTTTTCAACTTTTGGATTCGGAGAGGACATGTGCAGGTTGGTTACATGGGTATATTGTGTGAGGCTGAGGTTTGGGGTACAGAGGATCCCATCACCCAGATAGTAAGCATAGTACCCAACAGGTAGCTTTTGAATCCATGCTCTTCTCCCCCTCTAGTAACCTCAGCGTCCATTGTTCTCATCTTTACGTCCATGTATACTCAATGTTTAGCTCCCATTTATAAGTGAGAATGCCTGGTATTTGGTTTTCTGTTCTTCTGTTAATTCACTTAGGATAATTCACTCCAGCTGCAATCCATGTTGCTGCAATGGATATGATTTTGTGCTTTTTAATGGTTGCATAGTATTCCATGGTGTATATGTACCACATTTTCTTTATCCAATCCACCATTGATGAGCACCTACATTGATCCCATGTTTTTGCTTTTGTGAATAGTGCTGTGATTAACATACAAGTGCATGTGTCTTTTTGGTAGAATGATTTATTTTCCTTTGTGTATATACCCAGTAATAGAATTGCTGGGTCGAATGCACTTTTGAAACCTATTCTCTGTTATTTGTTTTTCTAAAAATAGAAGCTGTGTCAAAATTACAAAAGAAATAAAATTCATAGAGTTAGAAAGTGTTAGCTGTAGGCATAAGTGGTCCTTCCTATAGGTCAGGTCTACACACTTAGACTCCTCAAATGTTTATAGCAATTCTCATGTTGGCATTTGAATCCGTCTCCCCAGAACTAAGTAAAGAACATTTCTTAGTCCAAAATCACACAGATTCAACAGTTATTTGACAAATATATATTGAACATCTATTATGTTCTGGGCATTGCTTTTAAGTTCTACTGCTGTGATAAGACAGACATGATCACTGGCTGCATGAAATTTTCATTATGTAGAGGGAGAAAAGAGCAAGAAAAATAAGCAAAGAAACAAATATATACAATAATTAGAAAAGGTAGTCTGGGTGCAGTGGCTCACACCTATAATTCCAGCACTTTAGAAAGCTGAGGTGGAAGGATCGCCTGAGCCCAAGAGTTCAAGACCAGCCTGGGCAACATAGTGAGACTCCATCTTAAATTTTTTTTTTAAAGCTGGGCATAGTGGCGTGCTCCTGTAGTTCCAGCTACTCAGGAGGCTGAGGTGGGAGGATCGCTTGAGTTTGGGAGTTTGGGAGGTCGAAACTGCAGTGAGCTGTGGTTGAACAGACCACAGCCTGGACAACAGAGTCCATGGAGACCCTGTCTCAAAAAAAAAAAAAATGTGGTCCTGTTAAGGAAATAACTTGGGAGGCAAGACAGAAAATCACTGATGTGGGTGATCTATCTCAGTTAAAGTAGACACAGAAGGCTGCTCTGATTTGAGACAAGAGGATGAAAAACAAAAAGAAGAGGGTTTAACATGGTAGGAACAGCAGGTGCCTAGGGTCTGGGGTATAAAAGGGTTTGATGTGTTTTACAACCTGGCGGAATGCCAGTAAGGCTGTAACCAAATGAGTAAACCTGAGGAGGTATAAAGTGAGGTGGGAGAAGGATAGAGGGGCCAGATCACGACCTTGTGGGCCTTGTGGGCCAGGTCACAGTGTTCAGGAAACGACTGAATTTCATTCAAACTTCAGTGAAAAGCCACTGAGGATTCTAAGCCAAGGGGTGACATGGCCCACTTTATATGTTAAGAAAGTCTGTTACAAGTGGCCCATAGAGGGGTGATCATTGAAGGAGAAGACTGTCTAAGGGTGGCATTTGTCTAGGTGAGAGGTGGTGGCCTGGACTAGAATAGTGGCTTGCAGAGAAGAAGAGAATCAGATGCATTTGGATATATTTGGGAGGCAAAAAGGACAGGACTTGCTTATGGTTCAGATGAAGCAAGAATAAAAAATGCTGCCTGGGTTTCTGGCTCCTGTGGACTGTGAGGACATTCGCTGCAAAGGCACCATGCTGGGGGATGAATTAAGAGGTCAGGTGCAGATTCCGGGAGTCATCTCTTCTGCAGCTTTCTAAACACCTCTGCTCCCTGCAATCAGAGCTGGTGCACCAAAGTCAACAGGTATGTCCAGCGTTTGGAAAATCCCAATGTTAATGTTGATTGTGATTTCTCAGTTGGTCTTTAGGGCATGACACATGGTAGAGGCAAGAAAAAACATAAAAATAGTCTAGCACTGAGTCCTTGAGCAACTACTATGTGCCTTGTGTGGTACTAAGTACTAAGGTGGAGAAGAAGGTTCAACAATTCTATTAATGAAGGCAATGCCAGGTGTCTATGGAGCTTTGTCTGGGGGTGGAGACTACTTTCTGCCAGCAAGTGACTGAGGACTCCACAGAGATAGTGACATCTAAATTGAGGCTTAAAATTTGGGTAGAGGTTTTCCAAGTAAAAGCAGAGGGAACTCAATTTTCAGCAGCAGCAGCAGCAGGGGCAGAATATAGCAAGTTAGGGATGTGTGCAAGGATTTATCATGTTTATGGAGGGAGAGTTGTAGGTCAATATGGCTAGAGGGTAGAATGTGGTGGGGAGGGGACATGTGTGAGGATGGCACAGCCTGTGTGACCTGCTAACGGATCAAATCTGTACCTTTTGTGAGATGGGAATCAATAAAGGCTTTTAAGCAGGGAATATGCCACAGTCAGGTTTGCATATTAGAAACACAGCTCTGGCTGGGGATGGAGAATGGATTGGAGGGGGAAGTCAGGATAGAAGTTAGGGGGTCTAGTTAGGAGGCTAAAACAATAATTCAGAGGAAAGTTAACAAGAACCTAGAAACACTAATGATAATAATTATAGCTCACAGCTCCATGGTGCATCCTCTGTTCTGAATGTATTATATACATTGATAATTCAGTCCTCACAACACTCCTACAAGGTCAGTTCTATTTACTACTTATTTACAGATTAGAAAATTGTGCTGTAGAGAAGTAAAATAATTTGCCAAGGTCACACTCCACTTAGGAAGTGGTAGAGCAGGGATTTGATCTCAGACAGTCTGATTCACAGCTAAGTTATGAAGAGTGGCCCAAGAGAGGAGATGATGATAAGCGGCAGGGAGAACTGACAGTATTTGTTGACTCAATATAGAGGTAGGTGGGTGATGGTAAAGGAGAGAGAGGAATCCGAGAGACCCTGAAGGCTGTGATTTGGGTGCTGGGGTAGGTGGGGCTAGAGACAGCATCATTTCATCTTTTGTGCTGCGTACAGAGCAGCAACTTGATAGAGCCTGCCCTGCCACTTGTGTGGCATTAAGAGAACCCGTGTCATCCTGTTTTTCAGTTTGATCTGTGCACATGGGGGTTTCCTAGCCAGGGTTGGCATGCATATGAGTAATGTGAAGACTTCGCTGGAATGTCACAGGGATTACGATCCTGCCCTTCTGACCTCCCAGGGATACTGTGAGCAACAAATGAGATAATGAGAGGCAGCCCGGCAGAGTGGGAAGCCAGAGGCTTGAGCTCAAGTGCACTTCCTGTTTCTGAACCCTTGTGGGAAGTCAGCTAATGACACGGAGCCTCAGTTTCCCCACTGGTGAAATAAAAGTCATTCTTCTCCTGATGACCACAGGGGGCTGCTGTGAAAGGAGTTCAGGATGTCACTGGGTGGATGCACTTTGTAAATGATTGGATACTTCACAAGCAAGCACGGGAGTGGTTACTGTGCTGATAACTACATGCCAGTGGAAAAATGAGCTGTACTGGGAGTGTATGACATCTAGGCAAATCATTTTCATTGATAAACATGTCTATAGTTATCAAACAAAAGCGATATATTGACCCATATTTTCAAATAATGCTCTGAAATCAGTGAACTTTCAAAAAAAAGTTATTTTTTATTGATATATAATAGATATACATATTTTCAGGGTACATATGATAATTTAATATGTTCATATAATTTGTAAAGATCAAATCAGTGTAATTGGGCGATCCATCACCTTAAATATTTATCTTTTCTTTATGCTACAAACATTAAAATTATTCTCTTCCAGCTATTTTGAAATATACAATAGATTATCATAAACTATAGTCACCCTACTGACTTATGAAACATCAGGTCTTATTTCTTCTAATTTCTTAAAACATCATTGAACTTTTAAGCCTTGAAAAGAGATAGGATGTATTAAATGTCTTTAATGTAGTAAATACATAAAGTGTCCTTAATCTATTAAATCTCTTTGTGGCATCCCCAGCCAGGAATCCATTCATTTCACAAGTATTTTTTAACCATTGGTGGGGACACAGAAATGAGTAATTCAGAAACACCCCCAATTAATGAGGTTGCATTTTAGTGAGAGAAGCGAGGCAAGAAATGAACAAATAATCAAATACATAAGGTATCTAATTTCAGATTGTGTTAAGTACTATGAAGGAAATAGGATGATGAGAAAAGAGCAGCAGCTACTTTACATGGGTGGTCAGAGCAAGAAGCTGGAAGCTACGAAGAAAAGCTATGCTCAGGAAGAAAACATTCTGGGCATAGAGATGACTCGTGCCAAGACCCTTAGCTAGGAACAAATGTGCCCTATTCAAGAAACAAGAAGGCCAGTGTCTCTGTAGTGCTGTAAGTGAGAGGAGCAGTGATAATAAATGAGTCTGAAGGTGGCAGGGGCCAGATCATTTAGGATGTGGTAGAGTTTGATTTATTCTAGGTGCAATAGGAAAGCCATTGGAGGGTTTGAAGCAGGACAACGTCATTTGAGTGAAGGTTCTCAAAACTCCCTTCTGCTACTGGGTGAAGACAGGACAGAGATGGGGCAACAGTGAGCAGGGCAGGACCACTTATGAGATGGTCAGCTGGGACAAAGGGGATAAGGGTGGAGAGAAGTTTGAAATATGTCTGGGGATAGAGCCAAAAGGACTTGCTGATGGATTAGATGTAGGTAATGAGTGAGGGGCTGAGAATGGCTCCTGGATTTTGACGACATAAAAGGAAACTCTTGGATCAACTGTGCACTCCAGATTCTCATAGGTTAGTGCTCTCTTATGAGACTGAAATCAACGGGGACCTTGTATTTGTCCACACTCACGATAGTTCTGTCATGAAAGGAAGCAAGATCTGCTCAGACCAACAGTTTTTAAAACATTACGAGCTAGAGATGGACAAAAGAAATAAGAAAAGTTAAGGAGTAGAAGTAGGAAGAATGTTCTTGTTTCTTTCCCACTTGTCTTTTCATCGAGACTACTTAATGCTCTAATAATTCCTCTTCCTATTAAAACCAGAAGTTTAAAGAAAGCCCTAGAACATTGATTCTTACATCCATTTAAATACAGGCTGTTACTTCTCTTACCATGCCTTTTCTGAGGTTATCCAGCTATGCTGGGCCATGGAGGAATCATGAATGGAAGGAGGGTGAAGAGCCACTTATGGAGATGGGAGAGAAGCCAGGATTTACACTAAAGAAGGTGGCTTATGCCTGTAATCCCAGCACTTTGGGAGGCCGAGGTGGGCGGATCACAAGGTCAGGAGATCGAGACCATCCTGGCTAACACAGTGAAACCCCGTCTCTACCAAAAATACAAAAAATTAGCCGGGCGTGGTGGCGGGCACCTGTAGTACCAGCTACTTGGGAGGCTGAGGCAGGAGAATGGCGTGAACCTGGGAGGCAGAGCTTGCAGTGAGCTGAGATCACGCCACTGCACTCCAGCCTGGGTGACAGAGCAAGACTCCGTCTCAAAAAAAAAAAAAAAAAAAAAAAGACTTGTCTTCATAGGCCCCTCTTCCAATCTCATCTCTTGGGTTTGGAGTCCCCTCTATATCCACCATGCATAACTGAATTGAAAGGAAGAAGTATGCCTAGAAGAAAAGCTTCTATAAGAAGATCCCAGCGTTTCATCTCGGCAGTCTGCAGCTCTGCCTCAAGTTAACCCTGAAACAAGAAATCAGGCTTAGGGGAGCATTTATTTCAAGGTTTCATAATCTCATGTTTGACAGCAGCTGGTGGTACAAAGTGTGGAGTCTACTGGATGGATCCGATTATATACCAGATGGTTCTGTTTTCAAATTTACTCCAAATGTTCAGATGCTTTTTCACTAAATTCATATTTCCCATCTGATATTACCCCCTGGGGCTGAACTTTAATATGGGTTGTAGTTTGTAAGGTTTTTGTTATTCTTTTTGATCTTCCAATAGAAAGAGAATTCCTAAACACCACCATGCATTCACAGGGGCTGAACAATGTCTATACATGAATGAATGCAGCAGGATTGTTCTCTGAGGCAGGTCTTGCCTCCATCATACCTCCTGCCAGAAGTGGACTCAGATATGCCCTATTTGGAGAAGCCTCGAAACCCAGCTCCAATGACCTTGAGATCTGAACAACGTGTTCCTTCCCCTAGGCAGCATATGTTAGCACATAAAAATTCTTAGTAGCAAATTAAAACTTCTTTAGCGGAGAATAAAGGCACTAAGTAACTGTGTTACTGGCCTATTATGTGTCTCTAATTGTGTCACCTCGCTCCTCAGTAGGGTTTTCCGTTCATTATTTCCAGGTCCTTTTCCCACTGCTGTGCACTAATGGTCTTCCTATTCTTCCTCTGCACTCCAGCTGCCTACAGCTGTCAGCCACCCACTCCAGCCTTGCCTTTCTAGTGTTTTCATCTTCCTGCCAGCATTACGAAATTTAACTTATAACAAAAAATGTTTTCTGAGTCTCCTTTTCTTTATGAATTTCTGGTTTCTTTCACCATTTAGAAACCTCTAATTCTCCAAGCACCTGTTCTGGTTACTTCTTTTGACAATCTGGCCTTTTCTGTCCCCAAGTGCATGATTCTAGTGGACTGAGGAAAGAAAAGAAAGGCCTGGGCAGGGAGAATGTACCCTGGAGGTTGGCTGGTGCTGGGCGACAGGGTGCTTATTTGGTGACCCTAGTGCTGAGCCATCGTGTGGGTACCTCTGAGCCACCATTCACATAGAAAATAAGGTGGATGGTAACCTGGGAAGCTGCAAGACAATGAGGCTGGTGCCCCCTGGAGTTGGACAAAGCAATGGCTCTCCCACCAATGAGCTGTGAGACTGGCATTCACTTCACATCTCTGGAATTCCATTTTCTCATCTGTTGAAGAAAATTTGTATGTAATGACTACTAAGATCATTTCTACAGCTGTTTCTAAGGCCATTATGATGAACAGACCCACTCCCTGTTCTCTGCATGTGTTCCTGTTATGTAAATACAAGGTACATTCACATACAGCTACGTAATTTGTGGGTGCCAGTGCAAAATGGAAATGTGGGGCAGGGCCCCTTGCTCAATGATGATTGGAAATTTTAAGACATTGACTGCAGAGCATCAAACCAATTATGAGGCCCTTCTGGGCCTGGGACCTTGTGTGACTGCACAGGTTGCACACCCATGAAGCTGGCCCGATGCTGCTTCTGCTATGTAACCATATATAGCCTCCTGAGCAAGGTCATGCCCATATGGGAAGGTATGGTTTTCTCAGAAAGGAGAAGCCATTTCCTGAGTCAACCAGATGACTAACAGATAGGTTCTCAGATAGTAAAAAATAGGTCTTAAGCTTCTTTGTCCTAGTTTTAGTCCCTTGAGTCTAGACATGGAGGAACCTGTGTCTCTGGATAGTTCTGGTTTCAATATGATGCCCAGCATTTGCGGGCAGGCCTGAAACTTGGATAGGTTGAGGTCTGTGACCATGGAAGGTAGGTAATATTTGTAAAGTAGGTTCTCTAATGTTATATTATTTTCTGGGTTTATTTCTATGCAAAAACAGAAAAGGTATTATTCAGTAGAATTATTCATAGAAATACACTGTACCTAGATGGAAGAAATTCTCTGGCAAATTTCCAGTGGAGGAGGCTGAGATCCCAAGGGCACATTTAAGTAGCAGAAGATGATTGCTAAACTGCTATGTGTGAGGCAAGGAAAGGAGCTTGTATGGATCCAGAAGGGATAAGGGGGTGAGAGGACTGGAAGGACAGAGAGATGAGAGAGAGCTGGGGAGCCAGAACATTGGCATTTCTTGGAGAGGGGCAAAAGGAAGAGATGCCCTGTGGCCCAAAATGAGAAGGGGATTTTGGGATAACAGATGTTCAAGAAGAGATTTTTCATTCGTTTGATATATATGATATAAGTCCTCACTTCCTCTGGATTCCCATATTAAATTTTTAGTAGAGTCTAGATTGTGCCGTACTGTATTGTGTATGTGTGTGTGTGTATGAGCCTTTTTTGGAAGTGTGAATAGACGCTGATTTCTTGTGTACTGTTAGAGTCAATGCAGAAGCAAAGACTGCATCTGTGAACAGGATACCAGGCAGGAGGAACCCAAGGCTGCAGGATCCTGACAAATTTCTGGACTTCCGTAGGGGGCCGTGGTAATAGTAATTGGTGATGGAGGGGGCAAAGCAGGTGGTTTAAATGAATTTTTTTTCTAGAACACAGGGATAGGGAGGATTCCCACTTACATCAGCTCTTTATTTCCTTTTGTTATTACTGAGCCTTTAGAAAGGTCTTGTTTAAACATTCCAGCTTGGTCTGAAGCTGTAGTGCAGACTATTTAGGGAAGGTTCATGTGTCCATACTTGGACCAGAAAGTGAAAGTGGTGGGGGGAGACGGAGGAGTGCCCTCTGCTCTTCCCTAGGCTACCATAGCAGTGGTAATTGTTCTTAGTGAGAGATGTTCACAGGATGGTGAACGTGAATTTTTGGAACAAGCACCATGGTTGTAAGATTCAATATCCCTACCCCCACTCCAATATGAAGATTCTCTCTCCATTGCTATTCTTGAAACCTCTAGGGTTTTATGTTTTTTTTTAAAAAGACATATAATGTCCTTTGATCCATCTGTTTTGTATTCATCTATTTCACATGTTTGCAGTTTGGGAACCATAATAAGGGCTGTAATTTTGGGCAGAGATATTTCTGAGCATTCTGAAATTTTATAAATCTTAAATCACACTATGATACATGTCTGTGGAAGCTTCCCCCTAAAATAGAAATGCTGTTATAGATCCTACAGTGTTAATATTTTAAAAAGTTGATAAATGAGTAAAAATGCAATTTAGTCATTAAAATTTTAAAAATTCTGTTCATGCTTCTTATCTTCCCAGTTACATTCCCAGAACTCATTTTCCTACTGTATTGAACATGCACTTTATTGATAGCTTCTTCAATCTGTGGAAGATGACATTTCAGGGGACCAAATGAATGGGATCTTTGGTATACAGAAAAGTACCATCCCTAATAAGTAATTTCTTAAGAATAATGTTTCAGTCAAGGTTCCATGGCTGCAGAGAACAGAAACTCACAGAAACTAGTTGAAATATAAGGAAAAACGTTATGGACCTCCAAGGACAGAAAATGAGTAGTCGTCTTACCTGGATATGGGAATTGGATACTTAGAAGCTAAGACAAGACCCTCTGAGACAATGCCTTCCATCTCTCACTGGCTTGGGTGAAAAGAACTACCTTTCAAGTTCCTATCTTGATCCATTGATGTTTTTCTCTCAACCTTCTTCTCCCAGATAACATCATGTCCCCATGGTGGTCTGTGGTTGACAACAGCACTATATGTCTGAATTATCTACTGGATGTGTTCTGAGGAGGTCACTGAACTGTGTAGTAATAGCTAGAGTGCGCAGATTTGCTTGTGGTGGGTTGATATGGGGAGGGTGTTGGCAGAGCTGAAGCCTTGTACTTTAGGAGATAGGGGAACTTTATCAGTTCCTGAGGAAGATAGGATAGAATTTGCTGAAAGAACCCATGTATCGTCTGTCTGAGATTGAGCAGATAAAGAAATTGAAGAGAAAAGAGTTTTTTATTTTATGTATCTAGATTTTTGTACTTTGAGCTTTATAAGGGGACTTTGAGGTTTAACATTTGGGCTTTCATATCATTGGGCATTGATAATTAGAGGGAATTTATATTCTATAATTTTGGGACAGTCTTCATTGTATTAGTTGGTTTCATTGTTATAACCTCTGGCAAGCTCTACTGGATCATGTGACTGGGTCTGGTTAGAGATGGGAAATAGAATTGAGAGTGATTCTTTGGCTTATGAGGAAATTGGCCCTGGAAGAAAGAAATTTCCTTTTCCAACCCAGAGAACTCTCGGGGTAACAGTTGAATGGCTCACTCCAGAGATCCAGGACAGGATAGCGACAGTGGCAGGTATCCTGAAAGGAGGGTGGGCAACTGTCCCAGATTGCCCAGGACTGAGGGGTTCCAGGGATGTGGGGCTTGCAGTGCTAAAATTGCAAATATTCCAGGTACATCCCTGGCAAATAGGGTGACAATTGCTCACCCTACCCAAAAATGGGGGCAGACTGGCTCTGAAACATGACTGGGCTTTTTCTCCTGAGTGGTGGTGATGAGGAAGAAGAGGGAGAGATGGCCTCCTCTGGTTGTCCACAGGCCCCTGGTTGTTAAGGCTCTTACTTTCTTGTAACCTGGGTCCCAATGTGGTTGGACTTCTTACATGGTGGCTGATTTTTTAAAGGGAGAAAACAGAAGTGGCCAGTTCTCCAAGGGTTCCAACATGTGACTTCCACCACATTCTTTTGGTCAAAGCAGACACAAGGCCAGTCTGAATTCAAGGGGGAAAGAAACAGTCTCCTATTTCTTGCTAGATGGAGCACCATATACATACAGTGGGAGAAGGTCTTGGTGATGGCCATCTTTGGAGACTCTCTGCTATGAATATTTTTTGGAAATTATGAGGCACATAAGAATATAAAATATTAATGTCATAAGAGCCCATTATGAGGCAAGTTCTCTCTACCCTGAGCTAAGTCAGATAGTTTCTGTTTCTAAGAACTTACATTCTAGAAGAGACAGATGTGCAAGTATCTGCATGCTGCAATACAGCGTGAAGTATGTGTCTGTGTATATACACACATATGTATATATAACATGTATGTGCGAAGTATTACGTAAGTTAATAGAAAATAGTGATTTTTTTTTCTATTTGGGGTTCGTAGAAAATTATCAGACTTCACAGATGATTGAAGGGATTTGAAGGATGAATATGAGTTTATGTGGCATACAAGAAGGGTAATAGTATACCAGGCACAGAGAAATTGTGTGTGGAGTTTCAGGAATTTACAAGTGCATGATTTGCACTATATGACTGGAGTGTGAATTTCAGTGGAGTGTGAGTGGAGTGTGAGATTGAATTGAAGGAGCAGGCTGGGAACATAACAAGGAGAACCTTGTCTGTTGTGTTGTAGACTTGATTTATTTTAAAATGAGGGAGTGATTTATTAAATTTATTTTTTAATGTTTACTCTGGCAGCAGTAAATAATAATAATAATAATAATAAACAATACTTAATGAAAATTTACTATTTACTAGGCACTGTTGTGCATACTGTAAAGCCATTTGATATTATAAAAACCCTATGGGGAAGATTACTATTATCATCCCCATTTTACAGCCCAGGAAACTTAGGCACAGAGAAGACAAGTCACTTGCTTAATATCACTTGATTGATAAAGACTTGTGCCTAAATTTGAACCAAGGCAGTCTGTCCCCTTAACTACTATGCCATACTGTCATCCACTTACTTTACGGCAGATTGTTTGGTGTAAGAAGAGGCTGAAGATGTTCCTTCCACTTAGGAGACCACTGAAATAATTCAGATGGGTGTGGTGATATCCTGAAAACAGGCAGCAGTAGTAGAAAGAAGAGATGCAGTTGAATCCCAAAGCTGTTAAAGGAATATAGATAATAGAATTCAGTGAACAATTATATATGGAGGGTAGAGAAAGACAAATTGAGGATGACTTCAAAGTTTCTGGTTTAGGTGAGCTGGTGAATATCAGTACCCATCATCATGAATAAGAAATGGAAGAGGATAGTTTGGTTTGCATGGAAAGACAAAGTTCATTTTGACAGAGTTTGAAGTGCTCATCGGACATCTGAGGAGTGGTGTGTGGGAGACAGTTGGAAAGAAGGATAGATTCAATGGAACAGGGAGTTTCAAGGAAGCAGTGGGCCCCAGTGCCAAATGGATTAGGAAGGTCAAGTAAGGTAAGGCGTGTGGAGCTACCACTGGATCTGTAAATACAGAGGTCAGCGTGACCTTGACAAGAACAGAGTCATTGGAAGGGTGGCTGGCAGCCAGACTGCTGTGGGTGAGGAAAGGAGGAAGTAAAATCAGCAAGGGGTGGCCTAGATTTCCAAGAATTTGCCTGGGAAGGGAGGGAGAGAGGGAGAGCAGGAGCTGCATGGAGATGGAGGAGAGAGAGGGGACATTTGTTGATGTATTTGCTTTTTTTCTTTCTTTCTTTTTTTTTTTTTAAAGAATGTGTGGTGTTTTGTTTTGTTTTTTTATGAGGTGAGAGAATCAGAGGAGAGAGGGAGGCTCAAGATTTAAAAAGAAGAGGAGCACTATTAATGGACCTAAGTGCCTAAGGGCAGCTAAACAAAGGACAAGTGGAAGGATTAACTTTAGAGGACATTTATTCTTTGAAAATAGCAGAGAGGAAGATAACAATGTTTAGAGAAATGGGCATATTTGCAGTCATGTGTGTGGGGTAGGAAACTGAAAAAATTTCATAATTATCTCAAAGAAGCACTAGCAAAAATCATTTGCCCAAGGAGAAGAGGGCTAGGAAACGAGTGAGACGGTGGAGGTTGGAATACCACTTTGGTAATCAGGGGGTAGAAGGGAAATTACATTCATGGAGAATTCACTATGTGTTAAGCACTGTGCTAGATCCTCATGCATAATAGTATTGGTAATAATAAATAATAGTTGAGGTTGGAACCCTTTGAATTCTTTGTAAAAAGTTGGTGCTCCATAAATATTTATTGAGTGATTGCAGTTTGCTTTATCGGCCCAGTTTGCAGGTAGGTCCCTCCTCTGATTCAATCAGTGAATATTAACTGAAAGTCTACTGTGAAAAAAATCCTGATTCTAGAAGCAGGGAGGAGGAAATGTGTGTCTTGGGAAGCTTAAGACAGTCCCTGCTCTCTAGGAACTTTCAGGATAAATGCTGAGACATCAGTTACTTTTATCCTTCCTTCCCCAGTGTCTCAAGATCCTGGGGGATATCCAGCATCTCGAATAGAATCTCAGATGACTTTGACCCCAGTTGTACACAGTTCATATAGTGGCTCTGGGTTCTATTACTATGACACCACCTCCCAGCAGTGGCTGTGAAGTTGCCTCGAGAAACATTCCTAATCCCAGGCCACTGGTTCTCACTGTGCGGCTCCCAACCCAGAGCATCAGTATCTTGTTTGAAGTGCAAATTCTCAGGCCTCACTCAGGAACTCTGGGGGATATAGCCTAGCAGTGTGTGTTTTCACAAGCCTTCCCAGTGACTGATGCTCACTCAAATTTGAGAATCACTTCCATCGACCAGGGCTGTCATGGTCTTGGCTGATCTCACGTCATTATAGGGACCTTTCTTGTGTGTTTGATACCAGTGCTTAGCATAGACATATAATAAATGTTCCTTGAAATCACTGGCCTTGATCAGGGCTGTGCATATGTGTGTATGGGTGTTGAGGAAAGGGTGCAAAGGAGAAGATCAGAGAGGGGAGGGGCATGCAGTTTTTGTCTTCTCCCTTTTCTCAGTGGGAAGAACATTGTGCTGAGAGCAGGTTGGTAACTTGGAGTAGAAAGATAGACAGACTTCTAGAATTGGCATGGAGCTTGGCAATGACTGAGACCAATGATTTGTAACTTCTTTTGGAGTGATAGATCTTTTGGGGAATAATAGTGTTGATGATAGTTATGATTATAGTTATTTATTGAGTGATTACTATGTACCAGCACCATGTGTTACGAATGTTATCACATTTAATCCTCATCAATAGGCTGTAGTTTATCTTCATTTACCAATAAAAAAAAAAGATGAGCTTAAATAGCTTTCCCAAAGTCACACAACTGGTAAGTGGTAGAGCTGGGTTTCAGATTTGAGATTTCTTTGTCTCTAGGCACTGAAACCACCAAGTCAGAGTGCGTAATATACAAGGAAGGCTTTAGACTCTCTCTCTCTCTCTCATGCACACACACATGCACACTTTTTTTTTTCAGAAATTTAAACATTGGCTTAATCAATGTTGATAATCAATGTCTCTTACCCATTACCTGTTACCCAAGGTAATTAATGTCTGTTGGCCATCTTAACTAGAGATTCCTGTCTCTCAGTTCATCTTCGCCTTAAGAGGAAACTCTTAAGTGCAGAAAGCCTGTTTCTTAGAACCCATTCTTCCTACAACTACTTTCCTCATTTCCAGCAAAGTCGTGGGGATCACTGGAAAGCACAAGGTGTTCTAAGATAGCGCACAGCATTCCATTTCACCTCCAAAAGATGTCAGTGTTTTTATCTCTCTCCCCACTTCCCTCCCTCCTTCCTTCCCTTTTTCTCTGCCTCCCTCTCCCTCTTCTTTCCCTTCTCTCTTTGTAAAAAGTTGTCTTACTCAGTTTCTTGAATGATCCCATGATGTTTTCTCCTTCATACTGTTACTTTGGCAAGAAGCAAACTACTGAGCATGTAGTGTACTGGATAAGAACTGAAGTACTTTCTTTTCTGTAAAGAAAGTGCGCATGTATCAGCTCTGTGACTATATTCCACATTGGCCCTGCTGGAGGGAAGATACTTTCTGGAAAAACAAGTCAACTTATCCCACTCTGGCAGCCTTCCTTTCTCATCAGAGCTGTGGTTGGCTCAGCAAAGCCCAAGGGCTGCTGTGAGCCCTCTCTGCATATGTGGCCATCGAGGTAACAGAGGAGGCTGAAGGCTGTGGTCAGCACCTGAGGCCCACAAACCAATGCCCTGAAGCTACTCTGAAAAGGTGGCTGCTGGGGTCACTGGCTGCCTAGAGCTTTCCAGGGCTTTCAGTTCTCTGTTGGGCTGGAAATATATTCAGGGCAAAGGGCTTGGGCATTTTTTTCCCCTTGTGGTATTTGGCTATGGTGAGCTCAAATTCTAGCTCAGCCCTGGCAGGGCTGAGGACTGTATAAGTGAAAAATAGTGGAATGAAACCTCAGAACACGTATGACCTTCAAGAAGGTTTGGTTTGGATTGGGTTCTAGAAATGGTCTGAGTTTTTTGGTTGTAGGCTTTTTTTTTTTTTTTTTTTTTTTTCGGAACGCATTTTGAACTTCTCCAGAATGCTGTTCATGGCCTATGGGAAGGGCCTCACTTGGCCCCTCTCTATCCCCCTACCCCAAGCAGTATCACTGGGGATAAAAGAAAGGTATGTTAGAAATTATCATTAGATGAGTGTCACCTACCAGGAGCTGGGCTAAAGAGCTTCACTACCATCCTTGCATGTAATTTTTACAAGATTCCTGCAAGGAAAGTATCGTTACACTCATTGTAGGATAAAAAAACAGAGGTTCAGAGTGTCTACTGCTTGTCCATGATAGCAAGATAGTAGTGTGGGATTTGAACATCAGAAACTTTGGAATATGGGCTCTGAAACACCATGTTGTACTCCCTTTATTCCTCCTTTCCTTTTGTTTTTTCCTTTTCCTACTTCTTCTTAATCTTTTTCTCCTTCTACTGCATTTACAAGGACAATTTAGCTGGCATTTCAAAGTGCCTGCTGTAGGCAAATTGCTGTGCTGGGCCCTCTAGGAGATGCAAAGATGAAGAAGTCACATCAGTGTCAGCTGAGACCTTGAAAAATTCCTTGAGGAAGTATTGGAGGTGGATCAGTGAGCTGGTTCTTCATTAAGTGGGTCCTTAAACCTAGTCTTGTTTAAGAATACTCCCTCTCTCCTTTGATTTCCAAATAAGATGCTCAAAAACTTCTGATCCTTAGTTAATCAGAGAAAGGAGTGAGGATACCTACTGCAAATTTTTTTTTTTTTGTGGGTTCATGTTTGTGACCACCACTGTATGTTTAAGTTACATATGGGACTGAAATTGATCCCATAATTTATTCAGGGATAATTGTATGACCTAAGCCAGACCAATCAGAGGTCTCCCATGGACTTCTATTGGCTTTATTAGTAAAGATGCTTTCTGAGTTACAGGCACGGTAAGGACATGTGGTAGGCCTAGGGCTGCTTGTAACCATTTTGCCACCATATGGAAAATATCTGTCTGAAAATGAAGCTAAAGAAGAGGCACCCAGAACTCAGAGGGAGAAAGAGAATGTTCCTGAAGAAAATCCGGAAGGCTGGATCTAGCCATGCCTGAAGCCACATATTAATTATATGAGCCAATAAATTCCCAATTTTGCTTAAGATAGTTTGAATCGGGTTTCAGTCATACACAAGTGAAAGAGTATAAACACATACATGTAGAAGAAGATGCAGAGGGTTGGCCATGCAGGTTGCTTGGTGAAAGATAACAGGAGAGAAGGGTCTGGGCAGTCCAGGAACTGTTCCTGTCTTGCTGGTTGATTGATATTCAGCACCTGAAACAGTGCTTGGCACTTAATAGGCAGTCAGTAATTATTGACTGAATGAATGAACGATAGAATTAGGGTTGGATCAGGCAACTTGCACATCATATTTTGGTATTTTATTCTTAGAAAGCTATAGTGATATGTTTAGCCATTTGCTACACTTTTGTATATTTTCTTCTGTTTTTCCTTGGTTCTTAGTAAAGTCCTTTAAAAAAATTCAAGCTTGTTGCTTATGCCAAAGGGGCTAAGGAGGTATTTATCCAGGCCTAGGCTGGAAAGGGGAAACGTAATGCCTTTGGAGGTTGTGTATGGTAGATGAGGTAAGAAAAGGATTTGCATGATGCCACAATGTGCAGATATAGGATGTAGGAAGAGAGGACCTGAGAGCAAAGGAATAGCTCGTCCTCTCTCTCTCTTCCAAGCTGTTTCTTGTCTCTTTAGTGGAATTTTTTGTGTTATTTGCAGGGGGTAATTTTCTCCCTTAGTCACCTGTACAGTCATCTCTTTCTTTCTCCTCCTCTTTCTTCTTTTCTGCTTCTCTTTTTTCTTTATGCTGTCCCTGCTTTTAATCCAGTAGTTTTTTTTTTTCCTTTCTCTCTGCTCTCTTTTTAATTTTCTTTCATTTTGCCCAACCATTGTTCACCAGTCATTGTTCTCAAATCCATGTGACTTTCAAAGGCCAGTCCTCCTGGCCACCCTTCCCCGAGTTCATCCCAAGCTGTACACTCCCGCTTTGCCGCACCATTATTCCACATCTGGGGCATGTTATAGAAAACATAGACATGGAGGCATGTGCCAAAGACTAAAAGGACAGAGCTCCTGGAGAGGGGACCAGCATTTGCCAACTCTCCCATGCCACTTAACTTAGAGCCAAAAAGACTCAATCAATCATGGCCAAAGGATTCTGTACAATTTGCCACCAGCTGCCTCAATAAAGGTCACCAACTGTCTACTCATTGGGTGATTAGCTGGGATAATGTGGGAGAATACAAAAGAAGATGCAGTGGATCTCACAGTCTAGGAAAGGGTTGAGACACAGAGAAAGAATGGAGTCCTTGAAGTCCCAGTTTCACACCTCATTTCTCATCTAAAGAAGACTGGATCTTGGCCAGGTTAACCTTTTTGATTCTTAGTTTATTTGTAAAATATAAGTAATTGTGATATTCACTGATCAGGTGTTTTGTGAGAATGAGAAGATACACTACATTTAAAGTCCTTACTTAATCATTAATGACTGATCATTTTTGGCCTCCTTTGCTAGCTAGAGAAAGCATAATTTCACAACCCAGATGTTAGCTGGGGTCTCTCTGCCCCTTGTCTTCAAGAAGAAGAAATTGCTTGCAACCCCAGTTCCCACCACCAACAGATCTATGATTGTTTCTCAGCCTTATGGTAGGGGTAACAAACTTAGAAGCCTATTGCAGCCAGATAGATAATGTAAATGAGGGAAACTAGGTAAGTTCACTCACTTACATAGGGTAATATGGGGTGGTGGGGACTGGCAAGTTGGACACTGTGTGCTTCATGTAACATGGCAGTCTTATCCATCTCCTGCCAATTATTTCCTTGTGGACTGTGGTCCCAGATTTCCCAGATACTTTACTCTATTTCAAGAAAAAATTTCTGGATTTTAAAAAGTGAGATAAGCTGAATTTTACAATGTTGTCAATGTATTCAGATTAAAAACAATGACAATGACAATAGCAATACAACATTTTGATGGATCAAATCAGTACCTCTGTAGATCAAACACATTCTGCCTCTAGACTTTCTCTTTGGCTTATTTTTCAGGACCCCTTCTGCATATAGAAACTTCTCCTTCACCAGGTTTCACGAAAAGTCCTGAGCATTTAGTCTTACCAAGCATTTAGTGTGACAAGAGTCTTTTCAGGGAAGTTGAAAGTCACAGAAAAGTCACATCACACCATAGGTTTCTCTTATCTACACTTTCTCTAAGTTTCTTCTCCCTTTCTCCTTCCATTGTCTCAGGAGCAACTAAACTCTCTTTGTCTTACATGAATTTACTAAGTTCCCTTCTTTGAAGCTTTGACACCAGTTTACATTTATGCTCCATGGGGACTCGGCTATCCTAAGATGGCTTCTCAAGACATTTTCTTATCAAGGATGATCCTTCTTCTGAAAAGAATCCTCTGACACAAGCTGTTAAGAGGGGAAAAATAAATTCTCCATCTCATTATGAATGAGCCAATTAGCAAGGGAGGCATGGTTATTAAAGTGCCAAAAGTTGTGGTCTGTGCATTGAATGCTTCACATTATGGAAGAGAAGGGTGCTGAGCCTGCAGGAAAGGTTCTGTCTGCAAGAATACTTGATGCCCTGTGGCCACCCGCAGCAATCCTGAACACTGGCTGAGACAAACTATAGCATGTGGTTTGCCAGGTCTCTGTGTGCAAAGGGGATTGTCTATAAAAGTTCTACAGAAATCAGAATGGCAGACCCAGGATACAAGATTCAGGGGGATACAGCAGATATGATAGACTACAGTGGTTATGGGCAAAAACTTGGAATCTCACTTCCGTCATGTGCAAGTTTACTGAAGTTATTTACTCTCTTTAAGCCTCAGTTTCCTCATCTGCAAAAAGAGGCTCATAATACTTATTCCCCAGGGTGTTAAAAGATTTCATGGGAAACCATGTGTGAAGCACCTGCGCATTGTAGACATTGAAAAATGCAAGTTTCCTTCCTGCCTAGTCCCTACTCCTTCTTCAAGGTTCACTGCTGGCATCACCCCCTCAGGATGCTTTCCTTGCACTTCTCTTAATTCCATCTGTGATGGGTTAGGTACTCCACTCTTCTCTGCATCTTAGACTTTCCAGTACACTGTTTGCATCACTCATCTTGCGGAGTATTGAATGGCTTGTTTTTATTTCTGCATCTTCTTGAAAACTAGGACCATCTCACATGGACCTTTGTCTCTCCAACTCCTGGCATGGTGCTGCATGCATGAAAGGAACTCAGTAAATGTCAAACTAGGGGCTCTGAAGTGAAGAGAATATTTTCTTACCTATCTTCAGAAATGTACAATTTAGAAAAGAAGATTATAAAATATATATTCCTGAAAAGGTTTTACACACACACACACACACACACACACACACACACACACACACAATTTATTATTACCCATCCTTGGTGCTTGGCCCAGCTGCAGCACTTATTGGGGTTATTAACAAAGACAAGGCCTAGATTTTAACCTGATATCAACCTGAAAGTTGGGTCAAGATCTCAGAGAAAGAGAGAAAATTGAGCGGGAAGGAGAATGCCTCTTTTTCTTGTGGAAAGTCCTTGAGGAGTTGCAATTAAAGACCTAGTGTACTTGAAAGTATCTCTTCCAATCTGAAAATAAATTGAACTTCCTGAACTGCTTTTGGAAAACCAAAGCTTGGAAGATTTTTTGACTTTCATCCTTCCTGCGTCAGCATTTGGAAGAGAAACAGGGAACAATGAACAATTAAAAGAAACCCACTGCATTAACAATCAGTAGATTTGGGGGTCGGGGAGACAGAAAGGCTAATGATTCTAACTTTTTAATTGTGTGAAGCCTAAAGAATTATGGAATTACCTAGAACTTAAGCTTTTCATCTTTTTTCATTTGATCTCTAGCCAAGTAACTACTGTAGAATAATTTAATATTCTCTGAGTCGTCAATAATAAGGCTTGCAATGTGATAGTTAAATGCACTTAAAATTTTGATGAGATCATTAATAATATCTCTTGTCAGTGACTTAACTCTAGTTAATAACTTCCTTGTGACTTTCGTCAAATAGATTTTCCTGGGGATATTAATTTCCAAAGGTTTATGGATGTCCTTCAATTGTTAGCCAGTGACAGAAATAGCTTTTCTGCTGTGGCATGTTTTGAGGTTTTGCTCTTACTTCTAAGAAAAAGGCGATAATTGTGTAAACCAACTACTCATCTGTGTTTGGCATCAAGTTTTAACCTAAAACCTGAAGTAATATTTTCTAAAAAGAATAGTTTCATGTAATTTTCACGATAACATCATGCCAACACCAACTATTCTAAAATGGCAGCCTGTTATTTTACAAGTTATATAAGTCTAATAGAGGAGAAAAAATCCTCTTACCGCCTCACTTTGGGAACAGTTTCTTAGAATTTTCCTGACTAATATGGGTTCACGTCAGTATGCTCATTCCTCATCTTCTGCAGCTCATGCCACACAACCAATCCAAACCCACTTCTAACCCAGAGCCAACCCGAGTCTTCAAAGCGGGTTGTATCTGCTCTGCGGTGGGGAGAAAAACTTGGGACAGGGTTAGCAGAGAGTTTCTCATTAAGTTCTAGAACTGCTGAGCAGTTGAGCACCCTTTGGAGTTGGAAGGAGGCATCTGAGGGCAAATAAAGATAATTGCTTTATATATTGACTAATGGTCATTCAGAATTTGTCAATCCACATAGGAGCCTAGACTCGCAGGGCTTGGCACAAGGAGGGGGCTCCACACATATTTGCTGAATGAATAAATGCTATCAATAAGGCCAAGCAGGGTTTGGATAACCTCAGAGATGTTTGATAACTGACTAGGAAGGGGAATTCAATTTCCTTTCAGTTTTAGACCAACTACTTCCTCCTCCTCTTCCTCTTCCTCTTCTAATTATGTGACTTGCCAGAAAGAGAAATTCTTGCCCCTGGAATCAGGAGAATCTCTTTTGCTATTATGAAAAACATGAACATATGTCTTTGAAATCTCTTTTTCTTTTTTAAAGAGAGAATTTTCTACATGATCTCTAAGGTGTCTTAACCCAAAACAAGGGCTCCTCATATATGGAGCAAAAGGCTGGGTTAAAAGATAAATCTTTTCTGGGATTTACAGTCCTGTTGAAAGACAGGACATGTTCAGATGGAGAAATAATGGTAATAAATGAGCATATGCTGAAGTCCAAACAATTAGTATGTCTGTGTGCTGCAGTCCCAGGAGACAAGATATCCTCTTACCCATTCAAGGAACACCCTGGCCCTCGGATCGGGCTCTACTCTCTTCTGTGTTGCCAGGCCATCTTCCACCAACCATCCTTTCTTTATTAACTTCCATATCTTTATCTGTCTTGGCCATTTCTCCTTGGCTTGGAAGAGTGCGCCAACCTTTCCTATTCTGAACAAACACTAACTGTCTCATTTGGGCCAGGTCTTACTCTAGCAATTTTTCTATTTTTCCTCGTTCCATCTCATACAAATATTTACAGTCATTACTTCAACTTTCTCATCTCCCTTTCATTCCTCAGCTCCCTCAACTCTCAGGTTTACGACTCCCTGTCCCTAGAGATGCTCTCTGTAAGATCAGCTGTGGCTCTTCACTAGCTGAGATAACCAGCCCAATCTTCTGGGGACTTTCAGTCTTGTTTTTATTAGATGGACCACTCCTCTTCATTTGACAGCACGTTGATGATCAATCATAATCTTTTTTATATACTTAGCTGTCTCGGTTCTCTGACCTCATTTTCTTCCTGCTTTTCTCTGCATTCTTATCTTCTCCTTTGAAAAATCCTCCTTTCTCCAACTTTGTCATATGTTGGAGCTCTTCCCTTCTCTATTCTTTAGTTCTTTTCTCAATTTTTATTTTCTTGGGGTGTTTAAATTCACTCTTATGGTCTTACCCAGAACTGATCTATTATTGCTTTGTAAAAATCTACTTTTCCTGAGCATCTATTCAACTGTCTATTCACAAGGCCATTTTGTGTTAGTCACAATGGGCTAGCTGCCCATATCCTTGAGCTTTACAAGGGCCTGCCAATACCTGTGAGACCTAAATCAAAGAACAATGGACTCCAAAATCAAAAACACCTGGTGAAGGCAAACTTAATGCCTATTTAAAACACAATATTATGTCAATTTCATGACAAAAATATATTTGTTATTTTAAAAAGTTCAATCTCCACACAATTGGAAAAACCATAACCAATCAAAAGTTAAATGAATTGTAAAAAATTTCAAAAATCAAAACTGTAAAAATCCTCTCAAATTTTTATTGCAAAAGTTATATTTAATGGGACGTGGATAAATTTCAGTATATTTGCTATGATGTGGGATGGGGCTTCCAGAAATAAGTGCTGGGCCTTTGAAGGTCTTACAAACAGCCCTGCCTCCTGTATTATCTCCATCTGGATATTCCACAGGCATTTAATTCATCTTCTTCCCTTTCTGGTATTCTCTATTTTAGTTGGCATCGCCCAATCACCCAAGCTGGAAGTCATCTTTGGCTACTTGATCTCATCCAAGGCTCCTCATATTCCCCCATTTAATCAATTGCTACATCCTATTGATTTTTCTCCTAATTATGTATTAAATTCACTAATTTCTTCCCTTTCTCTCACACTGATGTAGCTGATGTCTTGGTCAACCCTCACCTTGATCCTGTAATACTCGTATAAGTGGTCTCCCTGTAGCTGCTCTGTTTGCTCTCTCCTTATTGTTGACTTCAAATTCAAGTAGGGCCAGTCACTCCTGCTTAAAATGCTTTGGGGGCTTGCTAGTGATCATGAAAGAAAATCTGAGTTTCTTAGCATGACACACAAAGCCCTGGCAACCTGCTCTTACCTGTTTCTCCAGCCTCATCTCTCATCTCTCCCTGCCTGGCACTTGGCCATTCATTACACCTGATCCTTGTACAACACACGTGTGGGTCCACTTATACACGGATTTTTTTTCAACCAAACTCAAATTGTATTTGCAGGATGTGAAACCCATGTATTACGGAGGGCTGACTTTTCATATATGCTGGTTCTGCAGGGCCAACTGTGGAATTTAAGTATGTGCAGATTTGAGTAGATGGGAGGGGTGAGGCAGGGCCCTGGAACCTATCCCTGGCATATGCCAAGTGATGACTGTACTTCTAGGTGGCACTGTAGCTCTCTTGGCCTCTGATTTGTGTGTAATGACCTCCTTGTCTAGAGTGCACCTTTGCCCTTTTCTCACTCACCTTCTATTTATGCTTTAAGACTCAGCTCAGGTGTTACCTATTTAAGGAAACCTTCCAAGAACATGTCAAACCTGGACAGAATTCTCACCCCTGTAGGATCCAGCACCCACCTCTATCACAGATTTACCACACTGTATTATAACAATCCATTCACATGTCCTTTTCTGCCACTCATCAGCGGGTCACTGGATAGCAGGGGTGCCCATTTATATTTTCAAGTTCCCATTTGTGGTGGTTAATATTGAATGTCAACTTGATTGGAATGAAGGATGCAAAGTATTATTCCTGGGTGTGTCTTTGAAGATGTCATCAAAGGAGATTAACATTTGAGTCAGTGGACTGGGAGAGGCAGACCCACCCTCAGTCCAGGTAGGCACCATCTAATCAGCTGCCAGCCCGGCTAGGATAAAAGCAGGCAGAGGAACGTGGAAAAACTAGACTGGCTGAGTCTTCTGGCCTCCATCTTTCTCCCGTGCTGGAGGCTTCCTGTTCTCAAACGTTGGACTCCCAAGTTCTTTAGCTTTTTTATTCTTGGACTTTTGACCACAGACCAAAGGCTGCACTGTCAGCTTCCCTACTTTTGAGGTTTTGGGACTCGGACTGGCTTCCTTGCTCTTCAGCTTGCAGATAGCCTATTGTGGCACTTCACCTTGTGATCATGTGAGTCAGTACTCCTTAATAAACTCACTTTCATATATACGTCCATCCTATTAGTTCTGTCCCTCTAGAGAACCCTGACTAATACACCATTTCATACTGTAAGACAGGAATCAGGTTCTTTTTTTTTTTTTTTTTTTTTTGAGACGGAGTCTCGCTCTGTCGCCCAGGCCGGACTGCAGACTGCAGTGGCGCAGTCTCGGCTCACTGCAAGCTCCGCTTCCCGGGTTCACGCCATTCTCCTGCCTCAGCCTCCCGAGTAGCTGGGACTACAGGCGCCCGCCACCGTGCCTGGCTAATTTTTTTTTGTATTTTTAGTAGAGACGGGGTTTCACCTTGTTAGCCAGGATGGTCTCGATCTCCTGACCTCATGATCCACCCGCCTCGGCCTCCCAAAGTGCTGGGATTACAGGCGTGAGCCACCGCGCCCTGCCTGGAATCAGGTTCTTAATCAGCCATCTGTTTCCAAATATCCCAAACCTGTGGGTTTCAAAATATTAACTGCTCTGAGAACCCAAGTCATGACTGTGGTATTCAGGTAGAACCCAGACACACGCAGCCCAGGAATCTATCTAAAACACTTCCTGTGAATGGTTCCAATTCTTTAACAAAGATTTAATTGAGAATGAGTGGAATGAAGATCACAACTAGTTTAATGATCACACAAACACAATCATATGTGACCTGGGAAACTATATGGCACATAGTAATGTCTAATTGCTTCTCACTAAGCATTTGCTAAAACCCCTTGACGAGTTGTGGTTAGGGAATTATCTTTGTTCAGATCTGTTTTCGATTTAAAAAAAAAAACAAAAAACTATCCACTGGGATCTTATGTTCTTAAAACCTCTGAATTTTTTTTTTTTTTTTTTTTGACAGAGTCTCTCTCTGTTGCCCAGGCTGGAGTGCAATGGCATGATTTTGGCTCACTGCAACCTCCATCTCCCGGGTTCAAGTGATTCTCCTGCCTCAGCCTCCCGAGTAGCTGGGATTACAGGTATGCGCCATCATGCCTGGCTAATTTTTGTAGAGACGGGGTTTCACTGTGTTGGCCAGGCTGGTCTTGAACTCCTGACCCCAGGTGATCTGCCCACCTCGGCCTCCCAAAGTGCTGGGATTACAGGCATGAGCCACTGCACCTGGCCAAATCTCTGATATTTTCACACAAAAGTCTTCTCTCTGGGTACTAAGATCCTTATTAAAAAGAAGCTTCATTCTCTTTGTCTGTACTTGCTCAAGGTCCATATTTAGATTCGAAATGCAGCCTTTGCTATCTACATTTAAAGGTTGCAATTCTGAATTCTCTAGAGCCTGTGCTTCTACCTTCCCTGCACCACCATAGCAGGAAATAGGCATGGCAGGTAAAGAAAATGAGCAAGGAGACAGATTTGATTTCCAACAGCCTCTCCGGTAAGATGGCTAGATTTAGGAGGGGAAAAAAGTACAAAATTTCCAGTTAAATTTAAATTTTGGAGAAACAATGATTTTTTAAACTAAAAGTATATTGCCTGTGCAATATTTGGGACATACTCCCACTAAAAAAAATCCATTGTTTATTTGAAATTCAAATTCAACTGTATCCCGTATTTCATCTGGCAACTCTACTCTGAAGTTGTATTCTCAGACCCAGACACACTTCGCACGCATACTAAACATGTGCAAATATTTTCACTTCCACAAGGAAATGCCCTCACTCCCACTTTTCCTAAAGCAAAAATGCCCTCTTTGCTCTTGGTCTGCCTTTAACTTCTCTACATTAAACATGGGTCCATAAAATAGTTATTTTCCTCTGATCTGTAGGGTTAGAAAACAGTATCCCAATTAAATGATACTTGGCATCTGGCACCAGACCTGGATTTTAGGGAGTTAGGGGTGCTGGGTTCTGTAGGAAACCAGGTGACGCGCACTCCATCTGAAGGAGGACAAGGTTCACTAGTCAGCGCTCCACTGTCGCCATTTGGGAATGCAGCTTCGGTACTTTGGAAGAGTCCAAAAAAAAAAGCCAAGATATCCTGATTTTATGTGAAAAAACTGCAGACATTTAATCATTGATAACTAGTGCAACTGTTAATCGAAACAAATGCAAGCACACTAAAACAAGCAAACATGCACACACAATGTCTGGGGGCCTCTTCTCAGGGTATCCGACTTGCTGTTGCTGGAGTCCTGCACTTTGGGGCAGAAAGGGAAGGAGAGACCTCTGAAAGAGGCAAATTTGGAAGTTTCTGATAAAAATGGCTCCCTAGGTGGACAGAAACACAGGTGCCATTGTTGTAGCAAGATAATTATTTCCCATTTCATTCCTTCTTCCTGGGTTTCCTCCTCTGCAGTTCCCCAACTTAGCAGGCAGCAGGAGCCTGCTTCCTTGGTCTCAGGCAGGTATGTGGCAAGGAATGAAGGATATAAACAATTGTCTTTCCTGGCTTTTGTTTTCAAAATTCCATGCCACTGAGGGTATTTTCTAGGTGCTCTAGTCTAGAGAGTTTGAGGAGAGAGAGGATAGCCCTGAGGAAAAGGTAAACAGTGGGAGGAAGATTCTCCCAAGCTAAAAAAAGAAATCTCAGACAGTAGGAAGGGGGCAGAGGTTTGTGGTTTCTGGGAGCAGTGGACAAGGTTCCTACATCGTCACTCCCTGGCAGTGCTCCAAGGAGGTGGCTGATCTCAGAGGGGACAGTGGCAGAGGCCACAAATAAACACTGGGCTCCCCAGAGTCACTTTGCAGTCCCACGATCTGAAGGGACCACCAGAAGAGAAAACAGAACTAATGCATCTCTACAGTGCTTGGTGGATAAGGGGGACTCCCTGTTTCAGGGTCCTACAGAAGACCCCGGATCTATCTAATGCCAGGCATGAGAGGAGGCCCCAAATGACCATTGTAGAACACATGAACTGCGCAGTGTAAGGGGAACTTAGATTTGAAATTCACTGATTTTGAAAACACAAAGGAATATGCACAGACTGTTGGGGCTCAAAATATAACACCTCAAAATGAAGGCCTCAGCAGCAGCCTCAGAAGCAAACGTTTCTCTGTCACTTTCTCCTGCCCTCCTGCCCCTCAGTCTACCCTGAGGCTTGCTGTAGACATTAGAATCCTTCTTCCCCAAAGTGGGTTGTAGAAAACAGAACCCATTTGTCAGTTTTGGCTTTTGTTGCCATTGCTTTTGGAGAACACTTGGACACAGGAAGGGGAACATCACACACCGGGGCCTGTTGTGGGGTGGGGAGAGGGGGGAGGGACAGCATTAGGAGATATACCTAATGTAAACGACAAGTTAATGGGTACAGCACACCAACATGGCACATGTATACATATGTAACAAACCTGCACGTTGTGCACATGTACCCTAGAACTTAAAGTATAATAATAAAAAAAAAGAAAACAGACCCCCTTTTCACCAAAGCCGGCCATAAAACCTGAAAATAGTACTCTAACCCCTTCCCTCCTTTCTGTGTAAAAACTAGACTTAAATAAATTATCTGACCTGCTTGATTGCAGGTCATAAGATCCTCATTCCAGAGAAGGTCCTGCCCCACACCCAGAAGGAAGGAACGCTGCTCAGAGAGGCCAAGAAGAATCTAGACAGACAGTCCTTGCTGGTTTTCGCCACTTAGTCTAGTAGCATTAGGTCATAGCCTTTCTGTTCCATCCTCTTTCTACACAGCTGTCCATACTTCCTTAACCTACACATAAAATGGATAGTTCCCCCTATATCCTTAGGTCTTCATGCTGAAGTTCCCCACGTCATATAAAACTATGATTTAATAAACCTGTATGCTTTTCCCCCTATTAATCTGCCTTTGATCAGTTGATTTTCAGCAAACCCTCAGTGAAGGGGAAGTTTTTCCTTTGAGTCGACAAAAAAAAAAAAAAAAAAGGGAATGTCCACCTGACTATATACATTGAAGTTCTTTGTTGCCACCCCTTGAGAATTCCTGTACCAATGTATAATGTACAAATAACATGATTTATTCCTACTCTGGTGGCAGCAGCACAAAGATGGACTAGTTAGACATTTCCCCTCGTTCCATGGAATGAGCATATTTGGTCAAGCCTGGGTTTTTTCACAGACTAAGAGATAGAAACTCTTGAATTACTTGCAATAATAAAAGCCTGTGTCTTTGCCTAGAAAATCCTAAATAACCACTACCAGACAGCTCTTCACCTAGATTACTACTTGTTAAAATTCTGACCTGAGATGGATGTTCCCCATATCCCTAGGTAGTGTTAGCTATATTTAGTATGTGCCTATAGTATAGCATTTACAATTAGTCCTCATAACAAAGGTACTGATATAATAATTATAGTTATTGCTATATTATATAATAATAATGTTTATTATTCCACAAACAAGGGACTAAGACATAAAGAGGTTAAATGACTCCTCCAAGGTCTCACAGTCAGTAAGTTCTAGAGCTAAGACTCAAACCTTCTTCAGTCTTCTAGAGGAAGTCTGGCTCCAGGATCTGAGCTTCTAACCAGCTCCCCCATCATCTGCATCCAGGCCTTTTCATGGGCTCTTCCTGCTGACTGGATGTTCCGGCCTTGACCCGGTCAGTCCTCCCATTCTATGTTCTTAAGGATCATGTACCTTTCCTTTATGACATTTACTGTAATTTGTAAGGATTTTATTATTTTGTCTCCCTAGATAGATTGTGGATGCATACAGAGATACTGTGAAGGCTTTGCATGCTGGGGCCAAGACAACTAGCCATCTCTGCAAGCCCATTCTCCTCTTTGTGGGGAGACACAAGGTGACAGAATTATGCTAGACGCATGCTGCCTAGCTACCTCTACTTCTTAGCCTCCCTTGCAGCTATGTGTGGCCATGTGATTAAATTTTGGCGTATCAAATGTGGCACAAATGCTGGGTGCCACTTCTATTTCTCCTTTCTATTGTTGACAGCTGGAGCCAACTATGACTCAGTGCCCCCCATATAGAGGCTGGATGACAAAGCTGCAGGAGATGGCAGAGGGTGAGGGATGTAGGCCCACGGGACCAAGTGAGGTAGAGCTACCCACCAACCTGAACACTTACCTCAAATTATTACATGAAGAAGTCATTTACTTCAGTCTTTAAACCACTGGATTATTTTGGTTCCTTTGTTACAGCAGCCTAACCTTACCCAAACTCACCACTACGTTTCTGGAACCTAACAGAGTTATCTAGTACAGAGCAGGGGCTCGTCATATATTTGCTAAGTAACCAACTGAACAGTTACTTACAGAAATGTCTTCCCAACTAGTGTGTGCACAGAACTCCTTATAAGTTGGGACTGTATCTTCTACTTGTTTTCTTCTGCATCAAGCACAGCATTGAACACATAGCACGAGGCCAAAGGATGAATGAAGAAATGATAAAAAGAGAAACGCTGGGCATGTACATGGCCACGTTTCTACATCTTTTTACATTTTGCCTGCTACAGAAATGCTTTTCAAATAGTTATAATACATTCTTATATAAACAGCAATTCAACCGGAAGTTCGGATATGAGGTATTTTTATGTAAGTTAATTATTGTATCAAAATAATTGGAGAAAAGGTAGAGCAATGTGTGATGTTTAATAGACTTGGAGTTAGGGAATCTGGCTTCTAGTTTCAGTTCTAGTTCTAGTCATGTCTGTGATCTTGGACAAATCACCTAAATTCTCTAGGTACCAGTATACACATCTGTTAAATGAAAGGAATAAAAACGTTTCCTGTAAGGTTTCCTGGCCAGGCGTGGTGGCTCACGCCTGTAATCCCAGCACTTTGGGAGGCTGAGTGGGGGTGGATCACAAGGTCACGAGATCGAGACCATCCTGGACAACATGGTAAAACCCCATCTCTACTAAAACTACAAAAATTAGCTGGGCTTGTTGGTACATGCCTGTAGTCCCAGCTACTCTGGAGGCTGAGGCAGGAGAATCCCTTGAACCCGGGAGGTGGAGGTTGCAGTGAGCTGAGATTGCACCACTGCACTCCAGCCTGGTGACAGAGTGAGACTCCATCTCAAAAAATAAAAATAAAAATAAAGGTTCCTTCCAGCTCTAAAACTTCATAATTCTACATACTATGCTTTTTTTCCTGGCAATGTATTTTTATTCCTTATAGTTCCTCACTCCTTTTCTTAAACATGACCATCCTCTTCCTGTGTCTTCACATAGCCTTTTCCCTGTGTGTGTGCGCACCTCTGGTATCTCTGTTTGTGTGTCCAAATTTTCTCTTCTTATAAGGACACCAGTTAGATTAGATTAGATCCCATCCTAATGGCCTCATTTTTATTTTAATCACTTATTTAAAGGCCAAAATACAGTTACATTGGGAGGGATTAGGGGTTAGGGCTTCAACATATAAATTTTGGGAAGACACAATTTAGCTCATAACATTCAGGTCATAACAGCAGTCTAGGAAGGTGGAGCTCTAAAGCTCAGTCATTGGCTGGAAGCTGGTGTGCTCATCTTATTAGAACTTGTAACCCGGGAAGGTCAGGGTCAATGATTTCAAGTCTCCTCTTTGGATTGGCAGGAAGTGGGATGTGAGCACAGGATGGGGCTCCGATGTGGTTTCTGGGGGTGGGTGGTGGGGATGGGGCACCAGGGCACTGTGTAAGAGAGATGGGACCCTGACCAGACTCCTTGCTGTAATTGCCTGTTTCTGTGTCTGCATCCCCTCTAGACTGTTATTTTCTGGAAGGGCAGGGACCATTTCTATCTTGTTGATCTTCAAATTCCCCAGTGCCTGGTGCATAGCTGGCATATTTGTGGAATGAATGATTCACTTTTGCAGTCTCTTCCCTGTGTGAAAGTTATTTTATGTATCAGGAAAGCAAATTCTTTTTGCATCTAGAAACTTTCAGCCTCCTCCTGTCTTGATCTTAAAGAGTTTTTGTCTTATTTTTTCCCTTTGGAAATGCTTGATGCTCACCGATATAGGGACCATTTACTGAAGGTTTATCACACACCAGGCACAGTGCTCAGAGCCTCATGAGTCTCTCACTTAATCCTCATGACAGCCCTGCCAGGTGGGTGTTCCTTGATTCATTTTACAGGTGCAAAATCCACTATTCAGGGAGGTGAGCTCCCTTCCCCAGGTCACACAGCTGGTAAGGGATTACCGGACTGGGTTTGAAACACAGGTCTGTCTGGTTGTAAAACACAGGCCCTTAACTACCTACACTTACAGGTTCACAAACGGCATTCCTGCCTCAGATTTGACAATGCCTACAGTTCTTCAGAATCATTTCCAAGAACAGCCAGGTCTCCTAACTACTCGGATCAAGTGACCCTGGAAAAATTCAAGACTTGACTCTTGAATGAACCAAGAGACAATATGCATACCAGAGCCAGATAATAGTAACACTTTTTATTTTTCATAAAAGTCTTTCTGAAGAACCCATGATGCTAGGAAGAAAATCTTCAAATTGCTCCAGGCTTAGTCTTCCCTTCTATTTCTTTCAGCATTTGGTACTCTATGGGGATTGGATAGGGTGTCTAGGTCCACATATTAAGATGAAAAAAAATCACAAAAGGAGACTGGTTTGTATTTTGTCAACTCAACTTGAACTATGATATTTTTTCTCTTGTTTTTCTTTTCTTTTTTTTTTTTCCTTTTTAAAGCCAATTTGACTTATTGTCTTAGTATTGTGTAGACACAGCCCTGGTGATACCTTGTGATGAGTTTGAGATTCTTCAAGATCCAAACACAATGAGGGTGACTTAAGGACAGAGTTTCAGCTTTGCTTCTGACTCTTCTTGGTTTTGTGGGTTTAAGTTAATGTTATTTGAAAGTTTTTGTATGTGTGTGGTTGAATATATACTATAACTTGTTCTTTTGTGACAACAAGATTTATACTGGCGGTGTCTCTCATACCACTGGAAACTGGAAGGGAACCTACAATGTGAACCTCCGAGAGTTTTAAAAAGACAGCAGCCATTATTCAGCAGTGATGGCTTCAAGCTGCCCTTGAGCCTAGTTACAGCCTGGTGCTCCATCCCGGCCCACATGTGAAGTCAGCATGCAAACGGCCTGTCAGATATTTAATACATCACATATGCATTTAGACAAAATCTCTGCCTTCTTCTTAATTAAGATTTCTTCAGTGAGTAGGACTTCAGGGAGAAAGAAAATGATCTGATGGAATTGTATTAAATACCAGTTTACTTCCCAAGTTTCTAACTGATTTTTTTTCCACTTAACATGACTTGGCCTGAAAGGCAAAGGCATTTGAACAAGGTATAGAGGCTGGCATTTCATTTTTTATATCATTTTGGCTCCAGTGAACTGTTCCCAGTAAAAATGAGCCTGTGAGATGTAGCTGTTTTATGCAAAGGCTAACAATGCTAGTCTTTTATAAATCATAAATCCTCTTAACCTCAAACAATTTGGGGCCACCAACTGTAACTGTAATCTATAAGGTCTCAACTCACAGGGATTTTGTTTCTTCTTGGTGCCTTTCAAGCCATTAGGCAATTTTTTTTTTTTTTTTTTTTTGAGATGGAGTCTCACTCTGTCGTCCAGGCTGGAGTGCAGTGGTGCGATCTCGGCTCACTGCAACCTCCAGCTGTAGGGTTCAAGCCATCCTCCTGCCTCAGCCTCCTGAGTAGCTGGGACTATAGGTGCACACCATCACGCCCAGCTAATTTTTTGTATTTTTTGTTTTAGTAGAGACGGGGTTTCACTGTGTTAGCCAGGATGGTCTTGATCGCTTGACCTTGTGATCCGCCCTCCTTGGCCTCCCAAAGTGCTGGGATTACAGAGGTGACTCACTGAACCCAGCTACAAATATTTATAAAAGTTCTCAGCTATTAAGAGATTCGAAATCATTTTTTTGTGGAATAGAAACTTCTAGTCTATACCTCCTCAGTTAAATTTTTGATATAGGTTTTATGAATTTCCTTTCGTTGAATACTTTCTAAATTTTGACAACCATTTGATTTAATTTCTTTCAGACATAATTTTTATTAGACAAACCCAAGATAGGTGATAATTTTTTTTTTGATGGAGGAATGGTGAGGTGGACAAATTATCGTTGTGTAATTCTTACTTTTGGTGGTATTTTTCTGTATCATGTGTGTTTATTTTCTTGAAAATAAAAAAGAATCAATGACAATTATTACTTGGTACTCTCTGCACTTAGGATCTTATACGACAAGTAATAGTAAACAGCTCTAGAAAACTTGAGCAGAAAAGGAATTTGCTAGAAGGAGATAGGGTACTTACAATTTGTAAGAGAAAGCTAGCAAGTTGGAGACTGATAGGTAGTGGAATCTGGACAGGTCAAGGGGGCAAGGCAGCAGGAATTATTGAACTGCCCCAAGAGGTTGCTACTGTGAAATGAGAAAAACAGTGACTACCAACTGTTGATTCCCCACCTCATGCCTGTTGCTATCAGTCTGATCAAGATTCATGGTAGTCCTAGAAGCAAAGTTTGATTGGCATAGGTTGATCACACACTCTGTCACTGACTGGTGGAAGATGAGGCTGTATTTTTTAGGATACCCACACACTCCCAACAATCCATTATAACAGAATCTCCCTGAACGGAAATAAGATACCACTGGGAAGGAAAATTGGATGCTGGGCAGGCAAAACCAAATGTCCACGCCTTGCTTAATATCACACTTAGGGATATAAGCAAAAAATGCCCATTTTATTCTCAAATCGAATGCAGGGATTCCAAGAGCTTCAATAAGTCTCCTTGTAAATTAATTGTTACCTTGGTAAGAGGAATCTGATCATGTTAGATTCAATTCATTGAAGCTATTGTGAAATTCTCTGGCTTCAAAGTGGAGTCCTGGGAACAATACCCTTGATTCAATTCCACACTGTGAGTTGGGCAGTTTAGAAGGATGGAATGAATTTTCCTCCAAGCTTTGTTGAAAGTTAATGATCCAGAGCTAGGATGCTGCATGTTTTTATATGGTTGCTTATTATGAGCTATTTAACTTTTATAGCTTTATTAACTGTTTTATGGAAATGTGTATTTCATGTTTTATTACAGCTTTGTAGGATGGCCATATTTGGCCGGAAAGCCTGACAAATGAGCACAAATGTTTGCAAATATTGCTGGTAAGCAGTTTCTGTATAAAGTTGTTTCATTTTAACAATTTGTGGGGGTGGGGTGGGAGGGGTTCTCTTTAGTGAAGTGGAGCAGAACTGAGTGCTTATGAGGGGAGGTAAGAGGAATAGAGAGAAGAGAAGAAGGGAGAGCATGTCCAACATTCTAATTTTTTAGATGTAAAAAGTAAAATTAGATATAAAATTTTATAGAGATTCCCTTTTAGTGAACCCTTGAGTTAGGAACAAAAGTGAACATTTGAGTTAGGAACCTCCCACCCTCAAAATACATCTGGCTGATATTAAATATATTTTACAAAAAACTAAAAATAATATTTGCAGTTAGTTATGTCACCCTTACAATAAACCTATGAAGTGGGTAAAAATACCACTACTAGGTGTTCTAAGCATTGCTGTAAGCACTTTACATGCAGAGCTCATTTAATCTTTATAGTAAGACTACTAGATGGATACTAATATTAACTTCATTCGAAGGATAAGGAAACCGAAGCTTCAATAGGTATCCCAAGCATCTGACTTCGACTCCAATTTATTTCTCACTGTATCACAGAGACCTCACTGCTTGATAGTCTGATGTGGAGGTTATTCAAGTTATTAGTTGATCTTTGAGACACTTTTTTTCTCATTTTTCTATGGGCAATTTAAAAACTATTGAGGGCAAATATTCCGAACTTATAGTCACACTAGCTAGTTGTTGGCACTCTGAAATTTGCCTTGTCAATACTCATTTCACCTGTGTCTCACTTTAGGGCACTGTCTGGTTAGAAAAGAGCTCAGATCTCCAGATTCTTGATTCTCATACCTTTTCTGGGAAATCAGTTTTTGTTTTTGTTTTTCCTCAAAATGTATATGGTTAAGTAAAAGCATACAAAACAGAAATCATTTCTTCTAGATACTGAGAAATCAAAGCATCATACAAAAGATTCCTAAATCCTTGACTAGTTTTTTTATCAACAATCCAAATTTTGTTTTTTTCTCCCAATGTTGTTAATGTTGTAATGAGGAATTCAACTGAAATATCTATTTTATAAAAAGTATGCCTTAGACAATTTGGCTTTGTGTAACATCTCATGTTTAGAGTATAACATAACATTAGTCCTATCATTAATTGAGAGCTTGCTGTGTATCAGAAACTGTGATTGGTTTTATATATATATATATATATAAATATATATATATATATATGTCATCACATTTCATTTAGTTCTCACTATGATACTAAGTGGTGAAGATTATCATCTCATTTTTAACACGTGAGGAAACTGAGGCTCAGAAAGTTTAAGAAGCTGTTAGTTCGGAAGTGATTTGTCTCTGCCAAAACCCATGATGAAGTTTAATTGCCAATGCAGCAGTTTTGGGAGGTGGGGCCTAGTGGGAGGTGTTTGGGTCATGGGGGTGGATTCCTCATGAATAGATTAATGCTGTCTCACAGGGATGAGTGAGCTCTTCTTCTCTTGGGAATGGATTAGTTCCCAAGAGAGTGGGTTGTTATAAAGCCTGCCCCCACAAATTGCCAAAGTGAAATACGGTTTTACCCAGAAACTGCTTACTAGTGATATTTGCAAAGCATTTGTGCTCATTTGTGAGGCTTCTTGGCCTCCTGTTTGGTCCCTTTTTGCACACACCCACTCTCCTTCCATTTTCTGTTATGAGCAGCTTGAGGCTCTCACCAGATGGGCTGCCTGATCTTGAACTTCCCAGCCTTCAGCATTGTGAGCAAAATTAACTTTTTTTCTGTATACATTACCCAGTCTCAGGTATTTCATTATAGCAACAGAAAATAGGCTATGACAGAGGGAGAACTGGGTGTCAAGCTTAGGTATCTGTCTCCAGTGTCCAGTGGTCTTTCTACTCCTCCATGAGGACTTTATCTGGGGTGAAGGATTACCTGAGAGTGTCCAAGCTCAGCTCATTGGGGAAGGTTTTTGTGAAATATTATGACATCTGAGTGGGGGAGACATTTGTGGATAGGAGCCTTCAACTGGAATGACTTTCTAGCTGTTGACTTTATTAATAGAAAAGTCTCCCATCTGGCATTCCTGCTGTGCTTCCCTCTCCTCCTTACTTCAGAATCTGAAAATCCTCCCTCGGCAGTCTCAGCCCCTCATGTGAAGCTCAAATAATTCTTCAGGCACATTCAGGACCCGAAAGTTGACATAACTCTTAATCATTGTGAAATTTGACATTTTGTGTGTAAGTGTGTATGTGTATGTTTAATTAAAGGAGTGTGAGGCAGCATGGGGCAGGAGGGGAGACATTATCCAAATGGATATGCATATGTCTTATATGTCTACATATCCTGCCATTGGAGAAGGGGAGTATAATCAAAAGATGTGTGTGTGTGTGTTTAAAGTATGTGCGTGTATAAGGGTGATCATGCAATGCTATGTGCATATTTGTGTATGATCTGTGTGCGTGTGCAAACACAGACGTGAACATGTATACTGGGGAAGTGCATGTGCTCAGGTGCAAGGAAAGGAATATATAAATCCCAGGCTTAACGTTCATTAGAGAGAAATGTACAAATTCAAAGAGCTCGAAATACATTTCCTAAGTGATGAACAGTTTACATTTTCTCTAGACTGATAGTATATGATTTTCCATTTGAATTAGAAACACACCTCCCAGTCAACATTAAGCTACTCTGAACAAAACACAACCAGGGATATGACAGATCCATTTAGACCCTCCCTTAAGAAATCTGAACAAAAGGGATGGCATCATCAGGATGACTGCCATTGAGACAACTCTAGAGCTGTCTAGACATGAGCTAATTACTTCTATTTATCTTTCTGGCTTCCTCCAGAATTAGCTAACTCTCTAAGATTTGGTGAACCTTTTAATTATCTCCAGATTCTGGCTAACTAGGGGGAATGGATAGAGCAAAGAATCAGGAATTAGGTCTGTCACTGACCAACTTTGTTTCACCTGAAGAGAATCTCCTAGTCTCAGTGGACCTCAGACTTCTCATCTACTAAATAGGTATAAGAATATTTGTCCAGTCTACTTTACAAGGCTGTTGTATGAAGCAAATGAAAGGATGTGAAACCTTCTGTATAGCATATAAATTATAAACCAAAATAAATTGTTACTGATATTGTAGTCTTGGAACTAAGCTGCTGAATGTATACATTACTTGGGTTTTTCTGCTAGCTGGTTAAATGAAATGAGTACTTAAGCACTGGAGGTAGAAGATTTGAGTTTGGGGCTACTTTTTTACATTTTGGCAGAATAATCTTTGGGCATATCATTTCACCTTTTGATCCTTAAGGTGTCCATATCTGTGAAATAGGTTTACAATACTCATTCTAATTAACTCACAGGACTGTTTTAAGGATTACATGGGATGTGAGAGTACTTTGTAAGCTTCAAAATAGCATATGAAAGGAGAGAGTATTCATTAGTATTTCCCTTATGAGCTACCACAATGATCCATTTTTCTCTTGGCTCATGTGACAAAAGAGAAAGCTGAAGAACTTTGCCAATAAATACACATTTTATTTACCTCCCTGTTTCCGAGCACATAATTAAAAATGACTGGTGTTCATGGATGCACATGTGTTATTATGAATAAGGACTAAGAGGCTCTATAACTACTCATGCTTCTTGAAAAGGAATTGAACATACAATAGTGAACAGTTGGTTATTTAATGAATTTATATTAAAATAATGACTGTGGGTTGTATTACAAACCTGGGTGTTTTCGTTCTTATATTTGCACTTTTAATACTGAAACATTAATTGGTTCATTTATTAAATATTTAAGGAATTATCACCTGATTCCAGGTAGAAACTAGACATACAGAGATAAAAAATACGTGGTTCCTGTCTCCAAAGAGCATTCAGTGTAGTTAGGAAACAGACAAGTAAAAAAAAAATGATTCCAACCAGGTGCATCAGGTGCATTAATAGAAGCATATACACGTGTAGGTGCCGTGGGAGCAGAGAGGACTGAAAGTCTAACTCTGTCCAAGTGTCAGAGAAGGTTGCCCCAGACACTTTATTTATGATGGAGCTGAGGCTGGTAGGCTCAGTGAGAGTTTACCTTGCAGAAAGAGGGATAAGGGGAGAGAGGACTGAGGCAGAGAGAATGACATAGGCAATACAGATGTGGAAGCATGAGAGTGCATTGTAGATAGCTGAATCGCAAGCAGATGGTTAGAATGCATGTGAGGATATAGCTAGTACTTCTCTCCTGGGGTTGGGAGAAGTAGGGGCCAATTTATTAAGGGCTTGAAATTCCAGACAAAGAAACTTGAATTCTCTCCTGCATTCAAGGACACATTAAAGAATTATAGGCAGGTAGATGACATGATCAAATTCGCAGTTTAGATAAAAAAGATTCAAACTACTACTAAACATTTGCCACATACTGTGTGTGAAACTCTGACAGATTAAAGATAAAATATCTGGCTGGGTGTGGTGGCTCATGCCTGTAATCCCAGCACTCTGGGAGGCCAAGGCAGGGGAATCGCTTGAATCCAGGAGTTTGAGACCAGCTTGGGCAATAAAACGAGACCCTATCTCTACAAAAAAATAAAAATAAAAAATGAGCTGGGAATGGTGGCACGTGCCTGTGGTCCAGTTACTCTGGAGGCTGAGGTGGGAGAATCTTGAGAACAAGAGGTTGAGGCTGCAGTGAGCCATGATTGTGCCATTGTACTCTAGCCTGGACAACAAAGCAAGACTCTGTCAAAAAAATAACAATAAAGAAAGAAAGCTAAAATATCTTAAAGATCCAGACATTCATGTATGTTGGGAACCATAGCTTTTTGTCTTTGATTGGTTTAGAGAATAAAAGGGGAGGGAAAATTACTATCTCACTCTATTAGAGCAGCACCAGATGCGGGCCTGGAACATGATGGTATTTGGGCAAGAACTTGTTCACATCAACTCATCCTTCCTCATCCTAGTATTTTAGTGGGGGTATTTTTCATAGGTTGGGACAAAGTCACACATCCTATTAGCAGCAAACACTTATTACAGATATCTCCCCCGATATGGTTTGGCTGTGTCCTCATTCAAATCTCAACTTGAATTATATCTCCCAGAATTCCCACGTGTTGTGGGAGGGACCTGGGGGAGGTAATTGAATCATGGGAGCTGGTCTTTCTTGTGCTATTCTCGTGATAGTGAGTAAGTCTCACAAGATCTAATGGGTTTATCGGGGGTTTCCAGTTTTGCTTCCTCCTCATTCTCTCTTGCTGCGGCAATGTAAGAAGTGCCTTTTCCCCTCTGCCATGATTCTGAGGCCTCCCCAGCCATGTGGAACTGTAATTCCAATTAAATCTCTTTTTCTTCCCAGTCTCGGGTATGTCTTTATCAGCAGTGTGAATATGAACTGATACACCCCCTTTTTGAAGAATAAAAGGGAAACCTGCAAGAGGGATGAAAATACACTCTAAAAAGAGAAATTCTCTAGATCTGTGAAAAGTTATAGCAGAAAAGAGGAATGAATGTCTTAGGCTTAGAACATGAAGATGATTATCTCCAAAATGGTTTTTTAATGGGTACCAGAAGAATTGTTAATAAGTTACAAGCAGACACAGACTTTTTAAAGATAAGTACAGAGAATCTTGAGAAGAGGACATTCTGGAATGAAAATACACAAGATGAAATGTGAAGACAGCAAGTTGAGGAGAAAAATGAACTTGATGGGATCAAGAAGATGCAGCAGCCAATTTAGTTAATTTCCCTGTCTGTGCTTCTTTGTCAGAGTGAGCTCTCAATTCCCCAGTAAGGAAAGGACACATGATTTGCTCTGCTCACAATGAGTAGGATCCAGAATGGACACATGATCCAAACTTGGTCAATCAATTCTTTCTTCTAGAATATTGGGACACAAGAATGCTATGCAGGCTTAGGTAGGGCTGAAAGAGAGAAGGTAGGTAGAGATGTCTTGGGGGCTGTTTTATTTTCTGTCCATGGAGAAATAGAGATCTGGATTGCAGAGACCGGTAGATTAGAAGATGAAGAAAGAAAAACAGAGACAAGAGACCACAGGATTTGGAAAGAGACACAGAAAGAAAGTAGCTATCCTGGTCCCTGACAACTTTCCAGTTCCTCATTCCAGTCTCTTATGAGGCCTCACTAGACTTCCTGACTTTGGGTTCTATGAATTTACACTTGTATTATTTTAAAAACATTCCACTTTTGTCTTACCCTAATTTGAATGGGATACTATTATTTGCAACCAAATGGTCCTTGACCGATAAAGAAGGATTGCAAGAATACTAAAAACAAAACAAAACAACAAAAACCTCAGTAGTAGTATAGACTTCTGTTTTGCAAGCCAGCTGGAGAACAGCTTCACTGCAGCATTTCTTGATTTCCCACAAAAATACATATAAATTAAAGGATTTAGAAACAACTCACAATAACATTGAAAATTGAGTTGGGTAGTCAACCTAATTCTACAATCAAGAGAGCTGATTTTTAGAACTTATTTGGCTTAACCTCTAAGTGGCATTTGTCCCTGTGGGATATTCTCTTTCTTGAGGCATTTTCTTTCTTTGGC
Source organism: Homo sapiens (assembly GCF_000001405.40). Classification (NCBI taxonomy): domain Eukaryota; kingdom Metazoa; phylum Chordata; class Mammalia; order Primates; family Hominidae; genus Homo; species Homo sapiens. The sequence continues at coordinate 102,577,221 of NC_000012.12, forward strand.
TCCCATGACTACATTCTAATGTTTTCATTCCTCTGTAGCTTTGTCTTTATCTGTTTCTCTTGTTCCTTCTTTCCCACTTGACCTTTTAAATAGTTCCTTAGCATTCATCTGAGCTACCTCCTCTTCCATTCTATTCAAGCAGTTCCACTCATGCCCATGGCTTCTGTTCTTACTCACATACTGATAGTTTTTAAATCTATGTACTCAGTCCATACCTCTTGACTGTATAAACATCCTTCTACTAGAAATTTCTACTGAGATATTGCAACAGTAGCTCGTATGAAACCAAAATCATCCTCTTTCCAGCCACATCTGCCCCTCTTTAACGAAATACTATACTTTCTATCTGCCCAGTCATTCAAACTAAAAACTTCGGATTTCTCCTAGCATGCTCCCTCTCCCTCCTCTTTCATATCCAATCAGTTAGCAAGTCCCGTTGTGAAAACTACAGAACAAAAAAACCTAGGACCCCCACTGATGTTTGATTTAGTGCGAGCAATCTCTAAACTTTATCTCCCTCCTGTGTGCCTCACCTCCTGCACAATTCTGATAGGTTCCTACTCCTTCCCAGCACACAGGTCCTGGCAAAATATAAAGCCCTTTGTGCATGGGTATGTGCGCGTGTGTGTGTGTGTGTGTGTGTGTGTGTGTGTGTGCGCGCGCGCTTGTGCGCCCATGGTGGGAAGAGGCAGATGCTGAAATAAAGAACTTAACAGTGGATAATAGGAAATGAGCTTTAAATAAATACCCAGAGCTCAGAATATCAGAGAACAAGGCGATGAATGTAGAAGAGGTGTGTTAAGTGAAATTGTGATACAATTTGGAGATTGGGCTGGAATGAAGTGCACTGACCCAACCTCACCCTGTACATCCCACCTCCACCAATTTTATAGCTGAAAAGGAGATTTTTCCATCACATGCCATAGAATAAGTCCAACCCACATACTTTCTCTGTGGACAAACTCTGTTTAAAAACAGTTTTTCATGCTTAAGAATGATTAAAGATGAAATAAAATCAGTGTGGGGTCCATAAAAAATTATAGAATAAAGGAAAGTATTGGAATACTCAAAGGAAGAACCTATTTCTGAAAATGGCCTATTGTAGTGTATTAATTAAGGTGTAAGCAAAAATTCTTAAAAAAAAAAAAAGGTAACCGGTTGGGTGTGGTGGTTCACACCTGTAATCCCAACACTTTGGTAGGCTGAGGTGGGTGGATCACCTGAGGTCAGGAGTTTGAGACCAGCCTGGCCAATGTGGCAAAGGCTGTCTCTACTAAAAATACAAAAATTAGCCAGGTGTGGTGGCATGTGCCTATAAGCCCAGCTACTTGGGAGGTAGGAGAATCACTTGAATGGGGGAGGCAGAGGTTGCAATGAGCCAAGATCATGCCACTGCACTCCAGCATGGACAACAAGAGTGAGACTGTCTCAAAAATAAATAAATAAATAAATATATGTATATATACACACACACACGTATATATATATGTATATATGTAACCAAAAATAAAGTGTTTCAATAGTTTATTCCTCTTTCATATAATGGTCTAGAGAGAGTGTCATTGGGACAAAGGGCAAAGATACAGAGGATCTGTTTCCCTTCTATCTTGTTTTTCTGTAATCACCTAGAGCAGTGCTACTCAAATGTGGTCCAGACCAGTGCTGGTCTTGGGACTTCTTGCCACTTGTCAGCATGCTCCCTCTCCCTCCTTTAAAGGTGAGACATGTACAGAAATTGAGAGTGTTTATCTGGCCCCATTGTGCACTGATACAGTTTAGAAGTAAGCATACTTATCATTGACCAGTAACAAGTAGTTTATAGATAGTACCTGTCCGTAGACCACATTTTGAGTAGCACTGCCCTAGGGGGTCATCCTCATTATTCTTTAAACTGGCTAACTGGCACCATACAAAGGGAAATGACAGAAAATTCTTTAGAAATAGCAGGTAGCAATTAAAATGAACCAATATGAAATTAATAAGATAGAATGAAATAGAATATGATAAAAAAATTAAAAAAGAAAATAGAATGAGATGAAAAAGGAAATGATAGGATAAAGACGTTGAAATTCACATTGGAGGCAGTAGAGAGCATGATTAGTGCTGCACAAAACCCCAGAAGTGGAGTAAAAGATAAATCGAGCTGCTCTAGAATTCAGGGAGGAAAAAAATAAAAAAAATGTAAAACTAGAAAGAGAAGATGAAAGATATGGAGGCTGACAACAGAGAACCAAAAAAACAAATAAATCATTCTCCTTAAAAAGGGATCTAGAACTAGAAATACCATTTGACCCAGCCATCCCATTACTGGGTATATACCCAAAGGATTATAAATCATGCTGCTATAAAGACACATGCACACGTATGTTTATTGCGCCACTATTCACAATAGCAAAGACTTGGAACCAACCCAAATGTCCAACAATGATAGACTGGATTAAGAAAATGTGGCATATATACACCATGGAATACTATACAGCCATAAAAAATGATGAGTTCATGTCCTCTGTAGGGACGGGGATGAAGCTGGAAACCATCATTCTCAGCAAACTATTATTGCAAGGACAAAAAACCAAACACCACATGTTCTCACTCATAGGTGGGAATTGAACAGTGAGAACACTTGGACACAGGAAGGGGAACATCACACACCGGGGACTGTTGTGGGATGTGGGGAGGGGGGAGGGTAGCATTAGGAGATATACCTAATGTAAATGACGAGTTAATACGTGCAGTACACCAACATGGCACATGTATACATATGTAACAAACCTGCACATTGTGCACATGTACCCTAGAACTTAAAGTATAATAAAAATTAAAAAAAAAAGAAAGAAAAAGAAAGGCCAGGCACGGTGGCTCACTCCTGTAATCTCAGCACTTTGGGAGGCTGAGGTGGGTGGATCACCTGAGGTTGGGAGTTCGAGACCAGCCTGACCACCATGGAGAAACTCTGTCTCTACTAAAAATACAAAATTAGCCAGGCGTGGTGGCACATGCCTGTAATCCCAGCTACTAGGGAGGCTGAGGCAGGCGAATTGCTTGAACCTGGGAGGTGGAGGTTGCGGTGAGCTGAGATTGCGCCATTGCACTCCAGCCTGGGCAACAAGAGCAAAACTCCACTCAAAAAAAAAAAAAAAAAAAAGGAAAAACAGCACAAATAGAATCAAATTATTAATTAAAAATATAAGACAGAGCAATCTTAACTGAAATGAAGTGAGAGATATTTAAAGATATAAAGGGCTCACCCCATTCCAAGAGAAAATCAGTGAAAAGAGAATTAAATTTACATTCATCCAGGCGAGATTTCTGGAGTAAGAGGATAAAGAAAAATTTAACACAAATACAGACAGAAAAAATAATAGTAAGAAAAATCTAGGCTCAGTCTTCTTCATATTGATAAATTCAATGTTTACAGAGTTTTGAGGTAGAAAAAATAATTAGAAGCCAAGAATTTTATGTGCAACCAAATTATCTTACTCTTTCATGTGGGTGCAGTGGCTCACACATATAATCCAAGCACTTTGGTAGGCCAAGGTGGGTGGATCACCTGAGGTCAGGAGTTTGAGACTGACCTCGAACTCCTGGGAAAGTACTAAAACATTATTGAACTGAGTTTTTCTCTACAAATATAACCATACTTATTCGATGTCAGGCACTTTAGATGCAATGATAAACAAAACAGACACATATAAACTGAGAAAATAGGTTAATCATGTACCCTTCTTGAAAATTTTTATTTGAAGTCATTCTTTAACCTACTGAAAATAGAAGCAAAACAAAATGATCAAGCCTAGTAAAGTAGCAGTATAAATGTTTTGGGTGTAAGAATGGAAGCCAGTGAAAGTAGAAAAGACCAAATTACCATAAGTATGGTTACAGGATTTCAATCTTTTTCTCAGTTGAAAACAAAATAAACAGTATTATTATAAATTATTTGGATTTAAAATCCAGGATTACATCAACAAAGACCATAAAATGAGGGACAGATGGGAGAAAACTAGGGAATTAAGAAGATACTTTCTGATTCCTAATCAAGATAAAAGTCACTGAGGTTTAAAAAATAATTTTGAAAATCTTACAAGTAGCAATTTATAAAATCAGTAAAAGGAAAGCTCCAAAACAATATAGTACTAATATAGTACAAGATGACAGATGTTAGTAGATGTTAGTTTTAACTAAAAGCATCCATGGAATCTATTTAACATAACTTGAAAGTTTAAAAGCAAAATTATGAACGGTGGTAGATGTTGTGAATTCAATGAGAAAACAGATATTTTAATAATAACATCAAAGCAATTTTTTCCCTTGTAAAAAAACTTTTAAGTTTAGAGGTATATGTGCAGGTTTATTATTTAGATAAACTTGTGTCATGAGAGTTGTACATATTATTTCATCACCCAGATATTAAGCCTAGTACCCATTAATTATGTTTCCTCATCCTCTCCCTCCTCCCACTCTCTCGCCTTCACTAGGCTTCAGCATGTGTTGTTTCCCTCTATGTGTCCATGTGTTCTCATTGTTTTAGCTCCCATTTATAAATGAGAACATGTGGCATTTGGCTTTCTGTTCCTGTGTTAGTTTGCTAAGGATAATGGCTTCCAGCTCCATCCATGTTCCTGCAAAGGAAATGATCTTTTTCTTTTTTATGGCTGCATAGTATACCATGGTGTATGTGTACCACATTTTCTTTATCCAGTTCACCACTGATAGGCACCTAGGTTGATTCTATGTCTTTGCTTTTGTGAGTAGTGCTGTGATTAACTATGCATGCATGTGTATTTATAATAGAATGACATATTCCTGTGGGTATATACCCAGTAATGGAATTGCTGGGTTGAATGGTGTTTCTGTCTGTAGGTCTTGGAGGAATCACCATACTGTCTTCCACAATGGTTGAACTAATTTACACTCCCACCAACGGTGTAAAAGCATTCCTTTTTCTCCACAACCTCGACAGCATCTGTTATTTTTTGACTTAATAATAGCCAGTCTGACTGGTGTGAGATGGTATCTCATTGTAGTTTTGATTTGCATTTCTTTAATGATCAGTGATGTTGAGCTTTTTTCACATGATTCTTGGCTACATTTGTGTATTCTTTTGAAAAGTGTCTGTTCATGTCCTTTGTCCACTTTTGAATGAGGTTGTTTACTTTTTCTTGTAAATATGTTGAAGTTCCATATACATGCTGAATATTAGACCTTTGTCAGATGCATAGTTGGCAAAAATTTTCTGCCATTTTGTAGGTTGTCTGTTTACTCTGTTGATTGTTTCTTTTGCTGTGCAGAAGCTCTTTAGTTTAATTAGATCACATCTGTCAATTTTTGCTTTTGTTGCAATTGCTTTTGGCACCTTTGTCATAAAATCTTTGTCTGTGCCTATGTCCTGAATGGTATTGGTCTAGGTTGTCTCCCAGGTCGGCATCATCCTGATGCCAAAACCTGGCAGAGATGTAACAAGAAAACTTGAGGCCAACATCCATGATGCATGTTGATGCAAAAATCCTCAACAAAATACTGGCAAACTGAATCCAACAGCAAATCAAAAAGCTTGTCCATCATGACCAAACAGGCTTTAAAATTGTTTCAACATATGCAAATCAATAAGTGTGATTTATCACATAAACATAACTAATGACAAAAAACACAGGATTATCTCAACAGATGCAGAAAGAAAAGGCTTTTGATAAAATTCAACATCCATTCATGTTAAAAACTCTCAATAAACTAGGTATTGAAGGAATATACCTCAAATAATAAGAGCCATACATGACAAACCCACAGTTAACATCATACTGAATGGGCAAAAGCTGGAAGCATTCCCTTGTAAACCTGGAATGCCCTCTCTCACCACTCCTATTCAACATAGTATTGGAAGTCCTAGCCAGGGCACTCAGGCAAGAGAAAGAAATAAAGAGCATCCAAATAGGAAGAGAGGAAGTCAAACTCTCTCTGGCTGCAGACAACATGATCCTATGTTTAGAAAATCCCATATAGTCTCAGCCTAAAGCTTCTTAAGCTGATAAACACCTTCAGCAAAGTCTCAGATACAAAATCAGTGTACAAAAATTACTAGCATTCTTATACACCGACAACAGTCAAGCCCAGAGCGAAATCAGGAACCAACTCCCATTCACTATAGTCACAAAAAGAATATAATACCTAGGAATACATCTAATTAGGGAGATGAAAGATCTCTACAAGGAGAACTACAAACCACTGCTCAAAGAAATCAGAGATGACACAAACAAATGGAAAACCATTCCATGCTCATGGATAGGAAGAATCAATATCATTAAAATGGCCATACTGCTCAAAGCAATTTATAGATTCAATGCTATTTTTATTAAACTACCACTGAGATTCTTCACAGAACTAGAAAAAACTATTTTAAAATTCATATGGAACCAAAAAGTGCTTGAATAGCCAAGGCAATACTAAGCAAAAAGAACAAAGCAAGTCACACTACCCAACTTCAAACTGTACTACAGGGCTACAGTAACCAAACCAGCATGGTACTGGTACAAAAACAGACACAGACCAATGGAACAGAAAAGAGAAATAAGACTACACACCTTCAACCATCTGATCTTGGACAAACCTGACAAACACAAGCAATGGGGGAAGGATTCCCTATTCAATAAACGGTGCTGAGAAGCCAGTTATCTGGCTAGCCACATGCAGAAGGTTGAAACTGGACCCCTTCCTTACATCATGTACAAAAGTTAACTCAAGATGGATTAAAGACTTGAATGTCAATCTCAAAGCAAAATTTAAGAAAAAACATTCCATATAACAAATTATTTTTGAAACACAATAAAGATATAGCTACTGTGAACCTTGTCTTGCTGAATACTATCATATTGAACTAGACAAGGCAATGACAATTAGAAGTACAAATAAAATTGAATGAGCACATACTGAAATCTTTCCTTCTTGCCCAGGCCCAGGAAAATAAGATAAAGGACATATTTAAATACTGAAGTAATAAAAATTACATTTTGAAACAGAAAGATAATTTTTCTTTATTCAAAGGCCAATCCATAGACAAAAATGGAGAGTGGAAATCCCAGAAGTAAGTTAGGACTGCTTCACAACAAGCCACGTATAGGCAGGGACCCAAAATGGAAAGCCATAAGCCATAGGGAAGACACTATAGCTCAAGACACAGGGATCAGAATTCTGTTGCAGAAGATAAACTCACAAGCAAACGTCAGTAAACCCATGAGAAATAACTACACTGCAACAGGGTCACAGCAAGGTCAAGAAGTAGAAAACTTATCATAGGAAATAGCATTGGTGAACCAATCAGACAAGGACCTTATTTGTTCAGTTACTTAATACAATCATTAATCTTCACAAAATAGTTTCTAATACTTTGTGCCTGTGCTAGCAGCATCTTGCACTGTGACTTTCCTATATATAAATAGGCATTTTATCCAAGTGCAAATATTAAAAGCAGGGTAACTTAAGCAATCGCCTGTACAAAGGTAAATAAATGGTAGGTTGTTTTTCTTCTTGAATCATTTTTGCTACCTAGCAAATTACAATTACATATCAGTTTAACATTGCTGATCTATAGAATACACTTTGAACTGTGAGGTATGGCAACTTCCTGTAAGAGAGAGTTAATATATAAACCTGAATATTTTGCATGATTTTTTTTAGCTTCCATGGATAGGGAAGACAAAAAATATCCAGGCTTCAAAGACCCTAGAAAGTAATTTTTCTAATCAATAAAAAAATTGTTTAGTAATTCTAAGTAATTTCTTCTTGGCTTCTTGTTGGAGCATTGTTGAATGGACAGATAAAGTAAATATTGAAGTGAAGCTATGTTTGTTATGGGATTATGGATTAAACCAGTTATTTTTAAAAATCTGCCAGGAAAAAATAACTACTGGGTAAGAGGCTTAGTACCTGGGTGATGAAATAATCTGTACAACAAACCCCCATGACACAAGTTTACCTATTTAACAAACCTACACATGTGCTCCTGAACCTAAAATAAAAGTTAAAAAGAAAAAGTCTGCCAGGTAACCTCCTCATTTACTTTACATTAAGTTGAGGTCCTGATACATACATCTCAACCTTATAATTCAAGACTACTGTGAAATACTTCTAGTTCACTTGAAATAGCATGGTAATAGGACAATTAAAATCCTTATATGTTCTTAAAAAGTACATGCTTAACATTTTCTGGCATTACTTCTGAGCTCAGATAAAGCACAAAATCCCCCTAAATGAATATTCTTCTCTGTAAGTTAAGCGGTTGAGAGTTGGTAGCAAAAGCTATCATGGTATAACATTTCCATCTTAGAGTAGATACAAGTAGAAGAAAGTGCTGTTTAAACATCAAATAGATAAGAAATTAACATGAACCAATTAACTTAAATTAGAAGGTAAGAATACTGCCATTCCAGATTGAATATTTTCAACATTTAAATTTCATACTTTAAAAATGGACAGCGATGAAGTCTGTTTTTGTGTAGTTCCACCTTAAATTTGGTGCCCAAATTACATATTTAATGTAATAGTGACTGGGTGGTCACTCGTATGTTATTCAAATACTGTAGAAAATAAATCAGAGTTAGTTAAATTTATTATACTTAACCATCACAAAACATCAGTGAAAATAAAGAAATCATAGAAATGGAACCAAATTGAAGTAAGAAAGAATAGGAAGTGGTACCAGAACTGGCTTAACATGAGGTGGACAAAAAGATTCAAGAAAAAAACAAACTTGCAATGTTCTTATATGACAGAAAGAATAAACCTCTTATTTTGTCTACATTAACACTGTACTAAGGATGAGGACATTTCCTTTTTCTAGTGTTTGTGAGAGTCTGTCTTTAATAGACAGTACTGAGCAGGCACTTTAGTGACAACATAAAAATTATAGTGGTTATAAAAAGTGGCAAATTACCAGCTATAAATTAATACCAATAACCAAATCTGTATTTTTGGCCAGACTGCTAGACAGGATATGTGTGTTTATGAAACTAATTTTTAAAAATATTAACTGCTTCATTTAAAAAAATCGAATTTACTAGTATGAAGATTCATTTAAGCAGAGTTTCTGCTGAATGAAGCAGCATAGATTATTATTAGATTGCAATAGAGATCTTTGCTGACCTATCCTATAGTGATCTATATACAGGAAAACTATGTTATTGGTACTTTACCAGCTGGAATTTTTGAACACCCAATGCGAATCTTGACTCCACTAGACCACTGTACACCAAGTGACCTAATCACACAACAGAATACTAGACCACTATGGGATTAAAAATAGCTGTTTTCAGGGTGGTAAGACAGGAGAATGGAAAGAAAATCAGAAGAGGACACAATCTTGATCAACAGGAATTAACTCTTAATCAACAACAACTTTTCCACTCTCCCGCTGGATAAAATAGCTTTTACTGTCAGGTGCGGCAGCTCATGCCTGTAATCCCAGCATTTTGGGATGCCAACGTGGGCAGATCACTTGAGCTCAGGAGTTCCAGACCAGCCTGGGCAACGTGGTGAAACACCGTTTCTAGTAAAAATGCAAAAATTAGCCAAGGGTATTGGTGCTATGTGCCTCTAGTCCTAGCTACTCAGGAAGCTGAGGCAGGAGTCATGCTTGAGCCTGGGAGGTGGAAGTTGCAGTGATCCCAGATCACACTACTGCACTCCAGTCTGAGTGACAGAGCCAGACTCTATCTTAAAAAAAAAAAAAAAAGTACTGTATCATTACATTATAGAGAGGAAAGCAAAGAAAGTAAGTTGGTGCAATAGGACCTCTTGGAGCCAAGGGAACATATAGAAATCATTCCCATCAGTAAAGCACCTCAAGAGAGGACTGAGAAAAGTGAGATGCAAAGAAGTTTTGTTTCTATTACCCTAAAGTCATAACTATAGAAAGCTAAAAACACTCCTCTCTTCCCTCATTTCATTAGTAAAAATGGCAAAAATATTTTTCTTAGACCAGTTTTTACACATATAAATAATAACATGGAGAAACAATGACCCATAAAGTCACTTTGCTAAAGCAAATTTGGGGAGAAATTTGGGTTAAGCGAATGTAAATAACCGATTTAAATACTAATTTAAAATACAGTAGAATCCTGCAAATGACTTTCCCCAATAAATGCATCTTCAAAGAAAAGCTTCTGTCTCTGCTGGAACAATCTCGCAGAATCATAAGGCAACATAAAATGAAAGAGTAAATATTTCAAACTTCAAATAATTTGCTAAGGTATTGGGAAGCCTCATACTTTCAGTTTAAACTAATTTATGATTTAAAAAGAAAAGAGCCGGGTGCAGTGTCTCATGCTTGTAATCCCAGCACTTTGGGAGGCAGAAGCTGGAGGATCACCTGAGGTCGGGAGTTTGAGACCAGCCTGACCAACATGGAGAAACCCTGTCTCTACTAAAAATACAAAAAATTAGCTGGGCGTGGTGGTGGATGCCCGTAATCCCAGCTACTCGGCAGGCTGAGGCAGGAGAATCGCTTGAACCCAGGAGGCGGAGTTTGCGGTGAGCCAAGATCGCACCATTGAACTCCAGCCTGGACAATAAGAGTGAGACTCCATCTCAAAAAAAAAATAATAATAATAATAAGATAATAATAAAAATAAAAATAAAAATGAATTACAGAAAATCTTAACTTTTTACTGTTCTACATACTAATTTAGAGGTACTGAGGATTTTTTTTTTCTTAATGATGCAAGGCACTTTTCTTTTTTGGGTTTCATTTAGAATAAAATTGATTCTACACTGATTTATTATATTCTATTTAGAACCATTTTGGACAAAGGAAAAAGAGCTGGGCAACTCTGAAAAGAACAAATACAACTTTGGCTTTTACAAAAGAAAATGCAAAAATGAAAGTCACATGAAAGTTAACAGTATCCAGGTTTTTAAGCATCTGGTACTATAAAGCAAAACATCTTCCTGTTATCATTAAACCTTTGCTGTTTTTATAGAATAAATAAATTAGAAAAGTAATAGGAAAGGAAACAGTAATTGAACCATAAGTAAAGATAGTTGGTTAGTGTCACGATTTAAAGATTGTTAAGGGATCACGAAGTTTAAAAAATAAAATAATAATTAAGCTATTGAATTATACTAAAAAAGAAATGTAGCAGATTCCTGCATTTTGTTAATGTTTCTATAAAAGCCTTCATCATGAAATTGAACTGTAAAAGTTTTAAAAATATATAATATAGGTTAGGAGCAGTGGCTCATGCCTGTAATCCCAGCACTTTGGGAGGCTGAGGCGGGTGGATCATGAGGTCAGGAGTTGGAGACCAGCCTGGCCAACATAGTGAAACCCTGTCTCTACTAAAAATACAAAAACTAGCCAGGCATGGTGGCATGCGCCTGTAGTCCCAGCTTCTTGGGAGGCTGAGGCAGGAGAATCACTTGAACCTGGGAGGTGGAGGTTGTGGTGAGCCGAGATCGTGCCACTGCATTCCAGCCTGAGCAACATAGTGAGATTCCATCTCAAAAAATAAAAATTAAAAAAAAAATATATATATATATAGAGAGAGAGAGAGAGAGAGAGAAAGAGAGAAGAGAGAAAAGGACTTTAGGAATTTAATATCCTTAAAGGGGTAAAACAAAAATTATTGAAATCAGAACAGTAGCTCATAAAACAGGAACAGGTGAATGTAAACAAACAAATAATAACTTATTAACAACCTGGGATGAAATATGTATGTATGTACGTGTATATATATATGTGTGTACATCCATGTGTGTATGTACATATGTGCTTGTGTATAAAAATTCATTAGGTATGGTAAACAACATACTGTACTGGATAGAGTTGAAGAGCAAACCACTGAGTCAAAAACCTAAACACAGAATTTTTTTTCAAAACACCACATGAAATATTAATAAAAAAGAGGTAGAAAGGAAGAAAGAAAAGCTAAGAGACATGGAAACTCGATCCAAAAGTTCCAGTACTCACCTAATAGAAGAATCATAAAGACAGAATAGTTAAAATAGAGGAGAGAGAATATTTAAAGAGTCCAGCAAATAAAATCTCATATAAACAAACAAACAAAACAACCCTTAGACTGTCATACACCTTTAGAATAGAAAAAGTAGAAAATTGATTCCTAAAAGCTACAAGGGCAAATGATGAGATTATCTCCAAAGGAATGAGTATCAGTTTAAATTTTTTTTTTCACTAACAATATTAGAAACAAGAATATGATAGAAAATATTTTCAGAATACTTGAGGAAAAACTGCCATTAAATCTGGAATTTAATAATCAGGCAAACTTTCATTCAAGTGTAAGCATAAAGTAAAGACATTTTCAAACAAACAAGATCACACAAACTTTACCAATCAAGGACCCTCTCAGGAGGAGGAGGAAAACTATTAGTACTAGATAATATAGTCTAACCAGAAGAAAAATGAATCTAAGAATATAGTAGAATATAAGAATCAATGATGAACAAAGGAAACGCTATAAATACTAACTGTATTTTAAAAACCCCATTTCACAAAATTATTAAGTTGTAACTAAGGCTACATTGAGAGTTTGGGAATGTGTGGGTTAGCTAAAAGCAGTAACTACATGCTAAGCTTCTTGTCATATTTGGGCTGGGGGTGAATAGAAATGCTGACTAATTCTACATTATTTTGGAAAGAGAAACAGAATGTATAACTTTAAAGCAGTAGAGGGAAAATAGAACAAAAAATGTGCACAGTGTATCCAAATGCTCAAGGGCAGTAAAGCAATAATATGGCAAGAGAAAAACATAAATTAAGATAATAAGAATAAATGTAAAACTATCAACACTGAAGTATATAGGATCAAATACCAACTAAAGGACTTTAAATTCAATAAACAGGAATAATACAGCTTTTAGTCAAAGAGACAAGGAACAGGTGCAAAAGATGGTTATATACCATGCCACGAAGGAAGGCCTCATCAAGACTGACATTATATAAACCATGTTCACTGTATGCAGTAACATAAAACTAAAAGTTAACCATAGAGAAACTAAATGATCAGAATATTTTAGGAAAATATAAGTTGTCAAAATGAGCCCAACACCATAGGCCAATAAACTAAAAGAAATTGAAACAGAAGCCAGAAATATTTCCTAAGAAAAGGCACAAGGCCTGGATGACTTTATGGGTGAATTCCAGCAAAACCTTACGGAATAGATAATTCCCATCTTATTCAAATTGTTCCAAACAATAAAAAAAGATGGGAAGCCAGCCAACATATTTTGTAAGGCCAGCTTAACAATGATATCAAAACCAGACTATGTTCTAAGTGAAATTTGATCTATAATTTTCTTTTAGTTTTTGTTGTTGATGTGAATGGGAATTTTCTTTATATTATTTGTACCAATTGGTTACTGCAGCTTCACATACAATTTTAATGGGGTTTGATAGAAAGAAATTTTGTCCTTGAAGAGGTTTACTTGATTTCATGTTTAGTTTCAATAGTTCTCTCATACCTTCATGTTCATAGTAATATATATATATAGTGTAGACATACTCTCTGATTTATGAGCACTTATTTGAACAACAACAACAACAAAAGATGAGAAAGTCTCTAAGATCCCAACTATCATACATCAAAATTCTCTTTCATCTTTCTACATTTTACAGATACCTTCCGTATGTAAGCCATGGAGAGCTATACAGATGTTAGTCATTACAGGATGGTCACTCTGCTCTGACAGGCTTGGAAAACAGTTCTGTCTGTAATCCCTAAGAAACATGTTTTCTTTTTGTAGTTCCTTCTTCTCTGCTAATGCTTGCTGGACAGAGAACTAATACTTGAGTTGCCACATTTACTGCTCATGAGTTACTGGAAGATTGAAGTGGCTCTGGCCAGGGGCACACACATTCTCAGAGCTATCACACCTTTTCTTGCCACTCACTGGCATTTACTTTCATATAGACTTGGTGTTGTAAATGGTGAAGTACCACTGCACTTCTGTGTAGCACCAGTCCTGGGTCCAAATTTTGACTCAATTGTTTTCTAGTTGTGTGATCTCAGGCAGTTTAATTGACTTCTCTGGACCTTAAGTTAAGCTCCCTATTTGTGAGATGGGGTTATTAAGACTATATCACAGGATTGTTAGGGAGAATATGTTACATAATATGTGCAAAATTATTTAGCATATCTTCTATTACATATACCTTGTACTCTGTATATGTTGGTTCCGTTTGCCCTTAAAATATTTACAGACAAGCTTGGATACAGATCACCTAATCAGTGTTCTTTCGAAAAATTTGTTTTGCAGCAGACCCGATGCTTTCTCTCAAGACTCCCAGGTTTCAAACTGGTCATATATTGAGGGCCAGTTACCTGGACAATGAGGGTAAATGGCAGTCTGTAATTATGATCTTGGTTTCTAGGTTGTTAGGGACTAATATTAATCCTCAAATTGTATGTGAAATGTGTTTATCTGGCTATAATTGTATAGTCTTCTTGAAAGCATTGATCAGCAATGCTAATTTAACACGTATTTCCCCAGGGGAGTGCTTTTGAGCTAGTGGGGTTGCCAATTTATTAGTTAACTCATGCCACTTTCTTCAGAGCAGAAATAGAAACAGGAAACTCACAAAAAGTTACAGGTATATATTTTCATTTTTTATCAGGTGAACAATTCAGTGTAAAGATAATCAGAGCATGCATTGTTCTTTGAAGAACATAGTGCTGTGTTGGTTGGCTGGCAAATGATGGTGAATACTACTCAGTTATGTGTAATTAAAAGCAGAGTGAGATACTAACACTAGGAGATAATAAAGCTGTTTTCAGAAAACAGATTCAATTTGAATAAATACATGAACACGTTATCAGTGAAATATCTTTGTGAAAGAATTATTTATCCTACTCTATCAACCTCCTTCAAAATCAAAGGATAGATTACAAGTGCCTTGGTTTTTTGTTTTGTTTTGTCTTATTAGTTTGAGTTTGCAAACCCCAAGAAATTCAAAAGTGGTACATCTTTAGAAACAACTTAAGAGAATCATAAGCCATGCTTAAGCTTGCTTTGTAGAATGATTTTTATTGTTCACAATGAAGATTATTTCATTCTTCCTTTTGTTCTTCAGTTGTTGGCTTATTTCGTCATAGTTGTTTAATGGACAAAGTCACATGTACAATTATTATGTAACAATAATACATAAATAACACAAAAAAGAAAATTTGTTTTGAATTTCAACCAATCAATTGACAAGTGAATTTTAGAATTATAAACAATGAGAAGTTTGTGATAAAGCACCTACTGAAGCAGAAAATTTTCTCTGACCTCTTCATGGGTGAAACTCGAGTGCCCGGGCACTAGAAATAGCCAGCAGCCCCTTCAGTGCTGGTAGGGATGGACACCACTCATTTGGTCCTGCTGTGCTCCACCCCTCACAGGAAGGGGGAGAACAGGTGAACTGGAGCTGGGGCTAGCACTTTTGGGCACTGGCAGGAGCAAAACTCTGTGTGGCTCCATGGCAGTGTCTAGGGGGATTCTGGAGACCCCTGAAGCCCCAGAAAGAGTGTTACAGTCAGCGCTCTTTTAGCTTTACCATCTGTAGATGGCTTAAGTGTTCACAGTTCAGTGGAGGGTCAGTGTGACAGCCTTTTGCACCTGCACCCGAGTTCTTGTCCAACATCCAGGAGGAATGAGGTTGCATGAACAAATTGGAGATGGTAAATGTGGAGGATTTTATTGCCAATGAAAGTGGCTCTCAGTAGGAAGGGGAGCTGAAAAGGAAATGAAGTGGGAAGATAATCTTCCTCTGGAGTCTGGCCCCAAAGCAATGCCATCAAGCTGTCCCTCTGAAGTCAAGCCACTTCCCTCCGATGTCCAACCATAGTCTCCAGTGTCCAGCTGTTTCTCTTCTCTCTGGTGGCTGAGCCTGGAGTTTTTATAGGCACAGGATGGGGGGCTGGGAGGGCCATAGGTGATTTTGGAAAAGGCAACATTAGAGCTGGAAAACAGGAATGCATGTTCTCACTTTTGGCCACCATTCCAGGCTTGAGGGTGGGGATTTGCCCTCTTCTCCCCAGAATTTCCCTGCCTCCTGTCCGTGTCTTTTCCCCCCTCTGAAGAGGCACATCTAACTGCAGTTAGAATACAGGAAGTTAGTTACTTCCTGCTGCCAGAGGGCGTTGTTTTGGGGAGAATGGGAGTCAGATTTCTTCCAGAGGTCTACCTAAGAGTTCCTAGCAAAAGGGAGCCATCGTCCAAGGCTCCAGTTGCCTGTTTAGAGTTTGATGGCTTATCGGTGAGAAGAAACAAGTTTTACAAGGTTAAGTATGCATGGATCAAATGTGTGTTATACAAAGAGGAGCTAAAAGGAGAGAATCAAGTGCCAAAGTTTACAGAAATAAGTGAAATATACTAACCGTTCTGAAAACAACATTGTACCCCATGATATAGAACAGAAAAAAAGTAAAAACAGCAAGCATAGGCAAGACTATAAGGAGGATATCCATGGAAGGTTAATTATTAAAACTTATCTTTTGTGATTTTTAGCTTGATGTCCCCCATCTATTTACATTGGAACTTTGGGTGCTCTTCTGGGTTGATGGCGATAACTCTGTCAACTTCCCAGGTCTTTATTTGGGTATAATAAATTTAAGAATCTATTCCAGTGACCTACTGTAAAAGACCGTGGTGACCACTTTGAGGAGGTTCTCTAAAGTACTATCTGGTCTCAGGGCCTTTTTCTGCAGCTTCCCCCTGATATCAGGGGCTTCCTGAGTAATACATTCATCTTTTAGGATTAGATGTTCCTCAACTGAAGCAGGAGATAGAGATGTGTGCCTTATGAAGGCCTCTCTTATCCTCTCCAGGAAGGCAGTAGGATTCTCATCAAATCCCTGGACTGTCCTGGATAGCTTGGTATAATTGAGAGGCTTAGTTCTAATCCTGCGTAAGCCCTCTATTATGCACACCTGAAAGTAACTCCTCTTTCATTCTCCCATCTCATCACTGGGATCCTATCCAGGGTCATCCAATGGTACTGCTTCTCTTCCAGTTGGATAAAGTTCAACCCCTTCCCTGACACTATGTGTGATACAAAGCTCATCCCCGAATCCCTCTGCTGCTTGTAGAGTGGCCTGCTTCTCAGTTAGTCAAGATTTGATTCAAAAGTAACATAACATCTTTCCAGGAGAGTTCAAATAACCTGGGTTCAGCCGGGAATTCATGCTCATAATCCCAGCATTTTCGGAGGCCAAGGTGGGCAGATCACCTGAGGTCAGTAGTTAGAGACCAGCCTGGCCAACATGGTGAAAACCTGTCTCTGCTAAAAGTATAAAAAATTAGCCAGGCATGGTGGTGGGTGTCTGTAATCCCAGCTACTCAGGAGGCTGAGGCAGGAGAATTGCTTGAACCTTGGAGGTTGCAGTGAGCCAAGATCACGCCACTGCACTCCAGCCTGGGCAACGGAGCGAGGCTCCATCTCAAAACAGCAACAGCAACAACAATAACAACAACAACAAAAACACAAATACTTGGGTTAAATTCTGGAAAGCCTTTATATGTCTGTCAGGGTCATCTGAAAACTTGCTAAGATCCCCCTTAATTTGCCTTAAGTCCTGCAGAGAGAAGGGGACCTGGACCTTACTGGGGCCAAATTCACCAGGTATTTGTTGGAGGGGCAAGAGTGAGACTGGGGCTTGTCTAGGGTAAGGATTTCTAGGAGGGAGCAAGTGAGAGAGAAGCTGGAAAGGGAGAACAGGGTAGGCCCAGAGGAGCAGGGCTGGAGGGAACTGGCTCCCCTGCTGGAGGTGCCTCTGGGGTTTATTTCTTTAGTTCCCTGGGATTGCCCCTAGCAGCCTCTCCTGAGAGGGCAAGTAGGAGGGCTGGATCAATCCTACACTGTTGGCAAGGTACTTGCCCTGCAAGGTCTCGAAAGCCTGCACATATGGGGCCTCAGACTATTTGCCTTCATGTTTACAGAAAAGGTCCAACTGCAGGATGGTATCGAAATGAATGATTCCTTCCTGAGGCCAAGCCAGTCCTTCCTGCAGATTATAGTTTGGCCAAATCTTTGTGCAGAGGGCTATGAGGCATTTTTCTTCCAGAGTCTGAGGGTCAAAGCAGTCCCAGTGATTCGGGATACACTCCAGAGGAGTATAGACTGAGGATGGTGAAGATAGCTGGTTGTCCATTCTGAAAGACAGGGAAATAGGCTTCCCTCATTTTCCTTCCTTCTTTCAGTGAAAACTCAGGGTGTGAGGGAGAGAGAAAGCGGGCATCCCCCTTTTCTGTTTTGTTATCCCCAAGATCTGGCAACCTTACACGGACGCCACCCACGGGTGCCATTGCGACCTGCGCCCATGAAGCAAGGAAGGCCTAGAGACTACAAATTGTCTGCACTCACCCACGCCTCCATCCCCCCTACTGTCGGCAATGTTTGAGTTCCCTGGGCCTTATCTGTGCCATGGCACATGGCCTCCTTCCATGAAGCAGGAGCTTAACTTGCAGGAATTGGTCCTGCGCATTTATACGGTGCCTGTTGCCTCACTTTGTATCCCTCAGATCTGGTTTTCCTTTCTAAGGCTTCAACCCAAAGTTTGGAATTGAGTTTGGGACAAAAATGGTATCTCAGGAGTGGCATGGATTCATTTGGATTAGGCCCTAGATGGCCCTTGCCAATTTTGCAGTCGTTAGCTGGTGGAGGTTATTCCTCTGTTGCCTCCCTATTATAAGCAGAGTGCTGAGGTAGCAAAAGAACCCTCTTGCATAGAAAAGGAAAGAGGAAAAAAACAGCTTAAGGAGAAGAACCCCTTGCCCTATGCAAATTGGTTCCTTTAATCACTGCATCCCTCCCCCAGTTCAGACCAAGCTGAACTCCTTGGTCAGGGGAGGGATGGCTCTATGCGCCCTTGGCAGGAGGGGGTGGTGAGCAGGAAACTCTGGCCAGCTGGCCACATGGGGTCCCTGGCCCCCAAGACTGCCCTGGAGCCCTGGTGGCGGCGGTGGTTCTCTCCCACCGCCTGTGGCCATTGGGCGTGGCATGTGCATGCTGCAGATGTGCCCAAGTGCCCCAGCTGGGAGGGGAGGGCATGAAGATGGGAGCCACTGCGTGCCATGTGTGCCTGCAGCTGTTGGGGTTGGGGAGGGGACGGCATCTCCAAGAACAAATGGAAATCAGATTGTTCTGAATTGCATATCTGATTGCTGGAGCCAACGCTCATTCTACTTAATATTTCTGCAGTTTGCAGCAAAACACTTAACATTATGAAAGGATAGGAGCCATTTCAAACTGTGAAAGAAGAAAGGAAAGATACCATAGAAAAGTCTGGAGTTCTTGTCCAACGACTTGATGGGCAGTTGGGGACTGGATTTGGGGGCCTTCTGGCAACACTGAGGAGTGGCCTTGGCCAGATGCATTCAGTTGCCTCAGGACTTTATTCTGGTCCTATGCGACAGCAAGACTTCTGTGAGAGAAACAGAGCCAACGTTCCTTTTACCCAAAAGATAGAGATGGCAGTGTTGCATCCTGTTCCCTGCAAGTGGCATAGCTCACAGGAAAGTCTGAGGGCAGGAAGAGAGAGATCTACCTTTTTGCATGTACTCACCCTTCTGATGTATTCCAGACAATCCTTCAAAATGAAGCAGGAAATTTTCCCTGACCCCTTTGCAGGCAGGAACTGGAGTGCATTAGTACTAGAACTATCTGGCTGCTTTAGTACCAGCAGGGGCAGACTCCACTCACTTGGTCCTGCTATGTTCCAACCCTCACAGGATGGGAGGCACAGGTGAGAGGGTGCAGGAGCCAGGACGAGCACTTTTGGGCATCAGCAGGAGCAAAGCTCCATGCAGCCCTGCAGCAGCATCTAGGGGGGCACCTGCAACCCTTGAAGCTCCAGAAATAGTGTTATATTTAACGCTCTTTTAGCTTTGCTGTCTGTGGATGGCTTAAGTGTTAAGAGCTCAGTGGAAGGTCAGTGCAACAGCATTTTGCTCCCATACCCAAGTTCTTGTCCGGCATCCAGGAGGAATGAGGTTGCATAAACGAATTGCAGATAGTAAATGTGGGGGATTTTATTGCTGATTAAAGTGGCACTCAGCAGGAAGGGGAGCTGAAAGGGGACAGAGCAGGAAGTTCATCTTTCTCCAGAATCCAGCCATTCCCAGCTGGACTCCTCTCTGAAGCAATGCCATCAAGATGACCCTATGAAGTCAAGCTGCTTCTCTCCATGTCCAACCATAGTCTATGACATCCTGCTGCTTCTCCTCTTTGCCTCTTCTGCTGGCTGAGCCTGGGGGGTTTTATGGGCACAGGATTAGGGGCAGGGTGGGCCATGGGTGGTTTTGGAAGTGGCAACATTCAAGCGGGAAAACAGTAATGTGTGTTCTCACTTTGGGCCATGATTCCAGGCTTTAGGGTGGTGCACTTGCCAGGGACCTGCCCTCTTCTTCCCAGAATTTTCCTGCCTCCTTTCCCTATCACTACTACCGTGGCACTTAAGAAACTGAAAAAAATTAACTATAGTCACTAACCTACATTTTCTTTTGTGTAAGAGCTAAATTGTTACTAATGCATGCTAAACAGTAGACACTCAGATATTTGAAAAAATGATTGATTTATGTGTGTGTATTTATTAACAGAAATAATTAACATGGTTCAACACTCCTAGTTTACAAAGCACATTCACTGTCTCAATTTTGTTTGTCTTCACCTTTAACGCCCAGGGAATAAGTTCGGCAAAGTATTATCAACTCCATTTTCCAGCTGAGGAAACTAAGAAGGAAAAATTTTCAGTGACTGTCTTAAGGTCACAGTTAGAGCTTGGACCTCAAGTTTGCTGACTCTTTTTGCAAAACTCTGTTATTTTTCTCTTGTGTTTTGGGATTGTGTGGGCTAAATAGAATAAGGACAAGAAGGTCAGTTGAGAGTAATTTGGCAGTCTCCTGTAAGATTGGAAATATGCAAACTCCATGACCCTGAAACTCTGCTTCTAGGTATATACCCTAGGGAATCTCCCTAGAAGTGCACAAGGACACAAGAACAAGAATATTTATTACACTATTATTTGGTAATAGCAAAGTTGGAAGTAACTTAATGTCCATCTGTAAGAAAATAAATAAATCAACTCTGTTGTCTTCATATGATAAAATGCCACTTAACAGTTTAAATAATAGTTAGATTAGCTTTAGAAATGTTATATTGAATGAAAAAAGTAATTTTAGAATGATACATATAGTATGATAGTATTTATATAACATTTTTAAAAAGTGGAATGCTAGATACTGCTTACGAACATGTATGTTATAAAATAGAAAAACATCACTTCTAAGAATATATACCAATTTCAGTATAGTGTTTGCAAGGGAGAGACTGAGAAGGGGAACAAAAGGGAATTCAATTTTGTAACTCTTCAACTCTGGAATGTTCTCGTTCCATTTTTTTTTATGTAAAAAATAAGAAACAAATGACAAAATGTTGATGCTTCTTAATTTCTAGTGTTGGGCATATAGATATGTGTGTTTTACTTTCTCTTTTTATGTTTAATTTAGCTTGTTCAAAATTGAAGAGAAAAATATTCATTTAGAATAGAGGAGTACAGCAGAGTGGTTATGAAGATGAGCTTCAAAGATAGACCAGGGTTGAATTTCAATTCTGCCAACCTAAATGCTATTAAAGTGAAGCAGGTCTCCATCCTGCCGGATTTATCAGTGTCTTTAATATGCTGATCTGAGTTGTGAGCCTTTAGGATAAGAATATAACATTCAGAATTTCTCAAACTTATTTGACCAAGGAATGAGCATTCTTTGGGGCAGTACGGTAAAAGGTGCCTTTACAGATAATATGTATTTACAGGGTAATTTGAATGATCAATTGTCTTTAGGCTTGAAAAGGTCTCCCTTCATCTCCTTCCTGTTTTATCAGACTTGTGTTTCTCTTATTCCTGCTATCTCTAAGCTTTCTTTGTTTACAAAGACAGAGAATCCATTCCCTTTCCTCTACAACTCAACAAAGTGGCTGCTGAGAGGACAGATTCTTCTGAGTAGCATGGTCATAGGACTGAGTTAGTTTTTTTCAAGATCAGCATGATTCATTTGATGTGGGCAATTTCAAGGTCTTGAAAAATTCTATCTATGCTTTGGTAGCATTTGTCACTTCTAGCTTTGGCCAGTATCTATAAGGTGTCTGGGCACAGTATTAAATCCAATTCCCTCTCAGTTACTCAGAAATCTGTACTTATTTTATTTTTTTCAGGGTTCATGCTTCATATTAACATGAAGATTTGCTGTCCTAAAGTCCCCTGAAGAGTATCTTATGCTATGGTTTACACCATACCCAAGGTGGCTTGTCTATTCCTTAGGAAATTCCAACCAGAGACACCTCAAAAGGTGTCACACATTTCACCCACAGAGCACGGTCTCATTCATACCCCATCAGCTCATCAAACTCTATAAGCCAATAGAGTTGGGTTTGAACCCCAATCTGGCCACTTACTAACTAGTTCACCTTGCTCCACTGTAGACTGTTTCTGCAACTGAAAGGAGACATTGATACCTCTCAGATATAAAATCCAAGGCAATATTATGTTTATTATATATTATATATATAATCTAAGACAGTATTATATATATAATATATTATATTTATAAAATATTGTCTTGGATTACCCTAGTTCTTGGATTCTAAGACGGAAATCTTTAAATCTTTTTCACGTTCAACTTTTTTGAAATTGGGACACATCTTTAATTCTTGACATCCTACAATTCACCATCAGCCATGTTTTTTCGCACTTTAACACCATTGGGAAAAAAATAGATCTTTTGATAACTTAAGAGCTTCTTAAATTTGATGAAGAACAGTATTTGTTATCAGCCCTGTCTTCCCAACCAGCTCCTTGAGACCAAGAGTTCTTCCTTTATATTCCTTCCATCTTGCATGCAGAGGCCCACATCAATCAGTGAGAGCAGAGAATATACATTTATTTATTGAAACATGATGGGTATAAACAGCAGCAGACTCAGAGTCTTGTACTACCCCTTGTTAGCCATTAGAGTTTAAAAATTCCTTAACCTCTTGTGGCCCCAGTATTCTCCATAAAAGGCTGAGATATTTTCCTGTCCTGTGTACTTTACAAAGTGACTATGAAAATCAAATGATATAGTGCATGTGAAAGCACTTTGTATATGACATAGGGGTACACAGGGCATTTGAGCATTTCTCAATATCACTGCCCAATTGGCAAGCTATTTCCCTGTGGAACCCTCTACACATTTCAAAGTGCCTAAATGTAGCCTAAAACCAAATTGTTTAACAATGGGATTTCTATGACTTCAAATAATTTATTTCCTTTTGCTCAAGGCTGACAGATTTCTGACACAATGCTTATTTTAGCCTTGGGTGTAATACTCAGCCTGGGTTTGGAGCAAATTGAAAATTAAGGGTTTTATTTCAGGTCCTGCCTCTGACCTTGGTCTCTATTTGACCTCGGGTAAATTCACATCTCTTGAAGGGCAAACTGTCCAGACAGAGAACGTTTAGCTGTGGTTTTCCTTGGATTTGAAACATTTCCCCCCTGTGATTTGTGTCTCTAACATGGTCTCATTTTATATAACCCCAAATAAAGCCTCATTTGTTTCCCTTGGCTTATTTGAAATCACTAGGGCTACGTACTCCATATATTCAAGTTTTGCAAAATTCCCTGGGATGAATCCCTTTATATGCACCAAAGCCAGTTCTGCTTTGTTGATTAGCTTGGTAATCTTCTGGGCCTCTTTGGGGATTTCAGAACTTGTGTTCTCATGGTGAAATGTGCCAAAACTGGCAGATAGAAAATACAAATTGGTCTTTATAACTGAGGTTCCTGCACTTATTTCCTAGAAGTTAAGCCCTGAGTTTTAGGTCTTTTTGTAGTGACCTAGGAGTATAGTATGAGCTATACGGAGGGCTCAGAGCTACAGTGACACCCAGCCAAGTGTCTTCTTCATTGAGGATGTGTAATTACCCCCAAAATACCAACTCCTGGGTTCCAAAAGCTATCATTAAGTCTTTTATCTTTTTAAATTGACAAGTCTGATTGGATTAGCCATAAACCAGAAAACATGTGTTTTTCTTTTAAATGTACCTCTGAGTTCACATACAACTTTCACTGAGCCCATCCCATAACCAATACTTTGCTATGAAAAAGACAAGCAAAGGGAGAATCCCAATCTTTGCCTTCCAGGAAATTTAGTTTGGTTGGAGAAATTTGACCACAGGAGATAAATACATTACCAGTTAATAGCACTGAGGTTTGGTGTGAAGAGAACTGTGGAATTGTCAAGCATCTGAAGGCCAGATCTGGCTGTCTCTATAGACTGTGGATAAAAACATAGTTATACTTTGGTATCATTCATAAACAAGCTTCAAAAGAATTATAACTGTATCATCTGGTGTGTATGTTTTCGTGTAGGTGAGTGAGTATATTACTGAGGCATCTTACATGTTGAAAAGGCTTAAGAAAACCAGATAATCTGGACCATCATGATACCTCTCCAGTGCCTGGAAGCTGTTGATAGATGATGCATGTTGTTGATGCTTTGAAATCTTATTTAAATATTTAGGTGGACAGATGGCCCAGGGCACTGAGGACAAGGAGGAGAATGATTAACATCCTGGCGTTCATTCTTACAATCTTCGAGATTCAGTCATTGGATTATCTGTTCTCTAAAAATTCAAATTCATTTGTACTCTGGCTTCTTCAAGAGAAATGCATCTGAGATCCGTCACACACTGTGACGAACCCTGTTATGGCCACCTTCAAAGACTGCATCCTTTTCGATCTTGGATGACTTTCTTGCCCTAGACCCAAGTGACCAAATTCATTATTGATGTGTTGGCAGATGTTTGCTCATATTCTTCCAGATTAAATGGGATTTAAATGTGATCATTCAGGTAGGCTGCTTTGAGTTTGAAGGAGCATGTTTCTACTCTGTGGTGAAGAGGGGCTCTGTGCAGGCTTGAGAACAAGAGAAAAAGTTAAAAGCATTTTACAACACCCTTTTCTTTCTTGTTGATTTTTCTGAAGCTATTAAAAATTTTTTGGACTGCTTTGAGGAGGCCCATTCCTCCCTCAAATGTCAGCCCTTTTTCTCAATTCAGAATTTCTGGTATTTTCTTTTGGGACAAATATAATTCAGAACTGTGTCTATACAATCCAGTGAAGTGGGGAATTCCAGATAACTCAAACAATAAATGATGTTTCCCTCAATGATCCAAATATTTTAGATGAATGTGTTAAAAATATTTTTGTTTGAAACTATCTAGATCAAGAACCCAATTCTCCACATTACTTTGCATAAACATAGGGTGTTTATATCTTTTTTAAAAGGTTCTTAACAATAAAAATCCAGCATTGGAGTTTTAATTCATTTTATTCCTGTTTCCTGTGGAAAGCATTCTGTGTCCCTTCTTTACCCCATTATATTCTCAGAAGCAGCTGCTGTTGCCTTGGCCACAATACAGCATTTATTTGCTGATTTTGGGACATTTATGTCCAAAGTTGGCTGAGCTGTGGGAATGCTGAACTTCTTGGAATACAAGCCTACAAGCAGTGGGTCATGGGCCTGTGAGGCACCTGTGAGCACACCCTTGTTAGTCTGTAAGCACAGACCCCTCAGTTTCCACTAATTATGTCCTAAACACAGAGCAGGCTCTAGTGGGCTGTAAGCACAACCGACATGGGCAGGTTAAGGCCAGGACACACAGCTTCCATGAAGTAAGGGGTCTCCTCTGGACTTGTTCAAAGATTTAGAAACTCACTACACAAGCTCATTTGTCTGTCCAGCTTTTGGGCTTAACTTGGAAAATAGGGAGGCAATCCAAATGGACATTTCTAAAATTCTCTATTCTTGGGAGTTTTGACCCAAACCTAATCAACTACATAGGACTTCCCACTGGGCACTCATTAGTTCAAGAGCAAACGGTTTCCTATGCTTCCTGCCTTGGGCCACTGCCATAGTTCAATCTTACCCTGTCTAGAGAACCTTTCATGAACAGGGGAACTCTGACAGTGAGGCAGTGAAAAGTGCCACTTCTCTGTTTCAGGTCTGTGTTTAAAGCATTCAGTGGTTCACTATCTAAAAGCTCGTCTGTGATCTAGCCCCTGCTGACCACTCCCATACTTTGCCACTTCTTACATTGTATTTTATATTTCAGCAATTTCAAACCATATGAAGTCCCCATACTCTGAAGCAAACTCATGTTCTTTCTTGCCTTTCTGTCTTTGTTCAGGTGTTCCTTCTATCTGGAATATCTTCTTCCCAGTGACTGCTCATCATTTTCTTCCTGCACCCTGCTCTGCTCTCTCTTTTATTGTTAAGACCCTGCATTGGTATTATTTCCCCCAGAAATCCCTCATCTTTGTCAGTGGGTATGCACATACCACATTGTTTTATACCTGTCGAGTTGTGTGTCTGTTTCCCCTGTTAGACTCTGAGATCCTCTAGAGTAGACACTAGGTCTCTTTTATCTTTATTTTCTCTGATGCCTGACTCAGAGAATGGAGCACAAGTGGAGACTCAAATAAACACTCAATAAATTGAATGGATAAGTAAGCCTTCCTGGGTGGGTAGGGGATGATGCTTTTTGGTCAGGAGTTCTATTCAATGATGGGCAGAGAATAAACCACATCACAATAATAATAATGGTTATGTTCTATCTGAGCATCTATTACCTGAGAAGTATTGTCAATATGTGTAGCCCGTGCAAAAACACTATGAGGTAGACACTATGATTATCTCTATAAAACACAAGGGAAAGATTATGGTGGTAATTATGATAATTATAATAGAGATAATAAAGAACTTAAAATGTAAAGAAAAGGAAACTCCACAAGACAGAAGCTGAATGATTTTCTTAAGGTCACACATATTCACAAAAAGTAGAGCCTGGGATTGCTAACCAATGCCAACATAATATGCTTGATCAATGACATATTATTTGGAGGCAGGTGTAGAAACTGGCCATGTTGGAGACCAATTGAAATCCCCCCAAATGCAATTGGATTTTGAATTACTCTACTGAGAAAACTCTAAAAACAGTAGAACCAATATATATTTCATTCAATTTGGGGCTGGCAGAGCCTGTGTACACATGGGCTCCAAAGGCAGGAACAGCTTGTTAATCTGGCATTTAACTACCAGAAATTTCTATTAACAATTATTGCTGGGAAGAGCAATTGGTGCATAATGATGGCCCTAGGGTATTGCTTGGTCATGAAGTGCCTCCTGAATCATAATAACAATGAGAATTATGTTCGGTCTAATTTTAGTATTGAGTTTTTACTGTCTTCGAAGTCTTTGGATGTCAGTAGTTATTCTCTGAATAACTTATATATACTTAACTGTATTAAATATTTTAATAACCAGAAACCCCCCTAAAGAGAAAGTTTATTATACTTTAAACTTGACCATTATTTAAAAATAATGGATGTTGTTGTAATTTCTGAAATGTAAATTCATGAGAAAATGCAAATTCATAATCACATTTGGTTATTATATACTTATCAATTAAAGGATATAATTTGCCCATGGATCACGAGGTCAGGAGTTCAAGACCAGCCTGGCCAAGATGGTGAAATCTGTCTCTACTAAAAATACAAAAAATTAGCCGGGCATGGTGGCAGACACCTATAATCCCAGCTACTTGGGAGGCTGAGGCAGGAGAATCTCTTGAACTCAGAGGGCGGAGGTTGCAGTGAGCTGAGATTGTGCCACTGCACTCCAGCCTGGGTGACAGAGTGAGACTCTGTCAAAAAAACAAAAACAAAAACAAAAAGCACCTACCATGTGGGTAGCTACTGTGTTGGGTACTAGAGTTACACGAATGGCTAAGACAGACACAGTCCTTGCCTTCTGTAAGGAAGAAATTCATGAAAGTTTTTGATGCTAAAGAAAGGAATTTTGACTCTCAAAGACTGATGCTATTATGGATAATACTAAGATTCCAAGTTTGAGTTAATAAATGCTACAACTGAACTAAAAGCCAACTGATAGATACATAAAAGAAAAACAAGTGATTAGATTTGGGGACTGAGAGGCATGAAAGTGCAGCAATTGCTTGGGATGCATGTGATCCTGTAATGGCAGAAATGCTGTGGTGAGACTGTTGGGGCCTAAGAAGCTTGGACTTTATTCTGTAGAATGGAGGGCATTGCTTTTGGTATTTTAGTCATGAAGCCTTTGCCCTTCCCTATGTCCTGAATGGTATTGCCTGGGTTTTCTTTTATGGTTTTAGGTGTTATGTTTAAGACTTTAATCTATCTTGAGTTAATTTTTATGTAAGGTGTAAGGTTGGGTTCCAATTTCAGTTTTCTGCATATGACTAGCCAGTTTTCCT
Source organism: Homo sapiens (assembly GCF_000001405.40). Lineage (NCBI taxonomy): Eukaryota > Metazoa > Chordata > Mammalia > Primates > Hominidae > Homo > Homo sapiens. The sequence goes on from NC_000012.12 coordinate 102,605,536, forward strand.
AACACCATTTATTAAATAGGGAATCCTTTCCCCATTGCTTGATTTTGTCAGGTTTGTCAAAGATCAGAGGGTTGTAGATGTGTGGCGCTATTTCTGAGGCCCCTGTTCTGTTCTGATTGTCTATATATCTATTTTGGTACAAGTACCATGCTGTTTTGGTTACTGTAGTCTTGTAGTGTAGTTTGAAGTCAGGTAGCATGATGCCTGCAGCTTTGTTCTTTTTGCCTAGGATTGTCTTGGCTATATGGGCTCTTTTTGGTTCCATACGAAATTTAAGGCAGTTTTTCTAATTCTGTGAAGAAAGTCAATGATAACTTCATGGGGATAACATTGAATCTATAAATTACTTTGGGTAGTATGGCCATTTTCATGATATTGATTCTTCCTATCCATGAGCATGGAATGTTTTTCCATTTGCTTGTGTCCTCTCTGATTTCCTCGAGCAGTGGTTTGTAGTTCTCCTTGAAGAGGTCCTTCATATGCCTTGTTAGTTGTATTCCTAGGTATTTTATTCTCTTAGTAGCAATTGTGAATGGGAATTCACTCATGATTTGGTTCTCTGTTTGTCTGCTATTGGTGTATAGGAATGCTTGTGATTTTTGCACATTGATTTTGTATCCTGAGACTTTGCTGAAGTTGTTTATCAGCTTAAGGAGATTTTAGGCTGAGACAATGGGGTTTTTTAAATATACAATCATGTCATCTGTGAACAGAGACAATTTGAGTTCCTCTCTTTCTATTTGAATACTCTTTATTTCTTTCTCTTGCCTGATTGCCCTGGCCAGAACTTCCAATGCTATGTCAAATAGGAGTGGTGAGAGAGGGCATCCTTGTCTTGTGCCAGTTTTCAAAGGGAATGCTTCCAGCTTTTGCCCAATCAGTATGATATTGGCTGTGGGTTTGTCATAATTAGCTCTTATTATTTTGATATACGTTCCATCAATACCTAGTTTATTGAGAGTTTTTAGCATGAAGGTTTGTTGAATTTTATCAAAGGCCTTTTCTGAATCTTTTGAGATAATCATGTGGTTTTTGTCATTGGTTTTGTTTATGTGATGGATTATGTTTATTGATTTGTGTATGTTGAACCAGCCTTGCATCCCAGGGATGAAGTCGACTTGATCATGGTGGATAAGCTTTTTGATGTTCTGCTGGATTCAGGTTACCAGTATTTTGTTGAGGATTTTCACATCGATTTTCATCAGGGATACTGGCCTGAAATTTTTTGTTGTTGTTGTGTCTCTGCCAGGTTTTGGTATCAGGATGATGCTGGCCTCATAAAATGAGTTAGGGAGGAGTCCCTATTTTTCTGTTGTTTGGAATAGTTTCAGACGGAATGGTACCAGCTCCGCTTTGTGCCTCTGGTAGAATTTGGCTGTGAATCCATCTGGTCCTGGGCTTTTTTCTGGTTGGTAGGCTATTAATTACTGCCTCAATTTCATTACTCGTTATTGGTCTATTCATGGATTCAACTTCTTCCTGGTTTAGTCTTGGGAGGGTGTATGTGTCCAGGAATTTATCCATTTCTTCTAGATTTTCTAATTTATTTGCGTAGAGGTGTTTATAGTATTCTCTGATGATACTTTGTATTTCTGTGGGTTGGTGGTGATATCCCCTTTTTCATTGGTATTGTGTCTATTTGATTCTTCTCTCTTTTTTTCTTTATTAGTCGGGCTAGCTGTCTATCTATTTTGTTAATCTTTTCAAAAAAACCAGCTCCTGGATTCATTGATTTTTTGAAGGGTTTTTCATGTCTCTATCTCCTGCAGTTCTGCTCTCCTCTTGGTTATTTTGTGTCTTCTGCTAGCTTTTGAGTTTGTTTGCTCTTGCTTCTCTAGTTCTTTTAATTGTGATGTTAGGGTGTCGATTTTAGATCTTTCCTGCTTACTCCTGTGGGCATTTAGTGCTATAAATTTCCCTCTAAACACCGCTTTAGCTGTGTCCCAGAGATTCTGGTACGTTGTGTCTTTGTTCTCACTGGTTTCAAAGAACTTATTTATTTCCACCTTAATTTCGTTATTCACCCAGTAGTCATTAAGGAGCAGGTTTTTCAGTTTGCAAATAGTTGTGCAGTTTTGAGTGAGTTTTTTAATCCTGAGTTCTAATTTGATTGCACCTTGGTCTGATAGACTGTTTGTTATGATTTCCATTCTTTTGCATTTGCTGAGGAGTGTTTTACTTCCGACTATGTGGTCGATTTTAGAATAAGTATGTGTGGTGCTGAGAAGTGTGTATATTCTGTTGATTTGTGATGGAGAGTTCTGTACATATCTATTAAGTCTGCTTGGTCCAGAGCTGACTTCAAGTCTTGAATATCCTTCTTAGTTTTCTGTGTCCTTGATCTGTCTAATATTGACAGTGGGGTGTTAAAATCTCCCACTGTTATTGTGTGGGAATCTAAGTCTCTTTGTAGGTGTCTAAGAACTTGCTTTATGAATCCGGATGCTCCTGTATTGGGTGCATATATATCTAGGATGGTTAGCTCTTCTTGTTGCATTGATCCCTTTACCATTATGTAATGCCCTTCGTTGTCTTTTTTGACCTTTGTTGGTTTAAAGTCTGTTTTATCAAAGACTAGGATTGCACCCCCTGCTTTTATTTGCTTTCCATTTGCTTGGTAAATCTTCCTCCCTCCCTTTATTTTGAGCCTATGTGTGTCTTTGCATGTGAGATGGGTCTCCTGAATACAGCAAACCAATGCATCTCGACTCTTAATCCAATTTGCCAATCTGTGTCTTTTAATTGGGGCATTTAACCCATTTACATTTAGGGTTAAAAATTTTTATGTGTGGATTTGATCCTGTCATTATGATGCTAGCTGGTTATTTTGCCCATTAGTTGATGCAGTTTCTTCATAGCATCGATTGTCTTTACAATTTGGTATGTTTTTGCAGTGGCTCATACCAGTTTTTGCTTTCCATATTTAGTGCTTCCTTCAGGAGTTCTTGTAAGGCAGGCAACAAAAGCCAAAATTGACAAGTGGGATCTAATTAAACTAAAGAGCTTCTGCACAGCAAAAGAAACTCTCATCAGAGTGAACAGGCAACCTACAGAATGGGAGAAAATTTTTGCAATCTATCCATCTGACAAAGAGCTAATATTCAGAATCTACAAGGTACTTAAACAAATTTACAAGAAAAAAACAACCCCATCAAAAAGTGGGCAAAGGATATAAACAGACACTTCTCAAAAGAATACATTTATGCAGCCAACAAACATATGAAAAAAGCTCATCATCACTGATCATTAGAGAAATGCAAATCAAAACCACAATGAGATACCATCTCACACCAGTTAGAATGGTGATCAGTAAAAAGTCAGCAAACAGATGCTGGAGGGGATGTGGAGAAATAAGAATGCTTTTACACTGTTGGTGGGAGTGTAAATTAGTTCAACCATTGTGGAAGACAGTGTGGTGATTCCTCAAGGATCTGGAGCCAGACATACCATTCAACTCAGCAATCCCATTTCTGGCTATATACCCAAATGATTATAAATCATTCTACTATAAAGACTCATGCACATGTATGTTTATTGCAGCATTATTCACAATAGCAAAGACTTGGAGCCAACCCAAATGCCCATCAATGATAGACTGGATAAAGAAAATGTGGCACATATACACCATGGAATACTATGCAGCCATAAAAAAGGATGCATTCATGTCCTTTGCAGGGATATGGATGAAGCAGAAATCTATCATTCTCAGCAAACTAACACAGGAACAGAAAACCAAACACCACATGTTCTCACTCATAAGTGGGAGTTGAACAATGAGAACACACAGACACAGAGAGGGGAACATCACACACTGGCACCTGTCAGGGCATTGGGGGCTAGGGGAGGGATAGTATTAGGAGAAATATCTAATGTAGATGACAGGTTAATGGGTGCAGCAGACCACCATGGCACGTGTATACCTATGTAACAAACTTGCATGTTCTACACATGTATTCCAGAACTTAAAGTATTAAAAAAAACAAAAAAGAATAGATGGCAAATAGACGTTCTCCTGCGTGCCAATACATTGGTAATGTCATCTTGGGGCACTATTTGGGGATCTCTTCAGCACTTCAGAAAAAGTGCTGTGACCAATTTTTGAAATCCAATTATATAGTATTAGAGGAGGAACAGCAACTTCAATGCAACGAATGCATTTGCCACTCCATCTCTGGAAAAGCATCAATGGAAAAACATTAATCAATCAATCCATATTTATTGATAGTCTTCTATCACTTGTATGAAATATTGCCCACAACTGGGGTTGGCACTATGGAAATATAAAGAGGATTATTAGACATTGTCCTTGCAATATAACTAAGTACAGTATGTCCATGACATAGATTGCAGTACAGACTCAAGAAGAAATGAAATCCTCACTTTTATTTTTGAACGAGGTTTTGATGTATGAAAATGTTCGTTTCCTGCAGGACAATTAGATGGAGAGCTAGAGAGAACTCTTGCATAATCTCTCAAATGTCCTGGTGACCAGACACGATCAGGGATTTGGGGAGGGAGGTCAACAGACTGAAAGTATCAACCAAGCAGGTCCTGAGTAAAGTGCAGGCCAAACAAAGTGCACATGGAGAGGTGTGGGCTATGAATTAAGGTTTTAGGTCTCCAATTCCCTTCCCACTAAGAGCCTTCAAGTTAAGGATCCAAAGCTTGAATTGGCTCTGACTGTGGATTGGCAGTTCACTTAGACCACTGGAGAGCTTGGATTTGTTTGCTTTAAAGTTTCCTCCAAGACATATTTAATAGGCAGATGTAAACCTATATGTTCTCCTTCCAACAATTCTTGGATCTTCTTGTTCCTTGATGCCTGCACTCTTTTCCCAGGGTGTCTTTAGCAACATAATCTTTCCTTTGCTAAAGGAGAAGGGCCTTTGGCTTGCATGCTTTCCCACCACCCTGTCAGTTATTACGTCTGTTTTCTTGAAATGGCTCACTCCAGCTTGTTTATTTATGATGGATCTTGTGGTCAGCTGCAAACTTAGTTTGCAGTTTTTTGGGTAACACTTATTGTTTTCATCCGATTAAAGAATAATGCATGCCAATGGTTGAAAAATTGAAAAATACAGTGAAGTATAAAAATGAAAATTCAAATCACTTGTAATTCCATCACCCAGAGCTAATCACTGCTAATGTTTTGAAATATTTTCTTTTAGGCTTTTTTTCTATGCATATAGATGGTGATTGATCATGTCTCCATGTCTTACTAAACAAAAACTTAAGGTCTATATAGTTTCAACTGATTCTGACTTTTTAAAGCAGTTCTTAACTAATGCAGGCACCTAAATCTTTGTTCACATTTTTCATTATTTCTGTAGGAATAGACTCTTGTAAAAGAAATTATGGTTTCAAGTCTATGAATATTTTTAATGACTTAATACAAATATACCAATTTAAATCTTCATGAGCATGATAATGCTAGCATCATTTCACTATATCCTTGCTAAATTAATAATTCTGTATTGTTAATTTCAATTCAATAATTTAGTAGGCTAAAAATAGTATATTATTATTTTATGTTCAATTTTTTGGACTACTTACTAGTGAGTTTTATAACCTTTGATAGAGAATTGAGTCCAGAAATCCTGGCCCTTATTTGTCTGCATTTAACCTTCATTTATTTACCACTGATATTGAGTTCCTGGCTCCACTAAGTAGGGTCTATGCACTGTTTTTGATCCATAAAACATGTTAACCTCCACACTACATGTTTTCTCTTCATTTAACCATCATACATTTGTGAAATATTTATTGAAAAGCTACCATATTTTAGGCTTCTGAATCTAGAGATGGATGGATGAAAATTGAAGATATCTAACTTACAGAAATTCATAGTATAGAGGCAACACATACAGATAAGATGGGAAATAAAGTATAGTATTTTGATGTCACACAGTTAATAAATAGTTACTGATTGTCATTTATGTACCATAAATTACGCTAAGCAATAAGGATACCAAGAATTAACAAGATAGACATAGTTTTTTTCTTTACAAAGCCTAGATTATTGTTAGCTATACAGAACTGTATAACGATTATTATAATGTAGTGGGGTAACTTAGAAGCCGCTTAAAATAGTGGCTAAGGACCTGGCTC